>NC_000001.11:181669435-181972465 GCF_000001405.40 Homo sapiens
CCACTGCTGTATTTGACTGGGGAACTCTGACTCATCCTTCCAGGTCAAGTTTCTTCATCTGGGTTCCCATTGCACTATATATACTCCTCTATTAGAGCACTCGTTACGTTATTTTATAGTTATTTGTGGAGGTCTTTGTCCCTTTCACAGGATTACGAAGAAGGGCATCATGGTGAGTTCACTTTCTTTTCCCCAGCATTTAGCAAGCATAATTAACAAGCACACAGTAAGCTCCCAGTAAATGGCCTCAAGTGAACAAATCAAAGGCCAACTTCCTGTTTGTGATGTCTGTATTCATCAGAAATTTTCCTGAGATTTTGAGCATTGTTTTCAGTGTGCATAATTCCCCTGAAACCCAAGTTTAATATTAGCTGAAGAGCAGAGCACAAGGCACTTGTAGTAGGACTCCAAGAAGTGTGCCACTCCAAGAACGTCTCCATTACATCGAGAAAGAGGGAATATTTGTTATCAGCATGATGGACATGATCCCAGTGTAATTGTTGCTGTTGTGAAGGCCTTTTGAATGGTTTTCCCTCTCCCCATGATAATTTATCTCCTACATTCACTTCACTATAGCTTTGATACCAAAATCTTGGGCTTTTCCAGATTAGAAAAAAATATGTTTTTGTTTAAACTTGTCTCTTTTTCTGGTCTATAGAACCTCATAATAATTGGCTTTGCCACATGGAAATTTGTAATAACATTAGAGCCCCACATCATTCTGAGGTTATAGTCCATAGTCGAGGCCCTATAATTAGACATGTTTTCTGTGCACTTGCAGACACGTATACACTGAGGTGGCTGAAATAATACCTCCCAATTTCCCCGGCTGATAATCAGAGTCTTTACAATTTGGTTATATACTGGGTGCTTGGCATTTCTAGCTGTTAAGTTGAGAAGCTGTTAGAGTTGTAGTTGAATTAAAAGTTATTTTCCCCTTGGTGTCAAGTGTATCACTACATTCTCAACACTTAATTATCGTTGTGTCCCAAAATATTCTTCATTTAGCAAAATATTGAAATTACTCTTTCCTGTTGAAGAAGCTAACTCTACTATGCAAGAGAGCACTGAGATGCCGTGTTCCACAGAGAACCCAGGAAATGAATGGCATTTGAGGGCATTTGGGGCAACTGGAGGAGCCCCAAAACCTGTTAAAGGGGCCACATATTCTTACCTATATTAGACTCAACTTGATAGCTAATCTTTTTAGCAGCTGACACGTCCTCAGGCTGAAGCTGACCAGACCAAAAGAGGCCTCCCCACCCTCGGCAGAGTTGACTGAAATGGCATTAAAGTAGGACATGACTTCCCTTCCCCATGCCCCCACCCCACTACCTTTTGTGCTGTTCACAGAGAAGTTTCTCCTCCATCCTCTTGTCCCTGTGTTTTCACATTGTATGTTCTATTTAGATCAAGGTACCCAGTGACCAAATATAATATGAGGAAGGGATGATCTAATTATGAGCAATTAATACCTTAGTGAGCAAGAGCTGAAGGAGGAAGGTACAGACTAATTTTTTAAAGTAAAAGGTGGTAAGGGGGAGAAATACTTCTTTGATCACTTACTAAAATATCTAATCACAAACATTTATTCATTTATTATTATTGTTATTATTGAGACACGGTCTTGCTCTGTCACCCATGCTGGAGTGCAGCGGTGCAGTCATAGCTCACTGTAGCCTCGACCTCCCAGGTTTAAGGGATTCTCCCACCTCAACCTTCCCAGTAGCTGGGACTACAGGTGCATATCACCACACCTGGCTAATTTTTTGTAGAGGTGGGATCTCACTTTGTTGCCCAGGCTGGTCTCAAACTCCTCAGCTCAAGCAATCTTCCTGCCTTGGCCTCCCAAAGTGCTGGGATTACAGGCGTGATCTACTGCGTCCAGCCACCAAACATTTGTTAAGCACCAATATGTCAGGCACTCTGAGTTTGATAGTGAACAAGAAGATGCAGTCCCTTGCTCTTATGAACTTTATTTTTCTCATGGCTGAGACAGAAAACAAGCAAGCAAATAACACAAATAATGGGAAATGTTATGAAGAAAATGAGCAGGCTTTGGATAGCAACTTTGATTCCTGTCTTAGAAAGAAAAAACAATCAGACTTGAGAGAATTGCTGCCAGACTTCTACAGCCTGCATTGATCTGACCCCGTGTGATTCTATGGATATGCTTCCCTCACCTGACATAACGGCTCCCACACTATTTCCCTACAGGAGAAATGATGCTTGTGTTTCTCTAGTGGCCAGTGTCAGTTACTCTGAAGATGTGATTTACCAACCAACTGGGCTAAACAAACAAACAAACAAACAAAAACCGGAGCAATAGGACCTTGAATGCATAATTAACTTGTGTGGAAGGCTTCATTCTTCACTCAGGGGTGTTAAAAAGGATGCCTTTGTGAGCTAAAAGCAGAACTACCATTTGACCCAGCATTCCCATTACTGGGTATATACCTAGAGGAATATAAATCATTCTACTGTAAAGACACATGCATGTGAATGTTCACCGCAGCACTATTTACAATAGCAAAGACATGGAATCAACTTAAATGCTCATCAGTGACAGATTGGATAAAGAAAATGTGGTACATATACTCATGGAATATTATGCAGCCATAAAAAAGAACAAGATTATGTCATTTACAATAACATGGATGAAGCTGGAGGCCGTTATCCTTAGCAAACTAACGCAGGAAGAGAAAACCAAATACCTCAAGTTCTCAGTTATAAGTGGGAGCTAAATGATGAGAATTCATGAGCACAAAGAGGAGAACAACAGACAGTGGGGTCTACTTGAGTGTGGAGGGTGGGAGGAGGGAGAGGAGCAAAAAACATAACTATTGGGTACTAAGTTTAATACCTGGGTGATGAAATAATCTGTACAACAAATGCCTGTGACATGAGTTAACCTGTACATGTACCCCAAACCTAAAATAAAGTAACTTTTGAAAAAAAGGATGTCTTTGCATTAACTAGTGGGGAAAGTTGCCCTAGTGGATTAAGTAACTTAATATTTCTTCCAAAGGTAATGATCTGGAAACCAAGACTGTGCTTTTATTGATATCTTCACCTTCTAAATTCCCTCTGTAAACACCTATGAATAGGAGGGAAGAAAGGACCTAAAGTGGTCAGAGGGAACCTCGAGGCCAAGGCCAAGTTGTATCCCAGACTGTCTGGCTCCAGAGAGGAAGGTCTTCCTTCAGTCATTCATTTCTGGCCCCCTTTCCTCTGCACTACCCTCAGAAACAGTAGCAGATACCTATTGCAAGGTTGCGCTGTGCTGGTCATGTTCACAGACAATGCAAACATTTTCCCTGCTTTCTAGGCATTTCTTATCCATATAGTCTTTCAAACCTGGTCAAGGTTTTCTCCTGGCAAAATTTGAGAAGTTGGTGGCATTTGTATTTGAGATCATGCACCTTTGCTGTCCCTTAGTTTAATGTTCCCCTTTTCTCTTCCCTGTCCTTCGGTCAGGGAGGAGTTATTTGTTGGACTTAACTAGCTCACGTATGGGGTTTTGGCCTGGGTTCCCTGAAAGACGACCCCAAGAAAAGAATTGGCTGCAAAAGGGAGCAAGTGAGAAAATTGAGGCAGAGAAGGGGAAAAAGCCAAAGAGTTATGTGTTAATTGAGAGGGTTGTCAGTATGAACTGCTGAGGCTTAATCCACTGGGAACCCTAGAAGGAACCATGTAGAACGTACCTCAGCCCTGCTCCACCAAGCAACTGGGAAACTGGGACATAGATACATGTATCTGTATGTTTATGTATGTATGTATATGAGTATGTGTGTGTGTGTGTGTGTGTATTTTTCCCCCATCCATCAATCCCTGTCCATCCTTGAGTGATGACACTTTGGGGCTGCCCTGTTTGTGGACTTAACAGTGCCTGGAGAAATTCCGTAGGTGGAGAAGCAGGAAGATGTAAGCACTCAAAGTGGGCACTGTCACATACCTGTGTGAGTGTTTAAGTCCTGTCCACTGCAGCTGCAGAACCCAGAGGTGGCCCGAGGGGATATGGGGTGGCATCCAGAGCATATGCTCTTGCTCCACATTCAAGGAGTAGATCATTCATTCAACATTTGTGGAGCACCTACTATGTGCCAGGAACAGCTTTTCCAAGGTGAGTGAGTTAGAAGAAGCAGAGTGACAACAGAATTCAGGACTAGAGTGAGCCGGAGAGCAGATGGTCCACTGCCCAGAAAGAGGACATCCCTTATAGGGCCAGCGGATGGAAGCCATGGGCTGGGCAGGACATTCCTGTCCCAACCCACATGGCAGCTAGAGTCCTGGAAATTACAGTCGACATGACCCCACCCCTCTCCTGAAACACAGTTTCCTCCTCCCAACCCCACCCAGCAGTGCACACCCCAACACCCGCTCTGCCAGCTCTCGTTCGTTGCCTCTTTCTCCTCAATATAACCACCATTTTATTTTATCCCAGCTCCCAGCGTGCATTTGTCCTGCACAGCCTTGCTGCCCTTCACCCTGCTCCTCAGTGTAGAGTACCATGTTCCCGTTATTATTGTTCAGTTCCCCAGCCACACAGCTAATCCTGTTAGGGCCAATTTAGGCAATACAAGAGTCTGGAGCTTTTATGACCTAAGCAGTTGGGGCTCTCCTTATGCTACCAATGATAAATGATAGAATAAGTAAGCAGAGGGCTGGGCGCGGTGGCTCATGCCTATAATCCTAGCACCTTGAGAGGCCAAGGCGGGCGGATCACGAGGTCAGGAGATCGAGACCATCCTGGCTAACACGGTAAAACCCCGTCTCTACTAAAAATACAAAAAAAAAAAAAAAAAAAATTAGCCAGGCATGGCAGCGTGCGCCTCTAGTCCCAGCTGCTGGGGAGGCTGAGGCAGCAGAATGGCGTGAACCTGGGAGGCGGAGCTTGCAGTGAGCCGAGATCGCGCCACTGTGCACTCCAGTGTGGGTGACAGAGCAAGACTCCATCTCAAAAAAAAAAAAAAAAAAAAAAAAAAGAATAAGCAGAGTCTCAATTAAAATACTCATTGATCATGTCTGATGTCACAGAGTTTAATCTTAAATTCAGTAGACCCATAAATTAAAAATACTGGATCTCAGTAGCCAGAGGGTCATTCTGTCTTAGAGCCCCTGGACACAGTCCCCCTAATATGGACCAGGCCTCATCTGAATGTTCCATGCCCCCTCAGCTGCGAATTCCCATGTTTTCTGGGCCAGTTATCTGACCTCTTCCTGCGAGGGCAGTGCAGCAGGGGTGTGGGCTCTCAGGGGGACAGAGGGACTCTGCCACAGGCTTGACCTGACCATCTCTCTCAAGTCTCTCTCTACACCCCAGCACAGAGAGAGCAGAGGTCTGCAGAGTGCCACCCCTCTAGCAGCTCTGTGGACCAAACAAGCATTTCACCTGCAGGTGCCAGCTCAGCGTGCCAGGGCATGAGTGTCCCCCAGGTGGCAGGGTGACTGCCTTTCTTAGGTGGCTTATGTTCAGTGTGGAAGTTCAGGCTCTCTCATTCCTGTTTCGATTCCTTTTCCCTCTCTGTCTCACCTGGTCTTTGATAGCAAAGGTTAGTGTTATAATTAAACAATCAATTTAGCAAATTTTCTTTGGGGATTTCCTTTCCTTTTGTTTTGCCAACTGTAATTCCTCCAGTCTCCAGAGAGATCCCCTGTGAAGTGCATCTGAGGTGTTTTCACTTTCCCTCATCCACAGTTGTTGTTGTTTTCAGGGACTAACAAATGACAAATAAGACACAGCATGTTCGTGGTTTATATAAGCAGGAAGGAATATATCTGCTTCTCTCTGCAGGAAGAGAGGAGGAGGAAAAGAGGAGGAGGCACAGCTGATGGCTGCTACCCAAGGCCTTGCTCCGAAACATCATGGGTGACTGGGAGTCTAAGAATATTAATTGGAGACAGTGGGAACAGGGGTAATTTCACGTACCCAGTAGGGACATGCTGTGCTAAGAGCGTGTGAGAAAATAGCGTGTGAGAAAAAATTTACCTGATGGTGCTGCTATAGGTCTTATTTTCTTCCATGTTTTGTTTCTTATGCAAAACGTATATGTGTTAAGAGAAGGGGATGGGGAAGGAGAGTTCATGGAGGAGAGAAGAGGAGGAGAAATAAACTTTGAAAATTCTAGTTGCCATGACAACATAATGAGCTCCAAAAGTGGCATCTCTGAACCAGTTTTGCATGGGAAGGCAGAGAAGCTCAAAAGGGAAAGAATTAAAATAATAAAAATAATAAAACAGTGATCATGAAGCAAAGGATACATCTGAAGAGGCTGTGAGCCCTTCTTGTCACCCTCTGTGTGTTGGGAGTGTCAAAGCTGCTTGCTCCTGGCTGACCTGGGCAGAGCCTGCGGGATTGCCGTCAGGGGTTGGAATGCCTTTGCAGCCTCCCGGGCTCTGGACAATGCGCAGCTAAGGGATTTTGACAAAAAAGACCTCATGCATTGTGTGTGAAGTGCATTGTGCTTGAGAACCCATTGCAAGCCAGGCTGTCTTCCTGCTCCGTTTCTCCTCCCTTTCCTCCCTCCCACCCGCCCTTTCTTATAGCTCAGCTTTACTCTTTTCAATGAATTTCACTGTAGCCCAAGCGACAGTGTGTGCTGTGTCACTCTTACCACCATGGTATAGAATGTAAAATCCCCATTATTGGGCACTCGTTAGAACTATAAGGCTCTTCTCCCCAGCAAAGTGTCCCAGAGCTGTGCGAGGCTTATACAAAAGAAGGAAGCATTGAGAAGTGCAGAATGTGAAAGCCAAGAAGGATTTGTAGGTAATGATGTTTTTGCCCACCATACTCAAATTGGAAATGCACCCACAGCATCTTAGAATTATTTATTATTAAAAGTGTATTTTAATGAAGATATCCCTTGGTATCCCTTGTCCTGGTTCAAGTCGTGTTCATGTTTTCCTCATTATAATGGCCAGGACGTTGCACTACATATGTTTCCATAATATAATCGGTGTTTAACAGCATCTGAGCCAATCCATCAGTTAAGGCACTTGTTCTGAGAACTGGTTGAATGTGGGGATCCTGCTGCCCCCTTGTGCTTGTTTGATATTGTTGCCCACGAGACTATCTAGGGTGTACATTATGATGTCTCTACCACCAAGCTCTGTGTCTGGCACACAGTAATTAATATATGTTGAATGAATGAGTGCTTAGTTCCAGCTGAAGCATGAAGCCCTCCTTAGTATATATGTGCTCCGGCTAGACTCCAACGAATAGCTGTTTGGCAATACATGTCAAGTTGAGTGGATGATGTATAAGTGAACTAATATCCCCTATGGAGGACAGCAATTCTCAGTGAAATAAGCAAATCATTGTGTGAGTTCTGTGTATCAGCAAAGATTAAATCTATTAAGTTTTTAGCTTCTTTCAGATGTTAACCACTTAAGTAGTTAATATTTGCATAATGCTTCCTATAGTTTAGAACCATTAGTCAGTGAGGGGAACCTCCTTTTCTCTGTTATATTTCTTGGTGGAAGAACTTCCTCCAGAAAACACTTTTTAGGCCTTTGTCATCATCCTTTGCTCATTCCTCCTGAACTGTAATAGATGGATTTAGAAGAACTGGCTGTGCTCCTCTCAGCTTCTTCCTCCTCTTTAGAACTGGCCGGCCCTCCAGGAACGTATCTTCTCTACTCCCTTTTGCTTGTAGCTTCTGGGACAGTGCCCTGTAATAGGGTAGGACTGGGCTTCTGTGGTTGTTCCTATGACTGGATGGTTCAAAATTCTGGGGTATACACTCAGGATAGATCTAGAAGATAGATGATAGATCTAAAGTCATGTTCTCCAACTTGCTTTATCAGAAATGAAACTGATTATTTTTTGTCTTTATTTATCTAACTCCAGTATGTCCCGTGTCTCAGCTGGTTTCATAATCAGGAGGGGAATAAAAGGAAAATTGTATACTGATCCCCACAGCACTGCTATACATGATTAGAAAGTCTTTTCCCCCTTTAAACATGTAATTTTAAATGATACAATACAATCTCAGATGTGATTTTTGTCACCTTCAAGACATCCAGCAATTCTAGCACCTTAGATATTTATATCGCAGGTCAGTTGGAAAAGAGTAGTCACAAAACACAAATTATGTTCATAGTACACTTGGCTAGTGTGCAATTTCCTGATCACCAAACACAGGAGAATTCAAAAGAAGTATGAAACCTGGTCCTTTGTCTTGGGGGCTTATTTCCTCCCACAGAAAGCTGAAACCTGCCACATCTTTTCATATGGGTGATCCCTGAAATAGGCATTCTGGGCTGGAGATACCACTGTGGTTTCTATCATGTAAGAGCAGTTTTGTAGAAGAGGTGAGATTTGAACAGGGCTTTGAAAGGTAGCTGGAACTTATATAAGCCCAGGGGTGTCATAGAGTGGGTTTTGGGGGAGAAGTTTTAGGAATAACAGGATGATCCCCAACTTTGAGGCAGGCCCTAATTTATTTGTGGGATAAAAACGATATTGAATATGAGAGTGGTGGGAACATCATTGGTTTAGTTAGGTCTGGTTAGATCATGGAGGACCTCACAGCAGAGGGAATTAAGGCAGGAGAGTTACTGTGGGTGCTGGATGGAGGGGGCAGGATGACCATGCGGGACATAGTATTTGGGGAAGATTAGCTTGCAGGCCTGTTCTGTGGATGAGGACACTTGCTTGTCTGGGTTCTCTGCTGCCTCTTCAACTTTAATCTTCTAGGAACTCTGAGTGGCCCCAGCATGAGGGCTCTAGTGGTGCCCCTCTGCCAGCCACTCTGAACTGTGGCAGACTTGCCCAGCACAGAAGTTAGGATAGGCTGTCTCTAAAAGAGGACTGAGAGAGTGTTTATTCTACCCAGACCATGGCTTTGAGATTGGATATCAGGATGCATGTTATTTTTTTAAAAGAGCTTTTTTGTTGTTATCTTCTAGATAAATGAGAAATCAGAAACAAAGTCACCATTCACCTGAAAAGGCACCACTGTCTGGGAGCAGTAGCAATGGGCTATATATAATAACAATAATGATAATAAAACAGGTACTGTTTATAAAGTGTTAACCGCCTGTTAGAACTTTTCTTATTGTATTGCTGCACATCTATCTAACATGTATGTATCTAACAAGGACATACTGAACTAACAAGGACACACTGAATACTGGTATTAGGATTTGAAAAGGCTGGGGTAAATACAGACATACAAAAACAACCCTGATTTGAAGGTTTTGGAAGGACCTCTTAGGAAAAGAGGGAGGCAATTTAGCATTGTTTTGGATTACGGGGCTCAAATCCTCATTCTTCATTTAATTAGCTGTGTCACCTTGGGCACATTTTCTAACCTTTCTCAGACTTAGTTTCTCCACCTGGAAAGTGGGGATCATAATATTTCATGGAGTTTTTGTTGATTAAATGATGTAATGAATACAAAGAACTTAGCACAGTGCCTGGCACATAAGAGATGTTCAGTAACACATAACTATTAAGAACCTCTTAAACTAGCCTCCTGTGAAACATGAATTTTCTATTATTCATTTTTATCTTTGAGTTAAGGCTTTTTAAGAGCCTCTAGATAACTACAAATATGATATCTGGTGAAAGTTCCACATTTTCTTCCTCATGGTCTTTCACACCTTTGCATGACGCACTTACTGGCACCTAAGGATGACAGAGTCCCAGGAGAGAGGTACTCAGACAGGACAGAGTCATTTTAATAGATAGGGAGTAGAGTTGTAAACGATGAAGAAATCTGGAAAAGAATAGCCGGAAAGTTAACAAAATGTATTGGATAACTACAATGTGCTAGGTTTTGTATATTATCTCTTCCTTACAACAATTCAGTATGACAGGCTGTGTTTCTCCATATTACCCATGGTGGAATGTGAACTGCAGGAGCCTTGCATACTTCCCCAAGGATCCCCAGTTAGTAAATTGGGGACTAGGATTTTTCACTTGGGTCTCTCTTAATCCAAAGCTCACGTGCTTTGTCCTACACTCTGCTGCCCCTCGGAAAATGCACAGAGCAAAGGTCCTATTAGAAGAAGGCAAACTCGGGCCAGAGCTCCTGGGCAGCCAGGGGGCAGATAAGGACATAATGCCAGGGAGCTCCATGTAAACACGTGAAAGAGGGAAATGGGCCACAAGGTATCCTTTCACAAACGGTTACTTCCAGTGTCCTTAGAGCTGGCTTGGTCTCAGGAGGACAGAGAGGCCACACTCACAAGGCATATTACCCATCAGGATGGCACTGCAGTGATGGGATTCTGAGATCTTTGTCCTCCTCCTGTCAGTGGCTGGGCTAACAGCAGGCCAGGCTGGACAGTGGCCTGGGAACATAGGGCAGGCAGGCAACCTGTTACTTGCCATAGAAGTGTGCAGAATTGACAAATCCATGTTCAGAAGGGCATCAAAGTCCGGGTGAGGCTGATCTTCTAAAGTTAAGTCCACCTGTAATTCCAGTGCTTTGGGAGGCTGAGCGGGGAGAATCACTTGAGCAGACTGGGCAACATTGTGGAACCTCATTTTGACAACAAACTTTAAAAATAAAAAATATTAGCAGAGCATGGTGGTGTGTACCTATAGTCCTAGCTACTCGGGAGGCTGAGACAGGCAGGTTGCTTGAGCCCAGGAGTTCAAGGCTGCAGTGGTTGCATCACTGAAGTCCAGCCTGCATGACAGAGTGAGACCTTGTCTCAAAAAAAAAAAAAAAAAAAAAAAAAAAAAGAGTCCCCAATCTCAGCAGCTAGACAGAGAGCAAGAGTCAAGACCCAGGAGAAACCAGTGGGTGGAAGGGAAGCAGTGAATGAGGGGAATCAAAATGGGCATTTGGGAGATGTCACTAGAGGTATTCCCTGGGCAGAGAATGGGCTGTTAGTGTGGTTCCTATGTCCTTCTTGTGACAGTGGCTAGGCACTTTCAAGGAGCCAGGTCTGACGTGCTATGATGCATGAGCCTCCAACCATTAGGGTGAAGGATGTGATCTGGGGTGAGAGCACAAGCCAATGATGTGACAACCACATGGGCCTGAGTGAGTGAAAACTGCCACAGTGAGCAGCGTGTAGGCTGCCAACCCACAGGGCCGGGAAAGTCAAGAACTGTGTGTTCCACCCGCACATGTTCTCTCATGCACATGCCGACCAGCCCAGCCCACCCTGCTTCTCACACGCCCTGCCTCCGGAAACGAAGAGCCAAAAAGGGAAAACCTCCCGAGAGTGCTTTTTACATCTTGCCAGACATCGGTCCACGCAGCAGCACACTTCACCACACCCCATCCCTGTCCTCAGTTATCCTCTGTGTTCCCAGTCAGTGGTCTCTCAGCCTTGAAGCTCTTTCACCTCCTTGGGGCGCTTGAAAACGTTGGCCAGTTCCTTGAGACCTTCCTTCTCCCCTAGATTTCTCATTTCTCACTTCCTATGTGTCTGACCACTCCCTCCCAGCATCAGTAGGAGAAACCTTCAGCCCTGTTGCCATAGGTGCTAGGTCAGAGTTGCTTCCCAGGTGTCACACAGGGACTCAGGCTGAGGAATACTCCATTGTCTGCCAATGCTACCTTTTCAACAAGTACCCGTGCAGTCGCCCTGGAAGAAGGGAAAGGCTGCAGAGGGAGCACTGTCAGTTAAATGCTTTAGGGCGGTGTGTGACAGTTCTACTGACGTTTCATTAGGAAATGAGTCACGTGGCCGTGCCTCCCCTCAAGGGTGAAGAACAGTTGAGGAGAACTGGATGTGTTCTTTTTCTCTGGGTTCTGGGTGGTTCTCCACAGGGAGCTGTTCTGAGCGTGATTGCCTACCACTGCTCTAAGCCTTCTGTGTCCTTGTGACCCTCAGATCCATGTCCCCAACTTCTGCCTCTCCTGTGCTGCAAAGCCGTATTTTCAACTGTGTGGTAGATTCAAATGAAGTACTTCAAGCTTAGCATCCCACAAACCAAATTAATTTCCCCTACCAAAAACCCACTTGGCCATCTTGGGGGGCCTCTGGAATTCCTGGAGCATCCTTATCTGGTCTGCAAATTCCCTTTTATTCTGTGAAATGTCTGTTGCTCTCCCCATCCTCCTGTTTATTTCCAGTATCCTTGATCCTGTCACACCCAGGTTTCTGCCATAGCCTACCAAATGGTGTCCCTTCCTCCTCTTTAGTTTTTGGCAAAAACATAGCTATTTTCCTAAAAATAGACCTAATCATGTTACTCCCTTATGTAAAAACCTTAGACTATTTCCTACAACCCACAGAATGAAGTAAATCACATCAAGTCATTGGGGGAATGGGGTTGTATTTGAACAGAACCAGACAAGGATCTGAATGCTGGTCTACCACCTACCAGCTGTGAGTAAGTTATTTAACTTCATTGACTCTGTTTTTCAATCTATAAAAGGGAGATAATGATACCTACCTCACAGGGTTGCCTTTATTTTTTGCTGTGTTCTGTGCCTATCATCTGGTTGGCTGGGGGCTTTGGGCAAGTCATTTTCTTCCTCTACAACCAGGGATGGGGAAGCAGCTTCTCTCTGACCTCATCACTTCCTACTCTCTTGCCTACTTCTCTTCAGCCACACTTTCTATAACTGTGAAAGGGGAAAGAGAAGCTCTGGAGGTCCTTACCCTGGCAATGCAATATTTGCCCTTAAATGTATTTGCCAGAACTGGTCATGTGGCCACATCCAATGTTGGGGGCCAAGAAGGCTGGGAGCCAAAAGTATTATGTGAGCAGCGTTAATGACTATCCGATTAACGATGACCCCATAGTGGGTATAGACCCTTGCCCTTTGGAGTGCCTCTTGCCTGGTCAAGGTCTGACACTGGGACCCCGTGTGACCATAGTTCAGTTGACTTTGTCAGATTTTTCTTAGCTTCCTTCCAAAGAGGATGGGATACACAATACTTTTAAGTACATTTAGGACTTGATGATAAAAACTGACCCTCCAAGATGCTCTAACTAGAAGGAATGCTGACTATCTTCTTGTCAGTTTTGCTTATCACAGGTGAGGAAACCGGAGGACCAAGAAGGGTGAGACATTCCCGCCAAGCTGGTTGCTGGCATCTCAGACTCAGTATGGCCACCTCTGAACTCTCATTGTCCCTCCCAGCAAATCCCACCCTCCAGCCTATATTTCCTCAATGGCTGGTTGTATTAGTCTGTTCTCACATTGCTATAAAAAAATACCCGAGACTGGGTAGTTTATGTAGAAAAGAGGTTTAATTGGCATATGGTTCCGCAGACTGTGCAGTAAGCATGATTCTGGTATCTGCTGAACTTCTGGGGAGGCCTCAAGAAACTTACAATTGTGGCAGAAGTTAAAGCAGGAGCTGGCACGTCTTACATGGCAGGAGCAGTAGGAAGAGAGTGAGTGAGTGGGGAGGTGCTACACACTTTTAAACAACCAGATCTCATGAGAACTTACTATCACAAGAGCAGCACCGAGGGGATGCTGCTAAATCATTCATGAGAAGTACCTCCATGATCCGGTCACCTTCCACCAGGCCCCACCTCCAGTGTTGGGGATTACAGCTTGACATGAGATTTGGGCGGGAACACAGATCCAAACCATATCACTGGTGTTGCCATTGATCTCTACTTGTCCTTTAACATGCAGTGTCCTCTTCCATGAATACCTTCCCCAGTTCCTTCCATAGAATTGGAGCCCCTCCCCTCCCTATGTTATCCATGTCCCATTTATGGCATATGACGTTTTATATTGGTTTACTTGTCTGGCTCCTTGGTAGATAAGATTGACTTGAGTACAGCAAGGGCATCTTATGCATCTTATGCATCTTTGCATTTTCCAGTCTAGCAAGTGGCACTTTATGCAATGGCACTGGATAGAATTCTTGTCTGAATTATTGGAAAAGAACCAGTTCCCACAGGTTCAACAACAGGCAGTGGAAGAGTTGGAACTTCTGATTTTTGTTCTCAGTCACTTACTACTGAATTGCATTTAGCTTACAGTTTTTCAGTCTCCTGCAGCATTGTGTTCCATGCTCTTATGCTTGGGTTTAAGAGACTTTTTTAAGATCAGATTTTATTTCTTTCTTCTTTTATTTTAGGTTCAAGGAGGTACGTGTGCAAGTTTGTTACATAGGTAAATTGCATGTCACTGAGGTTTGGTGTACAAATGATTTCATCACCCAGATAGTGACCATAGTACCCAATAGGGAGTTTATCATTCCTCACTCTCCTCTGATCTTCATCCTCAAGTTGGCCCTGATATCTATTGTTAACCTATTTCTGTCCATGTGTACTCAATGTTTAGTTCCCTCTTATAAATGAGAACATGCAGTATTTGGTTTTCTGTTTCTGCATGAAGTCACTTAGGATAATGTCCTCCAACTGCAACATGTTGCTGCAAAGGACATGATTTCATTCTTTTTTGTGTCTGCATACTATTCCATGGTGTATATGCACCACAATTTCTTTATGCAGTCCACTGTTGATGGGCATCTAGGTTGATTTCATGTCTTTCCTGTTGTAAATAGTGCTGCAATGAACATATGTATGCCTGTGTTTTTATCGTAGAACAATTTATATTCCTTTGGGTATATATACAGATTGCTCCTTCAGGCCAGGTTCTAGGGGAAATATGACAATGACTTGATCAGGTTTGCTAGGTCAAATGGTAGTTCTGTTTTAAATTCTTTGAGAAATCTCCAAACTGCTTTCCACAGTGGCTGAACTGATTTACATTCTCATCAACAGTGTATACGCGTTCCCTTTTCTCTGCAACTTTGTCAAATCTCTTATTTTTTGACTTTTAATAATGGCCATTATGACTGGTGTGAGATGGTATCTCATTGTGGTTTTGATTTGCGTTTCTCTAATGATTAGTGATGTTGAACATTTTTTCATATGCTTTGTTGGCCATGTGTATGTCTTCTTTTGAGGAGTGCTTGTTCATGTCTTTTGTCCATTTTTAAAGGGCTTGTTTGGTTTTCACTGTTGATTTAAGTTTCTTATAGATTCTGGATATTAGATCTTTGTTGGATACATAGATTGCAAATATTTTCTCCCACTCTGTAGGTTGTCTGTTTATTCTTTTGTTAGTTTCTTTTGCTGTGCAGAAGCTCTTTCATTTAATTAGGTCCTACTTGTCAATTTTTGTTTTTGTTGCAATTGCTTTTAGAGTCTACATCATGAAATCTTTGCCAAGGCCAATGTCCAGAATGGTATTTCCTAGGTTTTCTCCTAGGGTTTTCATAGTTTTAAGTTTTTCATTTAAGTCTTTAATCCATTTTGAGTTGTTTTTTGTGTATGGTGAAAGGAAGGGGTCCAGTTTCAATCTTTTGCATATGGCTAACCAGCTATCCCAGCACCGTTTATTGAATATGGAGTCTTTCCCTATTGCTTCTTATTGTCAACTTTCTCTCTTGTCTTCATTTGGTTTGCTGATTTGCTTTGTTTCATGTTTGGTGATAATGCCATATTCCCATTCAAGATGGATGTTCTTCCTAAATAAAGGATTTTTTAAATCCTTTTTTTTTTTTTTTGCCTTGTTAGTGACATGCTACAGAAAATAAACAGGGTAATTCTGATTTGTGATTGGACAGCCTTTGAATTAAAGGAGTACATATGGCTTTGGGGGGCTTAATATATTGTAAAGACTGAGTTACTCTTGAGATTCTCTGTAAGTTTTTCAAACTGTAAAGTGGCTGACATTTGAAAGTATTATATGTAACATCCAGCATCATGTCTGCTGCATAGTATATACTAATTAGGAGAATTTGATGAACAAATGGAGAAGTTTTCCTCCCAGGAGCATGCTTACAAAGGAAACATTTTTTTTTTTTTTTTTGCCTTGCCTAGGTAGCACATAGCCCACCTTTAAGTTTTTTTTTTTTTTTTTTTGAGACGGAATTAAGTTTTTAAATGATTTTTATATGTGTTATTTCATGTCCTCATAACAAGTTGTTGTGCAACCATATATATTATACCTCTCAAGTCAAGTATTATGTTATGAATGCCTTGTACAAGTGTTGAGGGAACCGAGTTGGAATGTGAATAACTAACCCAGTGTGGTCTATCTTCTGCCAGTAACAGTTTCATTGCACAATCTTCCTTACTGGAGGTCAGTCACCTTACCCCACTGACTTGGCCCCTCTTGGAGTATCTCCTTTTTACTTTTGGAAGGTTCTCAGAACTTTCTCAATAATATTTCAAATTGCCATGTTTTGGCCAGGTGTTTTCAGTTGTGTAAATCTTAAACCCATTTCTGGAAGATGTTCTCAGTCCTGGTCTCACCTATTCAATAAACTTAAAGTTTCTGCTATGAGTTAAGTGCTCTGTTAATTTTGGTGGGGAAAGCACAAACAGACCTATTGTTAAGGCACACTCTCAAACTTTGTCTGGAAGACCTTTTGGAATACTTCACCTATATCTCATAGTTTTATTATTTCTGGTTTCTCAATACTTACTCATTTGTACCCCACTTGTTTCCTATGTTGTATATAAAATGACCCTGTCCTTTATATTTTTTATCTCCTGCATCCTAGTTCTCTAAGTTTTACTTCCTGAAAGCAATCAAATGCAACTAACATTGGGTTTCATTTGAGTTAGACCTGTAGAGTGCTTGGGCTAGAAAGGCTCTCAGGGAGCACTTTGCAGTTAAAATGAAGCCACCCCCACCCGCCCCCACTCTCTGCCTCCCCAGGGTAGTCTTGACCAAGACCTAGAGACAGTGAGGGGTAGATTAGGGCCAGAATCCAGGCCCCTGACTCCTAGTCAGTACCCTATGTCTACCTATCCTTGTCCGGTGAACCTTTTGATATTTGATTTCCATCCTTGTTATCCCTTTTTCTTTATTTGATGCTAAGCTATTGTCATCATTCCTCATTAGATCCAATTACAGAGGCTTGGAGGCCAGTAAGAACCAAGTTTTTTTTTTTTTTTTTTTTTTTTTTTTGAGATGGAGTTTCACTCTTGTTGCCCAGGCTGGAGTGCAATGATGCGATCTTGGCTCACTGCAACCTCTACTTCCTGGGTTCAAGCGATTCTCCTGCCTCAGCCTCCCGAGTAGCTGGGATTACAGGCATGCGCCACCATGCCTGGCTAATTTTGTGTTTTTAGTAGAGATGGGGTTTCTCCATGTTTGGTCAGGCTGGTCTCGAACTCCTGACCTCAGGTGATCTGCCTGCAGCAGCCTCCCAAAGTGCTGGGATTACAGGTGTGAGCCACTGCGCCTGGCCAGAGCCAAGTTTTTTAAGGGATGGCTTCACGTCTGAGTTTTGGCCTTTCACACTGACTTGCTATGGCTGGTAGCAAGGTGATGAGGCTCTTTTAATCTTCATAGATATCCAGATAATACAGCTTGGATCACTGATAGTAGGAATTACAAGGCCCTCCTAATCCAGTGAGGACATGGTGTTCAGAGGCCAAGACATGGTGGGGATGCTTGCAGCACCTTCATGTGAAGAGTTTCCCTGCATGGAGGTGTTTGGAAAACAGGCTTGTGGGTGAGGGGCAAAGAGAGTTCTAAAAAGACTGCATTGACCTTTTGGATTTTTCTGTAGCTCACCTCAAAGACAGGCAGAGATCCTGGGTGACATGTGGTGCCAATTTTTATTGTATTCCTACTGGCTCTGTAGATATTGTCTTTTGTTATGTC
Organism: Homo sapiens; assembly: GCF_000001405.40. Taxonomy (NCBI): domain Eukaryota; kingdom Metazoa; phylum Chordata; class Mammalia; order Primates; family Hominidae; genus Homo; species Homo sapiens. The sequence goes on from NC_000001.11 coordinate 181,687,006, forward strand.
CTTGGCAAGAGAAATGTGATTGATGTGATTGGGAACATGAGACTGGTGGGGTGGGGGTGGTTCTCAAGCTCCCCATAATTCACAGATTTCAAGAGAGGAGCACAGAAGGACTTCATTTGAAGGGAGGAATGAACCATCTAACCTCCAGTGGCAGATGGGAGCCGAGACCCTGGAGTCATTGGGGCAGCAGTTGCCTGAGCAAGGGGAATAACAGCAGTTTCCCACCAAAAGTCTTCTATTGGGATTTTCATGTTTTCTGTCCTGCCTTTTAATGTTTTTTAATGAACAATAGGATCTATGACTCTTTATGCCTTGGGGAGTCACTCAGGACAAGTTTCATACCCCCACTTGGAGTTGGGATTATTATTTACTGATTTAGACAGCTTGGGGGGCTGTCACCACACTTCTTCTGTCTTGTCCAGTTCACCCCTCAGCTGGCTAAGTCTGAGAAGGTGTTACACGCACAGCTCAGGAAGAAGGCATGCCTAAGTTTCTAACTAAGTGAATGCAAGGCAGCTGGGTCTGAGAGCCCCAGAGGCTCACCTCTGCACATGGTGAGGGAAAAATAAAGATGGCTTCTGAGTGATTTTATGACTTTTGAAAGAAGGGGCATTGGGACAAATAAAAGGATACAGCCAATGGACACGCAGTTCTTTGGACTGGAAGAAAAATTATAACCTGTTTGCTTTTAGGGTCATTGTATTCATCTACAATAGTATATGGTTTGTTACAGATTCCAGGGCATTTTCCATATATATATTTTATTTTTTTTCCTACTATAACTTTAAAAGACATTATTTCCCCCATTATTTCAATTAATAAACAAAGGCTTATTGATGATTTAACTAGAATCACATAGAATATGCCAGAGTCAGAACTTGAAACCACCTTTATTCCTTCTGGCTCAGTGTTTTTTCTCTTATTATTCAATATAACTCAATTCCCTCATAACCATGAAGCATTGTGTTTTCGTGACTTATGGTTCATTGACTTCCAAACATCATTTTGTCTGAAATATTTCATATACACAAAAGAATATATATATATTACATATGGTTTGTTCCATATATGTGGGACAAATGAAAATGAAATGAGTATCTGGGCACTAACAATAAAGCTTAAGTGATAGAACATTACTGATGCCAGGGAAACCCAATTGCCTTTCCTGCAACTCTCGCCCTCCCACTCAAGGGTAGTATTTATTATCCCTTTGCTTATCATTTAGTTTTACCACTTGTGTATATTTCCCTATGCAATATATCGCTAAATGTTATATGAATTGTAAAATACAGTGTATGTTTTTATAGAGGTTGGTTCATTCACTTCACTTTCGCTGCTGAGCAGAATTCTACACAGCAGAAGTGTAAGTGTATTGCAAGTTATCCCCTCTCCACTTCTAGAATTTTGCTAATGCAAGTGACATTGCTATGAAGATTCTGGAAATTTTCTGGGGCTATAGGACATTTGCATGCTTAACTCTGCAAGATAATGCCCAATTGCTCTTTTCCCCTATCCTTTTTAAGTTATAATTGACAAAATTTTTACATATTTACAAGGTACAAAGTGATGTTTTGATATATGTATATATTGTGAAATGTTTAAATCAAGCTAATTAGTCTATCACCTCAAATACTTATCATTTATTTGTGGTAAGAACATTTGCTATCTACTCTCAGTAATTGTCAAATATACAATACATTGATATTAATTAGTCACCATGCTATATAATAGACCTCCAGAATTTATCCTGTTTAACTGCAATTTTTACCATTTGGCTAACATCTCTCCATTTCCCCTTCCCACTCCAGCACCTGGTAACCAGCAGGTGCTGCTGGTCTACTCCTTGCTTCTATGAGTTCTACTTTTTTAGATTCCACATATAAATGAGATAATGCAATATTTGTCTTCTTGTGCTTAGCTTATTCTATTTAGCATAATGTCTTTGAGGTTCACTTATGTTGTCATGAATGACAGAATTTTGATTTTTTTAACTTTAAGTTCTGAGATACATGTGCAGAATGTGTAGGTTTGTTACATAGGTATACACATGACATGGTGGTTTGCTGCGCCCATCAACCCATCATCTACATTAGGTATTTCTCCTAATGCTATCCCTCCCCTACCCGCCCCCTGATTCCTTGACAGGCCCCGGTGTGTGATGTTCCCCTCCCTGTATCCATGTGTTCTCATTGTTCAACTCCCACTTAGGAGTGAGAACATGCAGTGTTTGGTTTTCTGTTCTTGTGTTAGTTTGCTGAGAATGATGGTTTCCAGCTTCATCCATGTCCCTGCAAAGGACATGAACTCATCCTTTTTTGTGGCCACATAGTATTCCACGATGTATATGTGCCACATTTTCTTTATCCAGTCTATCATTGATGGGCATTTGAGTTGGTTCCAAGTCTTTGCTATTGTGAATAGTGCTGCAGTAAACATGTGTGCATATATCTTTATAGTAGAATGATTTATAATCCTTTGGGTATATACCCAGTAATGAGATTGCTGGGTCAAATGGTATTTCTGGTTCTAGATCCTTGAGGAATTGCCACACTGTCTTCCACAAGAATTGAACTAATTGACAGTTCCACCAACACTGTAAAAGCATTCCTGTTCCTCCACATCCTCTCCAGCACCTGTTGTTTCCTGACTTTAATAATTGCCATTCTAACTGGCATGAGATGGTATCTAATTGTGGTTTTGATTTGTATTTATCTAATGACTAGTGATGATGAGCTTTTTTTCATATGTTTCTTGGTCATATAAATGTCTTCTTTTGAGAAGTGTCTGTTCATATCCTTTGGTCATTTTTTTATGGGGTTGTTTTTTTTCTTGTAAATTTGTTTAAGTTCTTTGTAGATTCTGGATATTAGCCCTTTGTCAAATGGATAGATTGCCAAAGTTTTCTCCTATTCTGTAAGTTGCCTGTTCACTCTGATGATAGTTTCTTTTGCTGTGCAGGAACTCTTTAGTTTGATTAGATCACGTTGGTCAATTTTGGCTTTTGTTGCCATTGCTTTTGGTGTTTTAGTCGTGAAGTCTTTGCTCATGCCTGTGTCCTGAATGGTATTGCCCAGGTTTTCTTATGGGGTTTTTATGGTTTGGGGTCTTACGTTTAAGTCTTTCATCCATCTTGAGTTAATTTTTGTATAAGGTGTAAGGAAGGGGTCCAGTTTCAGTTTTCTGCATATGACTAGCCAGTTTTCCCAACATCATTTATTAAATAGGGAATCCTTTCCCCATTGCTTGTTTTTGTCAGATTTGTCAAAGATCAGATGGTTGTAGATGTGTGGCATTATTTCTGAGGCCTCTGTTCTGTTCCATTGGTCTATATATCTGTTTTGGTACCAGTACCATGCTGTTTTGGTTACTGTAGCCTTATAGTATAGTTTGAAGTCAGGTAGCATGATGCCTCTAGCTTTGTTCTTTTTGTTTAGAATTGTCTTGGCTATAAGGGCTCTTTTTTGGTTCCATATGTAATTTAAAGTAGTTTTTTCCAATTCTGTGAAGAAAGTCAATGGTAGCTTGATGGGGATAGCATTGAATCTGTAAATTATTTTGGGCAGTATGGCCATTTTCATGATACTGATTCTTCCCATCCAAGAGCATGGAATATTTTTCCATTTGTTTGTGTCCTCTCTTATTTCCTTGAGCAGTGGTTTGTAGTTCTCCTTGAAGAGGTCCTTCACATCCCTTGTAAGTTGTATTCCTAGGTATTTTATTATTTTTGTAGTAATTGTGAATGGGAGGTCACTCATGATTTGGCTCTCTGTCTATTATTGGTGTATAGGAATGCTTGTGATTTTTGCACATTGATTTTGTATCCTGAGACTTTGTTCTAGTTTTTTTTAATCAAGTATTTTGGATTTTCTACATAGACGACTTCTTTAAATTTCTTAGGCTTCTTTAAAGACTTTATCTTGGTGTTATGGAGTTTACTCTAATGGTGCTAGTTATGGGTTTCCTTTTAGCTATCCTGCTTTTATATGCATTGTGCTCACTGCATCTATGTATCTGAATATTTCATTCTTGAAAAATCAAATATTATCTTTTCAAATATTTTCTCTCATCATTTGTCTCTTCTCATTTTATGAAACTCTGACTTGACTTATTTAAGATCTTCAACCTAACATTTCTATTAGCCTCACTTTCAGTTTTCTCATCTCTTTATTTCTATGCACTGCATTAAAAATATATATGTGTATATATATATTTATTTAGTTCTTTGATTTTATTTATCAGAGTTTTGTAGTTTTCCTTATGTAGATATTGTACATATTTGGTCAGATTTTTACTTATTTAATTTTTTTAGGTACTACATTTTACATACATTTTCTGTTCTGCTATCTGCTCTGTCCTGTAACCTATCTTTGAAATTTAAATTTTAAAGAAAAAACAACACAAATGATCAAAATCTGGAATGAAAAGGGTGGCATCACTATAGATCCTACAGAAATCAGATAATTAAGGTTATATTATGAATAATGTTGTGCCAGTAAATTCAATAACTTGGATAAAATGGCAAGTTTCTTGAAAACCAAAATACCAAAACATTGCCAAAAAACCATATGATCATCTTAATAGATACAGAAAAAGCCTTTGATAAAATCCAACATTGCTTTATAATAAAAACCCTCAACAAACTAGACATCAAAGAAACATACCTCAAAATAATAAGAGCCAGCTGTGACAAACTCACAGCCAACATCATACTGAATGGGCAAAAGCTGGAAGCATTCCTCTTGAGAACTGATACAAGACAAGGATGCCCACTCTCACCACTTCTACTGAACATACTACTGGAAGTCCTACCTGGAATAATCAGGTAAGAGAAAGAAATGAAAGGTATTCAAATAGGAAAAGAAGTCAAACTATCTCTCTTTGCTAACAATAACAATTCTACATCTAGAAAACTCTAAAGACTTCACGAAAAGTTTCCTGGAACTGATGAACAACTTCAGTGAAGTTTCAGGATACAAAATCCATATAAAATTCAGTAGCATTTCTATACATCAGTAGTGTTCAAACTGAGAGCCAAATCAAGAACACAATCCCCTTTACAATGGCCACAAAAAATAAATACCTAGCAATACATCTGCCAAGGAGATGAAAGATCTCTACCAACAAGAAAAACTATAAAACACTGCTGAAAGAAATCATAGATGACACAAAAAACTGGAAAAATATTTTATGCTCATGAATTGGAAGAGTCAGTATTGTTAAAATGGCCATACTGCCCAAAGCAACACTATTTCAATCAAACTACAAATGTCACTTTTCACAGAATTAGAAAAAACTATTCTAAAATTTACATGGAGCTAAAAAAGGGCCCAAATAGCCAAAGCAATCCTAAGTAGCAGGAACAAAGCCAGTGACATCACACTACCTGATTTCAAACTATATTATAAGACTACAGTAACCCAAACAGCATGGTCTTGGTACAGAAACAGAAACATAGACCAATGAAACAGAATAGGGAACCCAGGCATAAGGCTGCAAACCTACAGCCATCTGATCTTCAACAAAGTTGACAGAATTAAGCAATGGGGAAAGGAATCCCTGCTCAATAAACAATGCTGGGATAGCTGGTTAGCTAGATGCAGAAAAATGAAACTGGACCCTTACCTCTCAATATATGCAAACATTAAGATGAATTAAAAATTTGAATATAAGACCTCAAACTATGAGAATCCAAGAAATACACCTAGGAAACACCATTTTGGACATCAGCCTTGAGAAGGATTTATGACTAAGTCCTCAAAAGCAATTGCAATAAAAAACAATTGACAAGTGGGACCTAATTAAACTAAAGAGCTCTGTATGGCAAAAGAAGTTATCAACAGAGTAAACAGACAACCTACAGAATGAGAATGCAAAATATTTGCAAACTATGCATCCAACAAAGGTCTAATATCCAGAATCTCTAGGAACATAAACAATTCAACAAGCAAAAAACAAACAACCCCATTAAAAAATGGGCAAAGGACATGAAAAGCACTTTTTAAAAGATACACAAGCAACCAACAAATGTGAAAAAAATGCTCAACATTGCTAATTATTGGAGAAATACGAATCAAAACCGCAATGAGATACCATCTCACACCAGTCAGAATGGCTATCTAAAGCAAAAAAAAAAAAAAAAAAAAAACAACAGATGCTAGCAAGGCTGCAGAGAGAAGGGAATGCTTATACTCTGTTGGTGGTAATGTAAATTAGTTCAGCCCCTGTGGAAAGCAGTTTGGAGATTTCTCAAAGAATTTAAAACAAAACTAGCATTCGACCCAGCAATCCCATTACTGGGTATATAATTCCAAAGAAAATAAATTGTTCTACCCAAATGACACATGCACTTATATGTTCATTGCAGCACTATTTACAACAGCAAAGACATGGAGTCAATCTAGATGCCCATCAATGGTGGATTGGATAAAGAAAATGTGGTACATATACACCATGGAATACTATATATCCATAAAAAGGAATGACATCATCTCCTTTGGAGCAACATGAATGCAGCTGGAGGCCATTAACTTAAGTGAATTAATGCAGGAACAGAAAACCAAATATCAAATGTTCTCACTTATAAGTGGGAGCTAAATAATTGGGCACTCATGGACATAAAGATGGCAACAATAGACACTGGGTACTACTGGAGGTGGTAGAGGGTTGAAAAACTGTTGGGCACTATAGTCACTACCTGGGCAAGAGGATCATTCATATCCCACACTTCAGCATCACACAATATACTCATGTAACAAATCTGCACATGTACCCTCTGAATCTAAAATAAAAGTTGAAATAAAGAAAATTACCAAAACTAAGAGAAGAAATTTAAAATCTAAATAAACACAGATCTGTTAAAGGAATTTAATTCATATTCTAAAACTTCCCACAAAGAAAACTGTAGGCCACATTGTTTTACCAGTCAATTCTACCAAACGTTAAGGAAGAAATAATGCTGATCCTTCACAAACCCCTTTAGGATATGAGGCAAGGGGAAAAACACTTCTCAACTCATTTGATGTGATCAGCATAACCCCATTACTTAAACCTGACAAATATGTAATGAGAAAATAACAATGTCCATTGTGAATGTAAATGCAAATTTCCTTGAAAATATTATTAAATCTGGCAAAATATAAAGGATAATATGTCATTACCACGTGATGTTTAATTCGTGAATGCAATGTTGATTTAGCATTTGAAAATCAGTCAAGTTAATGTACTACATTAGCAGTAAAAGAGGGAGAAAGCATACAGCACCTTAATATGTGCAAAAATAACTTAAAACTTACTAGTCCTTTATAATAAAGACTTGCAGTAAATTAATAATAGAAAAGAACTTTCTCAGTCTGATGAAATGGCATTGCTATTGTTTGAATGTGTTTTCCAAAGTTTATGTGTTATAATCCCCAGTGCAACAGAGTTGAGAGGTGGGACCCTTAAGAGGTGATTAGGTCATGACAGCTCTGCCCTCGTGAATGGATTAATGCCATTATTGTGGGAGTGGGTTCTTGATAAAAGGATGAATTCATCCCACTTTCCCATGCTCTGTTGCATAGGCTTTGCCATTACACCCTTCTGCCATGAGATGATGCAGCAAGAAGGCCCTTGCAAGATACAACCCGTTGATCTTGGACTTCTCAGCCACCAGAACAATGAGCCATGTTAATTTTGGTTTATTGTAAATTACCCAGTCTCAAGTATTCTGTTATAGTGGCACAAAATAGCTTGGGACAGGCATCTATAAAAAACCTACAGCCAGCATCATACTTAATGAAATATTAATCCCTCTTCCCTGTAATCTGGAAATGGGCAAGGACTTTCACTTTTACCACTTGTCTTTAATGTTGTTATGTAAATCTGAGCCATATTAATAAGGAAAGGAAAGAAAATAAAGGGTACATAAATTGGAAAGGAAAAAATAAAAACCAATTTTTTCACAGATAACATGATTATGTATTTTGAAAATCTAACAGTAGACTCTAAACTACAAGAGCTAATTAAGTGAATTCAGCCAGGTCACAGGATACAAGGTCAACATACAAAAATTAATTGGGTTATATATGCTTGCAATGACCAAGTTAAATTTAAATTTAAATTAACTAAAAATGGATGTTAAATATTTAAGGAATAACAAAAAAATCAAATATCTAGAAATAAATCTGACAAAAGATGTCAAGACCTTTCTACTGAAAACTACAGAACATTGCTGAAGTAAATTAGTCTTTTGAAAAATGGAGAGACATGGTATCTTTATGGATTGAAAAACTTAATATTATTAAGATATCCATTATCTCTAAATCAATATGGAGATTAAATAAAATCCCCATCAAAATTCTAGCAGGTTAATTTGAAGAACTAGACAGATGATTCAAAACTTGATATGGAAAGGCAAAGGCTTTAGAGAACCCAGAACAATTCTAAAAAGAGAACAAAATTGTAGGACTTATTACACTACTTGATTTTAAGATCCACTGTAAAGCTACTGTAATCAAGACAATATGGTATTGCTGTCAACAGACAAATAGACCACTGGAACAGATTAGAGAGCCCCTCATGTATATTGGTGGTTGATTTGTGGCAAAGATGCAAGTTCAATTTAGAGGGGGAAAGGAAAGTCTTTTAATAAATTTTGCTATATCCACTGTATATTCATATAAAAAAAGTGAATCTACAGCTGGGTGTGGTGGCTCATGCCTGTAATCCCACTTTGGGAGGCTGAGGTGGGCGAATCACTTGAGGTCAGGAGTTCGAGACCAGCCAACATGGCGAAACCCCATCTCTACAAAAAATACAAAAATAACCCAGGTGTGGTGGTGTCTGCCTGTAGTCCCAGCTACTCGGGAGGCTGAGACATGACAATTGCTTGAATCCAGGAGGCGGAGGTTGCAGTGAGTTGAGATTGCGCCACTGCACTCCAGCTTGGGCATCAGAGCTAGACCCTGTCTCTAATAAATAAATTAATAAATAAGAATCTAGACCTTCCTCTCTCTGTGTAGATTAAAATTAATTTGAGAATATCTTTGCGAATTCAGGCGAGACAAATGTTTCTTGGACAGAATACAATATAAAAAGCATAAACAATGAAATCAAAACAATTAATAAGTTGGGCTTTGTCAAAATAAACAATTTCTGTTTATCAAAAGATGCCATTAAGAAAATGAATATAAACAAGACACAGACTAGGAGACAATATTTACGTAACATATATCTTTTTTTTTTTTTGACCTTGGAGATTTCCATCACTTTTTTGTAAGCTTAGGAATGCATTAATTATCATGCTTGTCAATCTAGCACTTGGGTGTTTTGTGTAAAAGTTATTTCAGAACACTGGTGTTTTATTCTGCCAGAGTAGAAGTCAGTTCTTTGACTTTTCAGATTCTCTGCAAAATATAACATTTTTCTGAGCAGCATTAGGTAGAAATATACTATAGTATCATGTGATTACCTTATTTCACACAAACAGAATTATATAACCAAATTCTCTATAGTTACCCCTTCAGAAGTAAAGCCTATACTTACTAGTTTCCCAGGGAGGAGTCGTTATTGCAAAGGAGTAGATTAAACCTGTGGGGAAAAAATGTTGGCCTGGTGTATCTTTTTAGGCATCAGCCTTCCTGTAAGTGGAGCTGTGACCAGGTGTATGTATGCACATGTGTATGCATGTACATTTTCATGACTGCAGATGTAGACACGTGTATGCACAGATAATGTTTGCAGATAAGATGTATTTTCAGATAAGAATGGAGTAATATTTTAACTTGGGTTCATTGTAATGTTTGGATATAAGATATCTAAAAAAAGATCAGTGTTTATTGGTAGAGCGTGATTACTTGCAAAAGAATTTGACTATTTTATTTATGCTAGTGACAACTAGTGTTTTTCATAGGAATCCATTTCTAGTAATTACTGTTTGATAATATAAGGGTAATGTGAATTTCCTGCTTCCTGCACATAATAAGAATGTGAATTTAATGCCTTCTTTATAGCCTCATTTCTCCACTCCATAGAGCAGGATGAGGAAGAGATACTCTGTAGTGGAGTTCAGGGGCTTTTCTGACCTCGGGTCCTATCCTTTCATCTGAGTACATCCTCAGAGACAAGAGGCAGAAGAGAATACAGAAGGGGAAAAATAGGATGAAAAAGAATAACAAAAGCAGGGGAGGAAACACACAGGAAGAAAGAAGAGGAAAATACACTGAAAAGCTGTGGTGAAATGTTGCTGATGTAATCCTAAGGGCCTCAGGTGGCACAGGTCCCCTGGCTTCTATTTGCCTCTCTAGACCTATCTGTGGTCAGAAGAACCTTGTTCTGTCAGTACTTAGATGTATGATCTTGAACAGATTCTTAAACATCCTTTGGCTTCATTTAAAAAGTGAGCTAGTATCAGGTATTTTGTAGTTTTGTGAAAATCAAAGCAGATAGTGCTTACAAACTTCAGCAGAGCATCTGGTACATCATAAACACAAAATAAGTGGTCATTAGTATGATGATATCAATACCACATCTTCCAGCTGCAAAAAATGGTTTTGCTCCAGACAGTGCTTTTCAAACTATCCGTGTCGAAGAATTGCTTCTAAACATTACCAGTCTACTGTGTGTTTATACTTTTGTAAAATGCATTTGTTTATAAAAAGAATTACCTGAAAACTGAAATGAAAAATATAAACAGATATAAAATACAGCCATCAATTTTTATTCTTACATTTGGTAGACATCAAATATCTGTAAAATTATTGTAGAAGTTACTAGTGCTTTTAATTTCTGAATTTATCTTATGGACTGGAAATAGTTTGCAGATAGGCATTGGTCCATGGTTCACACTTTGACCGATACTTCATACACTGCTCTGTGAAGAGCAGATCTACTGTTGCCTATAAATACATAAGGGTGGACTTTGCTAAGGCAAGGGACTTAGGAGTATTTAGAAGTCTATGCTGGGGTGGGGGTTATGGTCCAAGCTGGAAGCTTCCACCCTCGTGCATGTCTCTGATGGCTCCAAACTCTGGAGAGTCTGCTTTGAAGGAAATCTTCACATAAAAGGTCCTATGTAAAAATGTCTTCTCCTGAAGGTGGTAGAGTTATTTAGAATCTATGAGGTGAACAGCTAGAGTTCAGAAGTTGTCTAACAGTCTACACGTATTCAGTAACATAGACTTTATCAAAAGATGCACTCTCCTCCTCTCTAAACCTCACCAGTATTCCTTCCCTTCCAGTGTTGATTTGTATTATCCTTGATGCAAATGTCTGATTTGAGTTAATATTTCAAGGTCACAAAGTAATAAGAGTTGTCAACTGACAGTACTTTGTACTTTAAGAGAGCAGCTCCTTAGGAATTTCAGAGTCCACTCTTATCTGTTGAAGATCTACCATACTAGGCGCCATGACTGGTGCCTTGGTTCACATGGGCTTGCTGATGCAGCAGCTCAGTGAAGTTGCAGTTTTTATCAATGCCATTTATTAGGAAATTGAACTTCAGAAAGCTTCAATAACTTGCCTGTGGTCTGATTCAAAGATAGGTGTAATGAGTCCCAATACAGTTTTTATTTTTACAATACCACAGGTTTAATCGTCTTTCATGGCATTTTGTCACTGTCATTGTATATGTATTGTACGAATCCTCATGGAAAAGTGCATAGCCTACCACAGCCCTAGGCACTGGAGTCCATGACAGGCCAGCCATCTAGTAAGAAAATGTCTTTGCTTGTATGTCACCAGCTTTTGTTTCATTTATCTCTAATAGATAAGGATATTTTCAATAAGGTAACAATTAATTGCATTTTAATGAAGAACTTAGGTTAACTGTAAGACAGGCTTAAAGAAGTTGGTGATTTATTAAATATCCTCAATTTAAGAAAGACTTCTAAGTAAGGGATGATAACGGTCAACTTAAATGATACTGAGACTACAGAGGGACAAAGTCTCAATTGCAGCAGAAAATATTTAAGCTGAATATAGTGAAGAATTTCCTGCCATGATGTTGCTTTACAGCTTTGGAATAGTCTTGAAAGTTCATATAGAGTGTCAAAGAATAGGTGTACAGCTTGTTTTCAGAAGGTCCTGGTAGAGAATTCTTAGATTGACTACATTACCAGTAGATATGATCTGCAGTGGTTGTGACTCATAGAGGTAACCTCCAGAAGAAAGAATATGTACTTCTGAACGTTCTGATGCCTTTATCCATTCATGCAACAAATATTGCTTGAATTCCTTCTAGGCACCAGGCATTGTTCTGAGGATATGATGGTGAACATGGCAGAAGAGATCCTTTTATTGTGTAGCTTATATTCTTGAGCAAAGACAAAAAACCAAATAGCTGAACAAGGTAGCTTTTAGGGACAGATGTTATTAATGAAATAAACAGGTTAATGTGGTAGAGTGCAGCAGGTAATGGGGCCATTAATTTTAATTTTGTGATCAGGAAAGTTCTCCCATCCCACGCCAGTGGTCGGGAAGAGAGACAGAGCAGATCTATGGAGGGTCTCATAGGCCACAATAAAGGGTTTGTATTTTAACAATGAGAAGCCAGCAGAAAGTCTTAAACAGAAGGATAGCATGATGTATTTTGAATTCACAAGTCACCCTGTTTTCCTGCTATGAAGGAAATAGGGGGATTGGGACAAAGATGGAAATGTGAAGTCAGTAAGGGAGGCTACTGCGCTCTTGCAGCCAACTGAAGGCAAGAAGCATCCAGGCAGGAGACAGCAGTAGCCTGGACTAGGGTGACAGCAGTGGGTTTGGAGAAAAGGGGTAAGACTGCCAGGAATTGCTTATGGATTGGGCTGAGGTTGGGATGAGAAAGGAAGAAGGGAAAATGACCCCTAACTTGGGTGGTTTTGTTTACTGAGGTGGGAGAGACTAGAGGAGGAGAAGTTTGGGGAGAAATCACTTGGCCATGTTACATCCGAGATGCCTATTTGACATCCAAGTAGCTGATGTCAAGTTGACAGTTACATAACTGGGTTTCAAGCTCAGTGGTGAATTTGGGCTGGAGACAAAAATTCGGTAGCTTTCAGCATAGAGATGATGTTGGAAGTCTCCATGGGCCTGTGCAACGTCACCTGGAGGGAGAATGTTTTAGAAGAGAGGACCTATGCCTGGGCCCTGGGGCACTCCAATGTCTAGAGGAGGAGTGAAGGAGATTGAGAAGAATCAAACAAAAGAGTGGGTGTCATGGAAGCCCAAGAGAAGAGGCCTCTCCTGGAAGGATAAGCTGAAGTCTAAAGATCCACTGAGCCCCAAACCCCTGTTGAGTCCACAGACCCTGGACCCACACAGCTTCAGGACTGACCTGGAATTGAGCTAACCTCAGTTGTTTTAGGTCAAGGCACAGGGTGTGTGCCCCCTCCACTCCATTCTCTCCTGTTGTTCCCAAATCTGAACTGCTTCTTGTCTGGTGGCTGCCCGTAGTGTGTGGTGCACTTATTCATGATGTAAACAGTTGCCAGACAGCCTGTCTGTGCTGGGACTTCAGGCATAACCATGAACAAGAGCAATCTACACAGTTTCTGCCCTTGCAGAGCTTACAGCATCATAGGGTCACCAACGAGAAATGAGACAATTCCAAGAAATGGAAATAGTTGAGGTACAGCTGCTTCTAGTACAGACTGTGTGATATGGGTAAGTCAAGTTGCTGTTCTAAGCCTGGATTTTCCTGCCTGAAAAATAGAACTAAGTCTGAGAGACTTTCTAAGATACCCTGAAGATGTGAATTAATGACTGTGTGAATCAAAACTCCTATACATCCCATCCCATTTTAATTGCATCCCTGGAAAGGACAGCGAGTGGAAAGGCCAGGCTAGTCCTTCTGTGTATTGAGTCACGTTTGGTGCGTTAGCCCACGCCGAGCCTCTAAACTTCCTTCCGCTCACTTCGAGTCTCTCCTCAGGAGCTCCCCCTGCTCCATTTTCCCTCATATTTTGGCTCTTCTTTCCCATCTCCACCATCCCATTTCTGTGAGCTTTGGGCCTTCTCCTTGGTTCCACTTGACCGTCCCAAAGCATATAAAAGGACTTGTTTTCATAAGGAAGAACCTTTTGGTGATGAACCATGACATTTTGCCTTCCTGAGAGGAATCTTTGATGTTTAAATTATCTGGGGATGTTTAACAAAGGAATGTGGGAAATGCAAAACTTTTTACAAAGGGGAAAGATGCCCACACAGGGTGAAGTGTACAAAGCTTCAACCTGGTAATAAACTCTCAATTTCTTCCTTGAACACAGCTGCACCTCTCCTCAGACACCTCCAAAGCTTTTGGGGAGGGAGCTGGTTGCTGTGCCTTCTCAGAGGAGTGCGAAATGTGTCTCTGAGAAGAACACAGCCATTTGTTCTGTTAGGATGCTTCTTTCAGACTGTAATTAGAGTGCTGTGGGGGGTGTAGATGGAGGAGAAAGAAGAATATGAAATGCTCTTACTTCCCTGTGGCTCATTCTTCCTGCACCACGGGGCTTTGAACCCACTGAAATATTGTGACTGAAACATACACTGTTATATGCAGAGACAGAGAGAAAGCAGCATGTACACCTCTGAGTTCATGCCTTGATAGTATCTGTGTGCTACAATGAGGTGGCGCAGACTGGCGGAGAATTAAACAGAGTAGGTCTGAATTCTGCTGTGTAACTCTTTGTCTTTCAACACTCTTGAAAGCCTTTATTTTTCCAAACTGCGAAACAGAGATGAAAGTGTGGTCCCCTAGCCCTTTTCTTAAAAGGTTTTAAGGACCACCATGTGAGAACTCATAACTTTTCAATATTCATAGTACATGCTATTCTGTGATCATCCCACTTATGGGAGGGATTCATGAAGCAGTTATAATGAAATAGTGTAGCATCCAAGAATATTTGTGGGTTTTTTGGTTTTGTTTTAAACTTTATTTGCAGCAATATCAACAACAATTTATTGATGATGTTTTACTGAATTATCAGTTAACATCTTTCTAGCATGTGCCAGCAGAGGGGAAGGAGGGTGGCAGAGAAAGAGCATCTAGGATGGTTCTGTTTCATTCACAGCAGACAATCCTTGAAGCAGCTGGCACATATTGTGTGGATGACAGAGAATTTGGTGCTATTGAGCTTAATGATCTTTAATATAAACATGTCAGGATATCCAGCTGACTTATATACACAGCTGAATTCCTGATCCTCCCTCTTCCCAAACCTGCTCCATTATCTTTTCCATCCTGGTTTGTTTAACTCCATTCTTCTGGTTGCTGTAGCTTAAAACTTTGGGGTCATCTTGGATGCATGTCTCTCTTACACTCCTCGTCCACCAGCCAGCAAGTCCTCCTAGCTGTGTCTTCACAGTCTATCCAGAGCCCCACTGTTTCTCATGAGCTATACTTTACCACTCTCGCCAAGGCCACCATCATCTGGATACAACCTGGAAGATCTCCCTGCTTCCACCCTTAATCCCCTTCAGTCTCTTTTCAACAGGACAACCAGAGACATTCTTTGCAAACTTAAGTTGTGGGACTCCTCTGCTGCAACTGACCAATCGTTTCCCAATGACACCAAGTAAAACTCAAATCTTTATAGGGTATCTATGGCCCTACATGATGGCCCTCCACTTCCCCACTGCCTGCTACCACTCTGACCTTTTTTCCATGTATTCAGTCCACTCTAGTCACATTGGCTCTTTTCTGTTCTTCAAAAGCTCCTGCAAGATGCTTCTGCCCCACAGCTTTGCCCTGGTCATCACCTCTGCCTGGAATCCTCCTCCCCGGATGTCTGCATGGCTCACTTCCTCACATCTCTCATGTCATTCCTCAAGCCACCTCAGTGAGGCCCTCCCTGGCCACTCAACCAAATATTCCAGCTCCCCGACACCCAATACTTACTATACTTCTCTGCTTTATTTTTCCCTGAGGAATTATCAGTTTATAACATTCTGTTTATTATGCTTATTTATCTTGTTTATTGTTTTTCTCCTGCAGTATAATGTAAGCTCTGTTGAGGACAAAGATTTGCTTCTTTTTTTGAGAAGGGGGTCTTATTCTCTGGCCCAGGCTGGTCTTGAACTCTTGACCTCAAGCCATCCTCCTTCCTCTGCCTCTCAAGTATCTGAGATTACAGGTGCATACCAGCATGCCCAATTATACTTGCTGCTATATCCTCATATTCTAAAACAGTACCTACCATGTAGTAGGCACTCAATAAATTGTATTTTGGAGGTGGAATGAATATATAAAATAAAGGCCTTGATAATAGGTTATCTGTATTATGATACATTCTCAGAAAAGTCAGTAATATAACAGCTACTTGGAGCACCTACTATACCTTGCACATTCTATCATTTAATCCTCACAACAACCTTTTGAGATAGGTATGATCATTATTCCTAATTTTATGAATGAGGAAACTAAGATTTAGTTTAAGAACTTGCCCCAGATCACACCACGATGGAGCTAGGATTCAAACCCAGGTCTGTACAACTTCAGAGCTTTTAATCATTATACTTTAACATTCTGGATTCCACCAACTTCAAGGTTAAAAACCGAAACAGGAAACATATTCCAGTTCCTTCATTATCTCCCTTACATTAATTGTCATGCTTTTCTTCCCCTGTGTCTACTCAAACAAATAAATGAGATCTCAATATTGAGAAGAGAAAGAAAAAAGACCAGTCATTCCCTGAGCTCCTAAAAGAATAATCTTCTTTGAGTTCTCATAACTGAAATGTCATGAAGCTGTGGAATAGCACTGGCTTTGGAACGTGATGCTCTAGGTCTGCCGCCACCGCCCTAATCCTTGGAAATGGCAAGTCATCTGACCTCTCTCTATGCCTTAGTTTCCCTGCTTATGGAAAGCCGGTCTTGGACAGGTGATCTGTCAGGTTCCCCTCGCCTGATATCCTGGTCTGTGAGACTCCTGGTCTGTCTTCCATTGCCGTGGACATAAGGTGGTGGAGTAGGAGTGGGATATAGCACTTCATGTAATGCCATTTATTTGCCTTAACCACTTTAGGGAAGGATTTCTGCTCATAGGAGGAGCCTTCTGAAAGCTCCAGATTCTAAGGAAGAATGACCCCATATGATGTCGTCGAGCATTTGCATCACCCATCCTGCTTATTAGAGTCAATAATGGATAGGATTTAGAGGGCTAGCTTCTGTTTTGGCCTTTATTGACAACCTAAGTCTCCTTAAATCCTTTCTGGAACAAGTCAAGGGATAAAGCATAAACAACTTTAATACTGCTGAACTCTATGACCTTCAGGAAGGTGTTTACCTTCTCTGGGGCTGTGTTTGCTTCTCTGAAAAATGGGAGAAATGGTTCCCCAGGCTCGTAAGAACACTGAAAATATAGAAACATTGAAGAGGCTCACCCTAACCCCAACCCATTTTCCAATGGCACTGAAATGAAACCACTGCCAACACAGAATTGCCAATCTTGCTTCCAATTTCTCTGTTAGTTTCAGAACATTTAGGGTTGAAGAGGTTTTTCTTGATGTCTAACCCAAATTCCTCCTTCCTAAAGCAAAGACTTTACAGGAACCTTGGCAAGGTTTCCCTATGGGTAGCAAAGCTCTCTGAAACATGGACTCTGAAGATTAATAGGAATATGACCATGTGGCCATTTGTGTGCTTGGCAGAGTGTGTGTACGTATGCTGCTTGTGCCAGGATGAGTGTGTGTTTCCATGCCAATGTGTGTGATGAAGCATGCAAGTGTGTACAGTAGTGTGGATAAACAGATCTTTGAGTCACACAGGCCAGCCCATCCTGGCACTTTGTCTTCCTTTTGGTTGTCATGACAGCAGCGAGGGGCTGTGCATCAGTAAACAAAGCTCCCTGCATGGAGCCGGGAGGAGAGGTCTGGAGCGAGAGGCTAAAACATGAGTCAAGCAGTCCTCCAACCGAGGCTTTCTTACCCCAGCCGACCTACCAGAACATCTTCATCGCTAGACAAGCATCGAGATACCAGTCCAGGTGCCCTGTGACTGACTCTGGGGTCACATAACATGGGCAGACATTTCAGGCTGGAGCTAGGCTTTCATCAACCTCACTTCTAATCCCCAAGAGTTAGCAACAGCATAATCAAGTCTAGAAATGTGAATGACCGAAGACCCTCCTAGTATCAGCCTATGGGCTAAAACCAGTTACTTCATTAAGGCAGAAATTAGCCACTTTGTGATTTGTCTGTAGCAGTGGCTCCTTATAGGTTCATACATTCATAAAATGCTAATTTTAATAATAACCTAAAATGATTTCAAAGAAGTCTCTGTCTTCTCTCCCCTCATCCCTCCAGGCACACATGATAAATGTTTTGGGCATTCTACCTTGTATGAGATTATGTAATTCTTCCACTTCATCTTAATGATTAATTATATAGAATTAGCTGTGTATGAATAGTTGAGTTTTACAATTTATATTTCTCATGTAAACTGCTGCAGAAAAAAAGCAGTCACAAATACAAATGTAGTAACCAGGATAAAAGAAAACTGTGCTCAACCATGCAGGGCAAAGAGATCCACCTTGTTCTTAGTTTCCATGACTGAAATTTAGAAACCCAAACCTTGCATACATATGTAGCATCTAGAGTAGAGGCTCATCCATGCTTAACTCCAATTCACCTTACTTCCCTGTATGCAAGAGCCGTATGTGAGGGGACCTACAGGTTATCCTCCCTCAGAGGAGCCAGGTTTGGGGCTGGAGGAGCAACCTAAAATTAAGGATGACAGAATTGGGTAAGGAGAAGTATCGGGAATGAAACACGACTTGGATTTGTGTCACTGTACAATCTCTTATGGGAATCTAGTCAGGACTCTCAGAGTCAACCAGATCTATCCCTGCCTCTGGTTATGAGCCTAGGGTTTATGTGGGTCCTAATGTCAACTCTTACTGATGAAGAAATTGAGACAGCAAGGTGACTGTCCAGTTTGTAAGCAGCAGAGGATACCTAGATCCCCAGCTCTGAAAATAGAATGGTGGTGTTTCTGCTGCATCACATGGGGATTTGTTTTTGTTCCCCTTGTTTGGAATTCTGAAATCTAGATGCATCCCTTCTTGATTTCTGTTGCATCTCTCGGTGTAGAAACCCTGGATAGAACAAATGAAAAGGAGCCAATTACCTATCCTCTTACCTTAGGCCACAGGCTGTTGCCAAGGGGCCTTAGGGAATATGAACACTCTTCTTCTATAGGCCAGATTCCCCCTTTTACATTTTCTATGCCTTGCTCCAAGGGAACTGGATAAATTAAGATATTCATAGTGCCCTGCTATGAGCTGCCTTTCAGTGGGGGAATTCAGCAGTCATCTGGTAAACTAAATAACCGTAATATGCATCATCATCCGAATCACCCCAGGATCCTCTGTGAAGAGGACAGGGTACTCAGATCCTCAGAGGAGAGAGGGACCAGTTAAAGGAGTATGCTTTGTTTCGCAGGTCTGGCCACATATATACCCATGAGCCTGATGGGCATGTTAAATCTAAGGTTTATGAAGCTGAATCTTATTTGCTCCTGTTCTCTCCAGAATGCAATATGTGTATGAATAAATGGACACAAAATCAAGCAGTATATCACTAGCTTGACTAACGCTATGAATTTTATTCTAGGTCTTTAATAACCCAACACAGAGCAATGGATTTTTATGCTACTGTCTCAATGAAAAGGATAGTCCCTTAAAGAAAAACAAAACCCATCTGTTTTAATATCCTTATTTTCCTCAACCTTGGGCTGAAATGAAATCCCTCTTGTAGATTTTAAATGTTGACTTCTAGATAGCAGGGAAGACAGCTAAGGCATTGTGGAAACAGCACATAACCTGGAAGAAGACATTAGTTTGAATTTTGTCTCTGCCTCTTGCTAATTGGATTATCTTGGGCAAGTAATCTTTTTGAATCTCGCAGGGCTTTTGAAACTATAAATGAAATAATTTACATGAAAATGATTTGTAAATTTAACAAGTTTAAATGTGTTACATGAACATTAGCTGTTCTTGATATTTTATTTCTATAATCTATGGAATCTATCATACCAGACACTGGGTTAAGCTTCGCTGACCCTTGTTGGAATGTGATACTTGACCTCATGAAGGCTTTACTTGACCTCATGAAGCCTGCAGACTAGTCAGGGAGACAGGCCATGGGTACTAACAATTACAGCAGCGAGGGCAGAGGGGCTGTAAGAGTTAGGAAAGACACAGGTGCTGGACTTGCTACCCAGGTTCCCAATGAAAGAACAAAACAGAAAAGGCTGCTTGATAAAGCATCATAAAGAAGGTCCCCCACATCCTCCATTAAGGTGCTGGAGCTGCTTAGGAGGTACTCCCAGTGGTGCACATTCGTTGCTTTACTTCTTTTAGCCAAGAGGCTTGGCCAAATTGGTTGGGCTCTGGGACTGTGAGTTCCAGCTAGGATGCCAGGTGGGAGGGTGGGAGGAAAGGGAGCCTACAATGGCGAAGAAGAGCAGGGAACCCAGCGAGTGAGACCTGGATCCAGGAAACTTCCAAACACAAGGAGGCATGTGGAAACAGCGCTTAACCTGGAACCGGAAGAGGTTAGATAAAGGGAGGTTAGACGGGGGTTTGTTGGCCTATCCTACCAGAAATCAAGCTACATCGTCATTCTGGGGGCCTTATAAAGATGACATACCCCATTCTTCATAGTCTAATTTACACTGATTATAGTGGAGTCAAATGAAGAGAAACTGGTGGCAGTGTGCAGGAGTTGCTCCTAGTTCACCTGCTCCCTTTGAGTCAGTGCAGAGATGGAGTACTCCTCCTTTTAAGCCTCTGGGAGTCAGGGAAGAACTATGACTTCTCCTAGTTAGCCTGGATATTTGTCATTAAAAAAAATCTACTGAACATATACTATGTGGTAGGCCTATTCTAGTCTAGGAAGATAGAAAGTTGAGTAAGGCACAGAATGTTTTTGCAAAAAGCTCACATAGAAGGAGAGACATACAGCTGACCATAGTAAAGGTCTGACTGCAAGATGAGCTCTAAAGGGATGGGGAAGAGGTAGACTGGAGGCCAGAAGGTTGGGGTGCAGTGATGGTGGGACCCAAAGAGAAGAGGCAACATTTCAGCCTGGCCTTGAAGAAGGATTTTGACTCAGGCAGATAAGCATTGTGCACTAGCCTTGAACGCCCATCCTGCCTTTTCAGTAAGTGTGGGAAATGTGCTGTAGTTGAAGTGTGGCTGTGGTGGGCTGTAGGCAGGCAGGGGGTGGATAGGGATGGCAGGAGGAGATAAGGCTTGAAGAGAAAGGTTTGGCTACAACTGTGTAAGACTTTGAACGTCACGCTTGAAGGCTTCATCCTCTTCATTGAGCAGAGGGTGATGGAAGCCATAGAAGAGGGGCTAATAGAGTAGAAAGAGATGAAATTTAGAAGATCTGAGAGTTGTGGTTCCTCTGAGGGGCTATGTGTCCTTGGACACTTGCCCTCTCAAAGGGCCACTTAAGTCACTTTAGATTCAGTTTTCTGAGCTGGAAAATGGATATGTTGGTCATAATGCTTATCCTAGATGCTCAAGGATGATCATGTTCCTCCGGTCGTAGCCTGCTTCAATTCTCCTCTTTCAAGGTCTTGCTCAAAATATCACCTTCTTATTAAACCTCCCTGGATTCCCCCAGGGTTGAGAAATCAAGACACAGACCTATGAAAAGGTAAAGTAACATATAAAAATGCCATTTGGCTAGGCAAATATGTGGTGCATGAAGGACTTGGGCTCTTACAAGAGAAAGGCCTGGGTTCTAATCTTGGCTCTGTTTCTTACTTAAACTCCATCAAGTTGCATAACTTTTAAGTTAAGGATGAAAATACCTATTCTACCTTCTTCTCAGAATGGTTGTAAAGATTAAATGAGCAAAATATATGAAGGTGCTTGGTAAATTAAGATGTGCTCTACACATGTTACTTGCCATGGTTAGTACTGGAGGTTTGGAAGTGGTAAGATCCAGTGAATGACCTTTTAAAAAGATAACGTTGATAGTGTGAGATGGGTGAAAGGAGGAGAAAGAGACAGGAGGTTGAGAGACCAGCCGGGTGCTATTGCAGTGGTCCAGGCAGGGAAGGATGAGATCATGGATCAAGATAGTGAGGATGGAGAGGCAGGGTGAATTCAAGTGCTTTTATGAAGGTAGAACCAACAGGACAATGGTACTAACTGGACAGGAGGGATTGAAAGAAGCAAAAATCCAAAGGTAAGAATTTTGGTGGATGGTGATGTCATGAACCAAGCCAGCCCCTTGTTACTTTCAAATTTCTGAAATTCAGAAAGTAGAAAGGAGGCATCCCAGGGCTTGAATTCAGTTATCCTGGCCCTCACTGGCCCTGGTCACTCTTCATTTTGACTCTTTCCTTCCCTTCCCCCATAGCACCTTTAGTAGAACCCAATGAACCTGAAGCCAAGCACAGGAGAATTTGTCCTTCCGGTGTGCCTTTCCCTACACCTTCTGCCTGATTGTAAGCAGGTGGCTGTACCCAAGGACACCAGCTCTATTTTGGCAGGAGGGCCAGGTGTGACACGAACAGGTGTCTGTTGGCATTATGGTAGACTGGCGTCTTCCCTTTCCCTGCACTGTAGCTGGGGCCCATCCCCCAGCCCCTCATTCATTTCTTCTTTCCTAGACATGACAGAGAAACTGGCAGGACTTACAGTGGGTGCTGGACTCCCTCAGATTCAGTCTGCAGCTCTATTTTTTTTTAAACGTCTTGCTCTGTTGCCCAGGCTGGAGTGCAGTGGCATGATCACAGCTCACTGTAACCTCGAATTCCTGGGCTCAAACAGTCCTTCCACCTCAGCTTCCCAAAGTGCTGGGATTACAGGCATGAGCCACTGTGCCTGGCCTGCAGCTCTTTATGGGGATCACATTTAATAAGTAGAACAGCTTCCCAGGTAGTAGGAGAACACCTGAGCCATGGCTGGGAGGCACTGCACTGGTAAGGGCATCCTAGCCTGGAAGGGTGTTTGGTGATGAGAGAGGCATTGCTAGAGGTGGCTTCTGGAGGAACCTGTTAGCAAACTGTGATTTATTTATCCCCATTCTTTCACCCAATAAATTTGATCCTCCTCTTCTCTATCAGGGAGCCCTTAGTCCTCTTCTCTTCTCTTTCTCCCATGGAGCTGTAGCCTTCTCATTCCTGTTGTCACACGGAGTGGCATTGGCCCCCTGAGCCCATCTTGGGCTCTATCTTCTTCCTGACCCTGACCTTCACCTGAGTGTTCCCTCTGCCTCATGATCTCCCCTCCACCCCACCCCCACCACCTTCCCACTGGCTTTATGGGAGTCAGGTGTCCTTCTCACGTCCCTTCCTTTCTTATTTAACTGACATCAGTCACCTTCGAATAGCATTTTAGCCTTTGAAGTCATCAGGCTCATTGATCTTCAGTGGCAGCTTTTATTGAGCACTAGAGTACAGGACAGCAGAGGCAACACAGCATTGTGGTTAGGGTTCAAATCCCAGCAAGGCATTTCACCTCAAGAAACCTTGGCTTCCCCATCTGTTAAATGGGAATTTTAATAGTATTAATACTTCATAGGATGGTCGTGAGGATGAAATGAGTTAATGGGTGTAAAAACCTTGATACAGGGCCAACACATCATAATTGGTCAATATACGTTAATCACTATTGTTATCAAAAGGAGAAAGAGTAGCTGTGCCCTTCAGAGGGTTAAGGGTTTTTGTTGTAGCTGAAGAGGTGGAACATGGCATTTTGAAACCTAGTTTCTCACATGGCTAAGAACATACCTTTCAAAACAGAGCAAGCAATCAGTTGGTCCTGACTGGAATGCAGCTAGTCTGGGAAGGCTTCCTTTGTGAGGCTGAATGAGGTGTGTTTCTGTGTAACATTGTAAGGAGGTCATATTTGCAGCCTGGGTCAGGGGAAAGGGTACATGGGCTTAATAGAGGTACTTGCTCAGATGCTCTCTCTCTGTTGCTTGATTCACTCTTTCCCTTAGTCATGGCCCTGTCCAAACCCAGTGAATCTTATCCTTCTTGTCCACAGGGAATTTGCCAAAGAGAGAGAGAGAGTGGAGAACCGAAGGGCTTTCATGAAGCTGCGGCGCCAGCAGCAGATTGAGCGTGAGCTGAATGGCTACCGTGCCTGGATAGACAAAGCAGGTAGGCCTGGGGGGCTGCAGGAGGCTGGTGAGTGGGCTGCAGAGACATCAGGGCCGGCCCCTCACTCCCAATGCTCCCATTCAAGGGGCAGCCTAGACAAGACAAGAGAGACACTCTGGATGCTTGGTTGGCTCTTAAGGTTCCCTGCTCATCCGACTTTCTTCCTCTGGGGTCTAACTGTCCTGTCTATCAAACTGTCCCAACACCTTAAGGCAGGCATCTTAGCAAGGTGAACTGAGTAAAAGTAACATAACCCAATCCTGGAGCTGAGACTGGGCTGATGGCGTTTTGTAATACCGTTCCTGGTGCTCACAGCAGTCCATTCATTCAGCAAATATTTATTGAGTGCCTACTTTGTGCCAGACCCTGTTCTAAGCACTTGGGATATGGCAGTGAGCCAAACAGTCAACCAGCTCACCAAAGCTCTTCTCTTGTAAAGCTCTCTAGTTGGCTAAGGCAGCGATAAACAAAATAATAAATGAGTAACTTATAAGACAATGATAAGGTGGTAAATATGATGGGAAAACTGATCAAGTTAGGGGTATGGGATATAGAATGTGCCACAGTTTTAAATAGGAGGTCAGGGTGGGCCCATTGGTGTGTAGACTTGAAGAAATGAAGGAGTGAGCCAGAAGAAGTTCTGGGAGAGGAGTATTTCAGCGCCAAGTACCTAACATGGGAGTGAGCTGGGGTGCCCAAGGAGCAGAAGGGGGAAGGAATAGGGAGGAGGAACAGGAGACAGAGTGACAGCTGTCATGGGGGAAGTGGGCAGCAATCGTGTTTGACCTTATGGGGCCTTGTAAGGGCTATGGGCTTCACTCTGAGTGACACAAGAACCATGGGAGGGTTTTGAGCAGAGGACTGACGTGCTGGCCGCATTGAGAATAGACCATAGAAGGATAAGGCTGGAAGCAGAGGGACTAGTAGTGCCGCCATCTAGGGAGGAGATAATGGTGAGAACAGGTGTTTTCCTAAGCCTTGAGCTGTCATCAGTTCTTACCCTGTGACTCAACATTAGGAATAGTTCTCAGCTGCCTGTGAGAATAGGTCCAAACCTATCATGATTTCATTAACCCACAGAGCCACCAGATTCAAGTTTGGCTGTGGCTCAGATGCTTATGAAGGGCATCAATCACCCCCATATTTGTCAATAAAAGGGACGGGTTTGCTTTCTTTATTATTTTAAAGGTTGGTTTGCATTAGTATTATATATCTTCATTTTCTTCCAGAGGAACAAGTGATTTCTTAAATAAAAACTACACGTATGACAGTATCTTTTCTCTATTCCTAATAGAAAACATAGCACAAAAGTGAGGTCACAGAGGAAAAATTTGGAGTATGATTTAGTGCTTAGTTGCTTGAGCCTTATTCTTCTGTAGGAGCTTTGGAATGACACTATAACACTTACTGTGACTGCCAACACACAAAAACCCTCTCTAAGCTCTGCAGTCAACTTTTGGTGACCTCCAAGGGTTGAGAGGGTACCTGTATGATTGCGATCTGCACTCCCTTGTAGCCTCTGGAAACATGAGCAATGTGTGTTGACTATACTTGCATTTCGCCCTTTCTCCTCCAAGGCTGTTGTGTAGGGATGAAGTGGACACAAATATCCCCTACCGCTTCCCAGAATGGTAACTCAGGCTTACCATGGGAGGTCAAGCAGATTTGCCTCTAGGCCAGGAAGGCAGCTTGATGGTCCCAGCTGTCCTTGGCTTTCTCGGCGGAGGAGCCATCTGACAGACCACTAAGAGAGCTGGCAGCAGACCCAGGAAGGAGCCCGCCCAGCCTTGGCCACCCCACACAGGTCAGGTGGCAGGGTATGCTGCTCGCTGGGGCTCTGCTTTTCAAATACTTGCAGAATTCCAAGGCTTCCCTTTCTTCCAGTTGGCAAAGCCAGCTCTCTCCTCCTTCTAAGAAAAAAGACGCACTGCGACGTCAAAGTGTGCTTCCTGGCCCTTCCCTTTACAAATGGAGCGCCAGTGAATCAGAGACAGATGGGTTACATTTCCCTGGAAAGACACTCAAGTTCTAAAGCGAACTTGGCAAAAGGCATGGGGTGAGGAGGAAGGGGGATGGCTTCAGCAAATCCAGAGCCCTTGAGTGCTTCCCAGAGATCTCGGCAGCACCACACACCTTCCATCTGTCCTGGGGGGTCCCCAGATCTGCTCACCCCAAAGCCCAGACACTGTGCACAGCAAAAGTGACTTGACTGTCTGGCTAAGATAATTAAAGTTGCTATGAGGTATTTTAACAAGTTCCTAATTTTTAAATGATGCCCTCCAAACACGTGCTATAAAATGACTTAAAAACCCTTTATGTCTGCAGGAAGGAGTGCCCCACCAATAACACTTAACCTGTTAATTTAGCGTTTTGCCAGAGGCTATACTTAAAAAAGAAAGCAAACATTTATGACTTTGTAATAATGGCCATCCGGTGAGTACCATCCCAGCCTTAAAATGTTCCCCTCCCTAGGAAATACATTATGTACTCTCAGTTTTATCTGTAGCTGGAATTACGGTAATGACTTTAACCTCTCCTACTGTCCTTTTACTTGTTAAAAGTGTTTAAATTAAACCATTGTTTAGTAGGGTCTGAAGCTAGCTTTCCCCCAGCAGCTGGGATCTTAGGGAATGTTTAACGAGGCCTCTGGCTCCCTGGCCTATGGGTTGAGCTCAAACTCATCCCGTTACTCCTCATAGGGCATGCAGGATCCCACCAGACTTGGGAGAGAAGGGCTATTTTGTTGATGCACTTGGAGGGATGCTAGTGAGGTTTGGTCTAAAAGTCTTAGTAGAAAATATTCCCCTTCAGATGATGACACCTCAGTAGAGTATGGGACTGCTCCTGGGGACACCAAGTGGGAAGAGTACAGGGGACTGTCTGGTGTCATTTTAGAACTCCAACAAGCAAATATATTATTTCATCATCAACCAGTCCTTCAGTTCTCTAACACCAACTAGGTGTTCAACAATCAGTTAAATTCTAACACGAAATACTACCTCAAATTAGCATAGACCCCACAGGTTAAAGGCTCGGTTCCACAGGACTGCCCCCACTTTAGATGGCAGCCAAAAGTGGGATCTCCAGGCAACCAACATATCTGCCTGGCTGACTACAAATCTGGGGTTCCCACAACCATCACCCCACTCCCCACTGGTTCAGTAATTTGTTAGAATGACTCACAGAACTTTGGCAAAACCATACTGTATTATAAAGGATACAACTCAGGAACAGCCCAATGGAAGAGGTATATAGGGCAGGGTATGGTGGTGGGGAGCACAGAGCTTCATGTCCTCTCTGGGAACACCACCCTCCCAGCTCACTGATGTGTTTACCAACCCAGATGCCTCCTGAACCCCAACATGCTGAACCCCAACATTTAGCATGCCCATCATTACATAGGCATGCTCGATTAAACCATCGGCCATTGGCAATTAAACTAATCTCTAGTGCCCCTCCTCCCTAGAAGTGGGAGTAGGGGGAGGCTGAAAGTTCTAGCCTCCAGTCCTGTGGCTGTTTGTTCTGGCTACAAGCTACCTCCTCTAACCTATCCAGGGCCCCTCTCTCCTCCATGAGTCATTTCATTAGCATATGAAAGACTGCCAGGAACCAGAGACAAAAACCAAATACTTTTTAAATTTTATCTTAGGGACAAATTCATGATTGGCCCAAGCCTCTTTGGCTCAGGCTCTGGTCAACCAACAAAGGATGGAAGCCATGGGGACAGGAGGAAACCCACAAGCCCCCCTCCTGTCTCCAAGGACCTTTGGGCATCTTCCTCTGACTCCTCCTCAGAGACATAGAATAAAGCCCAAAACATGGGCTCAGCTCCTGAATGAGGGTGTAGATGTTATAACCCATGGCCACTGGCAAGAGAAGCTAAGGAAGCTGTTGCTGCTAGAAGTTCAAGGAGTTAGGAAAGACAGGAAGCTGGGTGGAATTAAAAACAGAAATGGAAATTTTTCATTCCTATCAAGGATTTTAGCTTCTTCCTCTCTTCTCACAGGTATCCTCCTGAACAGGAGTATCAGACACAGAGCCGATTGTTACCCCAAACACCCCCTCCCCGAGGCTTCCTTTCTGTTCTCAGGAGCTCTCTGTGCACCCTCTGTGACACTTGCTTTCTTTCTGATGCTGGTGCCTGTGACAGGCTCTGAACTCTGCTCTCTCTCTGTTGCCCTGAGCTGAAGTTGTCCCTGAGGGATTTTAATCTTGCAGAATAATTTGGCATTTACAGATAATTTACCAAACCATTTGTTTCCATATAGAGGAAGTCATGCTCGCTGAAGAAAATAAAAATGCTGGAACATCCGCCTTAGAAGGTAAGGAAATGTTCTGATGCCTTATTCCAGTTGCATTTGCCCCTCTTAGGCGATGGCAATCTCTGTTATTCAAAAGGAGAGAAAGAAATGAAAGATGGTGTTCTGGGATTGGAAATGAGAGTCTTTCTGTCATAAAATCCCTCATGCTTTAAAATGAAGGGAATTGAGTCACAGATTTAAATGCCTTTTAAAGTGATGAAAATGAAACCCAAGAGTTGCTTTGTTCCAGGGCATGTGATTGATACTGAGCAAGGAAAAGGCCATCCTACAACCAATGCTATCTAAAGGGACCTTCTCTTAAAATGTGTGGGGATCACCTTGAGACCACTTTCATTACCAGGAAGTGGCATTGTAGATGAAGAGCCAGGACAGATGGATACGGAGTGCCTGTTTACCTCCTGCATTTAGATAGGCTCTAGCATGGCTTCCAGAGCTCTTGTGTTGCAGGAAGGTGCTGGTGAGCACAGCATTTGCGGTCCGGTAGACATCCGTGATTTCTGTTACCCTGGCTCAGGTATTAAAGGCAGATAGATGCCTGTGTTACAGGGGCCTCACACAAGGCATCTTGCCTGCATTCCTCAAAATTTTGTCCAGAATGGTCTGGGTGTACTTGTGGCCTCTCACTGGTCTTCCCTTTCCCTGATGCAGTGCTTCGAAGGGCAACCATCAAGAGGAGCCGGACAGAGGCCATGACTCGAGACTCCAGTGATGAGCACTGTGTTGATATCTCCTCTGTGGGTGAGTGGATCCAGTTAGATCTTTTACTGCTCTGAATCTCCCACGAAAAGGAAGATCCTGTCTTTTGAGAAGCACCACAAGGAGGGAAAGAATCCAAAGGGTCCAGAATTTAGGAATGTAATTAAGGAAAAGGGTGGAAATCGAATCTAGATTACAATGATTTATTTAAAAAAAAAAAAAAAAGGACCTGGGGATGCTATTTATTCACACGAAACATGGGATTTAGGGCTAAGAATCCAACCCAAGTTTTTCAGGTGTGGCAGATGTATTCCATTTGCAGAAGTATCCACCCTCTCCTGGGAGTGATGATGAGAACCCACTATGGGACATTGTTCAAAGGATCCTGAGGACCTGTTGCTTCCAGGGACACGGATGTGAGATCTTGAAGCCATTTGCTTAACAACAGTAGCCCCCACCTACTTCCATCATGTGAAATTTAAACTAATTCTGATTGGCAATTATTTAACATTATGTGTTCCATCTCAGGTGCTCCTAGAGATTCTGGCTGATGGCAGGTTTTTCCTCCCCAGAAAAAGGGAAAGGTCTTGTTCCATCCTCAAAAGCAGAAGAGACTTACAAAGCTCATTGCTGTTTTGTGCCACCAGTGGTAGAAATATCACCAGTGTAGCAGAAGAATTCCAGTGCTTGAAGCTATTTTAAAAGGAAAGGGCAGAAAGAAGCCCAATCTGTTAAAAACATAAACACGATCCTATTAAGATTCAAGACACTGGTGTCCTGTCTGGGGAATCTTTCCATTTCTTAGGACTGAGAGTGCCCAGAGAGGAAAAACAGGGTCACTGCCTATAGAAACTACTGAGCCCGTAAGATGGGGATTCCCCACACCTGCAATGTGGCAGTCACCTTGCCCTGGGACTAGAGCAGCCCATCTTGCCCTTCGAATGCTCCCTGGCCCGGACCACAGGATATTTTGCAGTCTCATTCTTCCTTACTTCTCCCTCTTAGGCACACCTCTGGCCCGAGCCAGTATCAAAAGTGCAAAGGTAGACGGGGTCTCTTATTTCCGGCACAAGGAAAGGCTTCTGCGCATCTCCATTCGCCACATGGTTAAATCCCAGGTGTTTTACTGGATTGTGCTGAGCCTTGTGGCACTCAACACTGCCTGTGTGGCCATTGTCCATCACAACCAGCCCCAGTGGCTCACCCACCTCCTCTGTAAGTAAAGCCTCTCTCTAAAGCCTCCTCTGCTGGTCCCCATGTGGGGCAGCTTGATGTGTGTGTGAACGCAAGACAGCAAAGCACCCTGCTAGGAAAGGTTCTACCTCTTCACGCTGTGAGGGAGGCCACATCGTCCTCAAGGGGGCTGGAGTATCTCATGACTGTTTCCAGCTTTCATTCTTTAGGTAAACAGATCATTGTTGATGAATCAACAAGATAGCATAACGTTATACCTTTGGGTACCATAAAGCCTTCACTTCCTTTCTTAAGGAGGCTCAATGATCAGGAGTTTTGATCATTGAAATCCTGGGCAGGAAGTTCTCAGGGCAATGGAGACCTCAAATAGACCAGAAGAAGAGCTTATAGGTCAGCTCCAGATTAGACTGCCACTGGGTGTGAGTGAGGGTCAGGGGCCTGTCCCTGCCAGGCATGTAGGGAGGAATCCAGCTCTTTGATCAAAGCCATAGTAAGTCCTCTCTTTCCCCCTGAGGGCCCTCTACCATATAAAGACCAGTGACAGGCCTACCTATTGAAAGAGAGCAATGCTGATCTCTTGAGTGCACCTGGGACTCGGCCTGGGTCAGAGGGTACTCGGACATCATTAGGCTCTGTCCAGCCCTGGCCTGATGTGGCCACCGAATGTCCTGACGTGTGTTGTTGTGAGATCCTCTGTAGGTGGGTGTGTTAGCTGAGAAGTGCATGAGCCCACCCCACATGTGGAACCAATGCTCTACTTTTAATACTTCCAGACTATGCAGAATTTCTGTTTCTGGGACTCTTCCTCTTGGAGATGTCCCTGAAGATGTATGGCATGGGGCCTCGCCTTTATTTTCACTCTTCATTCAACTGCTTTGATTTTGGGGTAAGTCCTCGGAAGCCTGCCTCTGCTCCTGCTTCGTGTTGATATGCCCTGGTTTTAGATAAGCAGCTTGCTCCTTACTCAGCATGAGGCACTGAAATCAGAATATGTAAAAGCGGAATAGATAAGATTAGCTAAAGGGAATTCAGAAGCGAGTGAATCCTTCCCATGCAGGGTTTGTTTGTTTTTCTGAGCTCTTTGATTTTCAATATTTTTATTAAAATGTAACACATACATTATAGAGGGTACACTTAAGTGTATAGCTCCGTGAGAGTTTACAAAGCTACCCATAGCCAGAGTTTTGAACCACTTATTATCTTGGGGGAAGCCTGAAAAGGACAAAGGACTTGATTTTAGAGGTGGTTCCATAGGAAAGAGAAGCTTATATATTTGTTTTTCTACTTCAGTTTAAAATTGGGATAATTATCTAGATAGACCCTCATTCAAACACACACACACACACACACACACACACACACACACACACACACACACACACACACCCTTATATTAGCAAGTCCTCACAGAGAATATCTCAGTCAGCTGTTTACTTTCTACATAGCATGGATATCTAAATGTATACATTGTGCTAACACTTCAAGGTGCTTTCACGTATCTTTTATTTTTGTCCCCTGCCGCTTACAGGAGTCCTATGAACTACATTACATTTCAGGAGTTAGCCTTCCCATTTACACAAGAATAAATAGAAGCTACCGTGCCCAAGTTCATATACCCAGTTAGCAGCAGAACTGGGTCGCAGAACTTTGGGCTCCTGAACCACTTCTCTTTCTGTCAATCCCACTACTTTTTCTGCCAAAGCTTCAGTTAGGTGCTAAAGATTTTGAACACTTGCTAATCTACATTTTAACTTGGAACATATGGTTCTGAGTACGGGCAATTTTCAGGCATAACAGCTAGTGAGAGATCACTTTAACCTCAGTTTCTTTGTGTCCGTACCTTTCGGCATTGCTGTCAGGATTAATAGTTGTTGTTTCTCCTAGCACAATATCTAGAACATAGTGGACATTCAATAAATATATAATTAAAATAAAAGAAATAGAAATGTTCATCTGAAATTGCTGCATCTTGCAGCAATCAGATCCTACATCACCATGAACTGTCACATTGCGGGATGCAAGACCTCCATGACTGAAAGATATTTATTATATCAAGGACCAAAACATTCTTGTTAGCACTAAATTTTAGGATGATGAGAGAATGTAGACCTTCTCTGAGATTTCTGTATTGAGAAGCAACTTGTACTAATCAGTTTCCTTGGTTTGAGTACCACTCCTTTGTCAGAGCAGCAGAAGCAGCAACTGGCTGTTGTAGTTTTCACCAAGGACAGGAGTCAGTAAGCCAATCTACAGTGTGAAGGATTAAAGTTAGGAAGGGGATTGGAGAGCAATGGGAGAGAGGTGGCAGCTTCCCACATAGGTAGTTCTACTGAAGGTAGGGCTGGTGGGAGAGGAGAGTTTTTATTTCCCCATCCCCCACTGAGAGCTGTTGATGGTGTGCTGGGCGCTAGAATGCCCCCTCTTCTCCTCTTCCTCCTCCTCTCACTGTGGCTGGCATTGCCTCTCTAGGTCACAGTGGGCAGTATCTTTGAAGTGGTCTGGGCAATCTTCAGACCTGGTACGTCTTTTGGAATCAGTGTCTTGCGAGCCCTCCGGCTTCTAAGAATATTTAAAATAACCAAGTAAGTGATCAGAATTTGGACTTTTCCCAATGTCTTTGAGAGTAGAACCTTTTTTCTGCCTTATATTTTCTTCCATCTTCTCTTTCCCCCTTAGGGGGAAAGTATCCCTTCCCTGCCCCACCCCTTTTCTATTCTTTAGCTCTTCCTTTTTCTCCAAAGATTAAACCAAAAATATCTATGGTGCCACATTCCCAAGGGGAGCAATAGGTTTCTGCCCTCTTTACTTCCTACAAATATACAAATGCAGCTTATTTCATAGACTACCAGGCATATGCTGAGCTGGGCTTGGTGGGTGACTTGGTATGCAGTGTTCACAGCTGTCACATTGTCTGGGTTTTGTAGGTATTGGGCTTCCCTACGGAATTTGGTGGTCTCCTTGATGAGCTCAATGAAGTCTATCATCAGTTTGCTTTTCCTCCTCTTCCTCTTCATCGTTGTCTTTGCTCTCCTAGGAATGCAGTTATTTGGAGGCAGGTAAGTGCCCAGAAGCTTTCCATCCAAAGGAGGCTCAAAACCCAGTCGTAGCCTGTGTTGGGCTAGGGTCATTAACTCAATCACCATGTTACTATCCTGTCTGCCTTTGCCCATGGCCTGAATTAACCACTGAGTGAGTTCATATGTGGAGTAAACGTCTCTGCTTTTATTCCTTTCATGCTGTACAGGGTTCTCATTCCGGGGACCCATCTCTTTGGTGCTGTCCCTGAAATGTGCAGCGTGGGCACATTCTTCAAAGTGCATAGTTTATCAGTAGTAGTCACTGTTACAGTCTTTGTAAGTTATGTGGAATGGGGAAAAAGTAGGGAAGAGGGGGGTTGTAGAAGAAAGGAGAAAAGAAGTGATGAAAGCTGTGATCTTGGGGAATGGAAAACTTGGTATGTGAGATTTTCATTTCATTATTTTCTCTAATTTTGTTTTTCAGGTTTAACTTTAATGATGGGACTCCTTCGGCAAATTTTGATACCTTCCCTGCAGCCATCATGACTGTGTTCCAGGTATGAGGCCAGCTGACGGTTCACAAGTGCTGCATGGGGTCCCTTGGACTGCACACTGCAAGACAAGGATGAGTTTCAGGATAATTCTGCTTTTCCTTTCCAGGCTCCTCCCAGGGGATTGAGGCACTCTTTCTAGTTGAGCGGTCATTACTACAATAATCCCTAGAACTTCTGTGGCTTTGTTCTTACCAATAGTAAGAGAGCTCTGTTGGGACCATCTCACTGTCCTTCTCTCACACCTGTGAGTTTGCAGGAGACACTGAGTCTGAGGCATTCAGCCAAGAATCACATCTATGGTTTTCTGAAATCTAGGGGCATCTTCTAACCCATTTAATGAGGTATCCATTAAATGGTGTTTATTTAACAAGGTCTCTTTTCCATCCCTACTCCCCCCAAAACTCAACCGTTTAAATCATGGGGAAAACTCAAAATCAATAGTGTCTTAGGCCTAAAGAAAAATACTGTTTGGCCAGAATCTGAGGTTGGACCACAACCCGTTTCCTGAACTGCAGCCCACAAGGCTCTTTCCAATCATGCTGCTGTTCCAGACCCTGTATCTGGGCAGCTCTGAGGACAGTTAGGTAATGACCAGACCACCTGATCTGTGTCATTTCCACAAGGACCTTGCAAAACTGGAGGTGGGAGACACTCTGTAGTTGGAGGAACAGAATCTTTCCCTTTGATGCTCTCCTTCCATTTTCAATGCCTAAAATTCTTTTCCATACGAAAAAAAAGTTTAGGATTATTTATGGAAATGACTTTTTTTTTTTTTAACTCCCTGGCAAGATTGTCAAGCAAGGGGGTAGATGCAAAAGACCCAGGCCCAGAATTTGCCCTTGGCATTGGCCCCATTTTCTCCTCCAGCCCAGGTTTCTGATGCGCCTGTCATTTGCTTTTTGTAGATCCTGACGGGTGAGGACTGGAATGAGGTGATGTACAATGGGATCCGCTCCCAGGGTGGGGTCAGCTCAGGCATGTGGTCTGCCATCTACTTCATTGTGCTCACCTTGTTTGGCAACTGTATCCTTTTTAAGATGCACCTCCTCAAGCTGCCTGCCTTCCTGGACCAGCATTTGAGGAGGCATTGGTGGTGGTGGTGCTAGAGCTTGGGTTGGTGGGACAGGGGCGTGGACATTGTTTGGTGTACTAAAGTAAATAAGGATCCTGATCTGAAGGACTTTATGTACTAGTTGGGTAAAGAATACAAACGTAAACAAGATAGAGTATTATCCAAATCTGTAGTGTATGCAAAGAATAACATAGGAGGCTGTTACATTGAATGGTTGGAGGTACTATGAGCTGGGGAACATTAGACAAAGCAGAGATCACTGTAGGCTGAAAGAGGCACATTATACCACTAATGAATTAATTACATGCTAATGTAGAACAGAGCCTGCCACATAGTAAGATCCCAAAAAATTAGTGTTAGGATTAATGCTATTACTGCTAATTATAGCAAATATGTATTGTATTTGGGCTATACGTGAGACCTTAAACTAAGTGCTTCATAGGCACTATTTCATCTAATCCTTACAAGACAGAGAAAAAAATATCTCGAGTAAAATAACTACTAAATTGTAAAGGGAAACTAAAGTCCAGTTCCATCTAACTCCAGTGCCCTATCCAATCACAAGATCTAGAACAGGAAATTTAGGTTTTAATCCCAGCAACTCTGTGTATCAGCTGTGTGGCCTTGGGAAAGTTACTTAATGACTCCAAGCTTCTATTTTTTACAACTGAAAGGAGAATAATAATATTTATCTCCTTTGTTCGTGGTGAATACTAAATGAGATAATTTATTTGCATGTGATTTATAATTACAAACTTCTATACAACTGTTAGATGCTTTTGGGGAGTTGGGTTGGCCGTGAATTGGGATTAGTAGAACAGAAAGGCAGAACCATGGGACGCAGGTGTATTTTTGCATTTTCCATAGTTTCATAGAGAAGACATGCTGTTTTACGTTTTCTACCCTGAAAACATCTAGAGGTTGGGACAGACTAGAAGCTCAATATGAGAAACTCATGAAAAGAACACTAGGCAGTAAGTCACAGACATGGAAGCTCCATGTGTCCCAATGGCACCATCATTTTCCTGATATTCTGGGGGTAGTCAGAGCTGGGCTTTGATGCTAGAACAGTTCTATGTTCCACAACACATAGGCTTTGAAGAGAGTTGGAAATTGAGACTTCAGGCACTAGAGTATGGCATAGGAATAGATTTCATAGTGAATCATGTCTGCTGTGTCACATTTTGTTAAATGAAATGTGGAACCCTTCAGGACCCTCACAAGAAGAATGGGAGAAGTTAGCATCTCATTATTGGGAGATGCTCAGTAACAGGGGCTCTGGAATCTCATTCTTTTTGTCGTTAAGGACAGAATGGTGTGACGCCCATTGGTCTAGGTAGGATTCAATTCCAGCCTCCCAGAATGGGGAGATGAGCTCCCATACTGAGCTCCCTACACATCTCGTTCAGTGATTCTCTTAGTTGTTATTGCTATGGGTAGAGGCCACAGCTGTCTAAAGACCTTTTGAATGTGGCTGAACAAACTCAAAGTGCTTTTTCTGTTCCCTTACTCATCAACAATTAATGCAGAAGACTTCTGTAACCAAATGCGTGGGTTTTTTTACTCACCAACAAGCAAGCAATCCGGCAGTGGATACTAATTGGTGTCCTCTAATTCAATTCTGACGCTATCTA
The DNA here is from genome assembly GCF_000001405.40 of Homo sapiens. NCBI lineage: Eukaryota > Metazoa > Chordata > Mammalia > Primates > Hominidae > Homo > Homo sapiens. The sequence goes on from NC_000001.11 coordinate 181,723,559, forward strand.
CCTGGAGATAGCATCAGATCCCACAGGTCGATGGCTCAATCCCCAAGACTGCCCCTGCCTTACGATGACGATTGCATGCCTCAGGTTACTTTACCTGTGTTTTGAAGGCTATAATTCGGGGTTCCCACAACCCCCTTCCTGGGTTTGGTTAATTTGCTAGAATGGCTCACAGAACTCAGGAAAACACATTTACTGGTTTATTATAAAGGATATTACAAAGGATGCAGTTGAAGAGGGGCAGAGGGAAAGGCATGGGGATGGGCACAGAACATTCATATCCTCTCCGGGAGTGCCAGTCTCCAGGAACCTCCACATGTTCAGCTATCCAGAAGCTCTCCGAACCCTGTCCTTTTGGATTGTTATGGAGTCTTCATTACATAGGCATGATTGATTAAGCCATTGGTCATTGGTGATCAACTTAACCTTCAGCCCCTCACCCCTCCCCAGGGGTTGTGGGGGTAGGGCTGAAAGTTCCAACTCTCTAATCATGCCTTGGTTTGGTGACCAGCCCCCATCCAGAAGCTACCTAGGGGCTACCAGATAACACTTTGGAGTTTCTAAGGATTTAAAGAGTTGTATGCCAGGAAACACAGTTAAAGACCAAATAATAATTTTTCACAGTATCGTAATTTTCCTCACCCCATCTGGCCCCCAGATGGTTTGATTCAAGTATTTCTTTATCCTGGGTAAAGAGATGATATGCAGAAGGAGGGAAGAAATATCCTCTTTCTCCTTTCAACAGAGTTGTACAACATCTCCCTCTCTGTTCTCACAGCCCCTGCTTAAGTGACTCTTCAGGGTAGCTTCTGTTCCTGTTAATGTCCCAGGCAGGAAAGATTATCAGGTGGCCTCTCAGCCTTGCTGAAGACTTTTGCTTTTCTTATTTGCCCATCCTTAATTCATCACCCCAGACACGCTACTGAATGTGTTCTTGGCTATCGCTGTGGATAATCTCGCCAACGCCCAGGAACTGACCAAGGTAAGCATTGTTTTCTGGGGATCTGATGTTTCTCTAGTGCCATTGGGTACCCTTTGGCCTTTGGAACTCTCTCCCAAAGTCTACATTGTCTGACTCAGGCCTGCCAGGAAGGCCCTTTCTGGAAACTTCTGGACAGTTGGAGAGCCACACACCCATGACGGAAGGCTGGTTCACTTTTATTGAGTTTGGTGAGCCTCAACCTAGCCCAGGGGGCCTCAAGGAACACAGAAAATAACATCTTAATTTCTATGAGCCCTCAAAGGAGTCCTTTCCAGGATCATCATGGAGAGTCAAGAAAATTCTAAAGCCCTGGTTTTAAGTTCCACCTCTGCTACTGCAACCTGCGGCTGTGTGACCTGAATCACATGACTTAACCCTTTTGGGTTTTGGTGGGAGAGAGATCAGGGCCATCACAGTTCCTGGGCTATGGCTGTTGGGATATTCCAGTAGGCAAAGGTCATTTTGGGGAAATTTCAATGAAGCCAGATACTAAATTTCTCACAGAACTGTTCCCTTCTTTTCTCTGATTAATTTCCCCAGTGTGGGGAGGTAATATTAACAGCAGTGGGATGGTCTACAGAGATGAGTAAAAACCCTTCTCTTCACAGAGGGTGCCAATTTGGTTTTGGGCAGAGGTGCATAGCATCCTGCTGACATTTCTGAGCTTCTTCCATGCATTCTCTGATGATCTTTCTACATCCTTGAGGGTCTTCTTATCTGCATATATGGTAGGAAAAATATCAGCTTTAGTAGCTGAGAAACTGGGTCTGAGTCCCACACCTGCCATTGGCTGTGTTGGCTTTGCTTGGACTCCTGATCTCTATTAGCATTGGTTTCTTCATGCATGAGACAGGAATGCCATATCTGCATTGTGTACCTTACAGGATTACTGTGAGGATCAAGTAAAATAACGTCTGTGAAAACCATAGCATGCTCTGAAGATGTATGTGCTCTTATTAGCTCTAGTCATTTTACCTGAGCTGGTTTTCCTTGGGTTCATCACATAGAGGGGACACTTGCAGGAATGCTGCTGAAGGGATGAGATCTTGGCCTAAGCACCCACTTAGCTGTGCAAAGAAGACACTACAATGGGGCACTCAGCCTCAGCACTTTACTTGGCGGGGTCCTTGCCTGGAAGGCCCCTGCTCCATCACTTCCAGACACTGTAGGACATCTGGGAAGTGTCAGCTCCTGCCACTGACCTCCACAGCCATAGCCAGCTCCACTGAGGGCTAGGGGTTGGGGTAGACTTCTCCTGGTTCTCATGAGCAACCTGTGGATGGCTCCAGGATGGAGACAGGGATTGCTGGCCACGCTATAGCTGTGAGACTACTGACTCCCAAGGGGCCTGGCCTCTGGCCATCAGAAGTCTCTGAGCCAACCTAACATCTCGCTGTCTTGTTTATCCTCTTCCTGTGTCTTCCTCACTTCACTTGGTATTCAGAACTCCTCCTTAGGAGAGCAGCCAAGGGAAGCTACTCTCCTTCCTGGGGATCCCAGGCAAAGCCATCTCTGCTTTGTGTCTAGGATGAACAGGAGGAAGAAGAGGCCTTCAACCAGAAACATGCACTGCAGAAGGCCAAGGAGGTCAGCCCGATGTCTGCACCCAACATGCCTTCGATCGAGTGAGTCAGCTGCCCCCTTCACTGATCCCTGAGCTCCTGTGCTAACAGCCAATTCATCAACTCACAGAACTATTGGTTATAGGAGTGTACCTACTACATGCTGGGAACTGTTCCTGAGAATACAGCAGTGAGCCAGACAGAGTCTGTTTTCATGGAAGTGTTATTTCAGTGAGTGAGATAGATAATAAACATGCACATCATTTCAGATAGTGACAGGTGCTATAAGTAAATGAAACAGGGTCCTATGGTGGAGAAGTACAGGAGCTGGGTGGGAGCAGCTTATGTCAAGCCAGAAGGGATTCTCTGAAGGGGAGCTGTTTAAGCCAAGACCTAAGTGTGTAGATGACAGTCATGTGACATTTTGAAGGAAGAGTGTTCCCCAGCAAGGTTCAGTGTGACTGGTGTGTAATTAATGAGGGGAAATAGAGAAAGGGCCAGGGAGGGGGCAGGGGCCAACTCGGAGGTCCTTAAAGTCCAGGTGGAAGAGTTTAGCTTTTATTCTAGCTGAAATCACAAGAGGACTTCAAGTGGAAGGATGAATAGGATATGATTTACACTTTTAAAAAGGTCACTCTGTTCTATGGAGCATAATGGACTGTAGGGGCCAGAGTGGAGGCAGGGAAAGAGTCTGCTCTCAGAGTAAAGTAGGTGAGAGGTAATGGGGGTTTAGACTAGGGTGGGGGAAGTCAAGGAGATGAGTAATCCCATTCAGTCGGTAGTTTGGAGAGAGAGCCAATAGGATGAGCTCATGGATTAAATGTGGCAGGGGTGAGGATGAATAAAAGGGAAGAAACAAAAATCGATCCCAGGTTTTAAGGTTTTGTGGACTAAGCAACGGGTTGGGGAGTGGTGGTAGTTACTGTATCCCTGGAAACTGTTGGAAATCTAAAGTTCATTTTGAGATACTTCTAAGGCATCCAAGTATTGAACTGGCTATTGGTTACCTGCATCTGGAGCTCAGAAAAGTCAGAATTAAAACAATGATTGGGGAAGGTTGTTCGCATTTAGATGGCATTTAAGTCATTAGTATGGGTCAGATGACCCAGAGACCCAGCTGCTGAGGACAGAGGCTGACAGCGCTCCTCCTGCTTAAGAGGAGAAATCAGCTAAGGAGACCAAGGGAGTGCAGCCGGGAGGCAAGAGAAAGAACAGGAGGTATAGTGTGCTGGAAACCTGTGAAGGAAAACTGCAGGAAGGAGGAGTGGGTGCCGGTGCTACATACTGTAGAAAAATCACATACAATGAGGAACAGAAAAGGGACCACTGCATATGGCAAAATGAAAGCTGTTAGTGACCTTACAAGAGCCATTTTCGTGGCCAGGTTGGAACAGAACCCAGTTGAAGTGGACTAGGGAGAGAACAGGATGTGATAAAGGAGAGTGGTGAGTCCACTGCTTCAGGGATCTAGCCTGGACCTGTGGTAGAGCTACAGGTAGTCGGCCTGGGCCCTGCGTGGCCTGGTCTCTGCGTGGTGACACAGAGGGGTGTTGGAGAAGAGGCTGGGAAGTGACCATAGAACCACATAACTCCTGTTGTTGCATCGGGGCCTGCATGAGGACTGTGTGAGTGGTGAGTGGTGCTGGGGCATCTGTGGGAGGGTCCGAGACCCCCAAGGGGGTAGAAGTCTATCCTGGCAATGACCCTGTCATTGTTACTTGAAGCTAGTAAGGGAAGAGCCCTTGGTTGGCTAGAGTTCCAGTGAAGGGCTCCCAGGCAGCCTCTTCCTTGCCTTGTGGGGTGTGCCAGGGTTGTGTGTTGAAGCGGGGGACCTCCCTCCTGCACGGCCATCATGTTGCCTTTGCCTTTCGTAACAAATGCCTGGCCCCTGGATCCCTCTTCTGTGAGTGAAAGAGAAAAATTCCCTTCCAAATCGTTAAAGGTTGATAGGGAAATGCCAAAGATTGATAGGGAATATTCCTCTCTGGAATATTCTCTGGGCCTTGAGTAATTTCTACTCCACCTTCCCTGAACTCATGAGTTTGGGTTAAAAACACATACACACAGGTATCCAAAAATGTGGATGGGTAGGACTGGCTGTCACTTAGGAGTGGGTGGTTCTATTTACTGAGATGAGGAAGCCTGGGGGAGAAGTGGGTTTAGAGAGATGTGAGTTGGGACAACGCTTGGCCCAGAGTAGAAACTCACTATTTCTGGAATGAAAGAATGAATGAAATGTGGGTAGGCACAGGCAGGGCCGTGGGAATTGAGCAGAGTGTGCATCAGGGCACAGTGAGGTGGAAGGACGTGCTGCAAACATCCAAGACCAGCAGAGACCCGGGCTTTGGTGCTGTACATGTGCTGTGAGGTTGGCGTTGCTGGTGTGAGCCACCTCCGGGTGTGTGTGCCCCGCTCAGCTGTGTACACTCTGCTCAGGTATGTACCCTGCACAGATGTGTGTGCCCTGCAAAGACGTGTGCACCCTGCTCGTGTGCGTACTCTGCCCAGGTGTATGTGCCCTGCACAGGTGTGTCTACATTGCTTAGGTGTGTGTGTCCTACATAGGTGTGTGTCCTCTGCCCAGGTGTGTGTGCCCTACACAGGTGTGTGTGCTCTGCACAGGTATGTGTACAATGCTCAGGTGTGTGTGCATTTTGCTCGGGTGTGTGTGCCCTGCTCAGCTATGTGTGCCCTGCACAGATGTGTGAACATCGCTCAGGTGTATGTACCCTGCTCACGTGTGTGTACACTGCTCAGGTGTGTGTGCATTTTGCTCGGGTGTGTGTGCCCTGCTCAGCTGTGTGTGCCCTGCACAGATGTGTGAACATTGCTCAGGTGTGTGTGCCCTGCTCAGGTGTGTGTACACTGCTCAGGTGTGTGTGCATTTTGCTCGGGTGTGTGTGCCCTGCTCAGCTGTGTGTGCCCTGCACAGATGTGTGAACATTGCTCAGGTGTGTGTGCCCTGCTCAGGTGTGTGTACACTGCTCAGGTGTGTGTGCATTTTGCTCGGGTGTGTGTGCCCTGCTCAGCTGTGTGTGCCCTGCACAGATGTGTGAACATTGCTCAGGTGTGTGTGCACTGCTCAGGTGTGTGTGCATTTTGCTCGGGTGTGTGTGCCCTGCTCAGCTGTGTGTGCCCTGCACAGATGTGTGTACACTGCTCAGGTGTATGTGCCCTGCTAAGGTGTGTGTGCTCTGCACAGGTGTGTGTGCCCTGCACCAGTGTGCGTACATTGCTTAGGTGTGTGTGCTCTGCTCAGTTGTATATGCCTTGCTCAGGTGTTCATGCCCTGCTTGGGTGTTAAGGCGAAACTGCTGATTTCCGACTACACTTTAAGTGCAAACATGGCTATCCATGAAGAAACACAGAAGAAGCACTGTTAAAAAGCAAAGTGCCTGAGTGCTAGTTATATTTGTCTCACTAATATACCCTGTGACCTCAGAGAGAAAACCACTCCGATCTCAGAACCTCTATTTCCTCATCTTTGAAATGAGAAGAATGCCACCTGCCCTTCCTATCCCACAAGGGCTATTGTGAGGCGTACACAAGGTCTCATTCATATGAGTTGGAGACATGTGGATGCTTCTCTGTATGATTTTAGGTATGAATGTAAGTTTGAATCTGTGCATATGTGAGTAGAGAGAATGCTCATGCTTGTGTGTGTGAGAGAATCCTTCCACGTACGTACACTCTTACACACATGCTTCTGGATAGCTGGTATTTGAATATTTGAGAATTTGCAAATAGATGGTGTGATGTGCTTTTCCTAGCAGATGTGCATGCTGCCTGTCTAAAGCGTACGCTTCTACTTCTGTATCTACCCATGCTTCTTGGCTCTCCCGCCCCCACCTGTGCCTTGTTGCATTGCAGGTCACTGATGCTGAGGGTTGTATTCAGTTGAGGAGCTCACAGGCTTCTCCACAATGATGTCTGCATCAGTGGGTGCTCCTGGGTGGCCACACACATGTGCACTGTGCATCTTCCAGACACCCAGAGTGGGCCTCAGACCAACTGCCTCTGCTCCCTCAGTCCCACCCTTGTGTGGGGCTCTTCTGCAGACATGTGAAAGATGGCAGTTGAGGGGGATTAATTTGCCTAGCATGTTCTCCGTGGGTGGGCATCAGCTTTATCAGGAAAGGATCAGCATTTGCCAACATCCCAGGTCCAAGCAGGGCCCACTGGGCTGGACTGAGTTCATCAGGCCAGTAACTGGGGCAGGCTCACTGCAAGGATAGCCCAGATGTGTTGTCCTCTAGCTGAGCATTGAACCTGTGCTGACAGCTTATTTACCAGGCATCCTGTCTGTTTTTGCGGGAACAGTTCATACGTTGCCATTCTAACCTTGTGTTTGTAAGGACACAACATGCATATGGAAGAGAGTTTTCTCTGTACAAGGCTAAGAAGGTCAATACTCTGCTCTGCCCAGGTGAACATAGAACAGGGTCTATGGCCAGGGCCTCTGCGTTGCTCAAAGGCAGAGGTCACTGCTCACATCCTGGAGTACATGGATGGTGGCCTACGGAAAGATGGTGCTGCCTCTGACCATGGACCACTTCGTAGCCTTGACATCGTGCATGGCAGAGCACTTGCTCCGCTGCATGTTTTGTGAAGCTGGGTCAGGTTCTGCTATGGGAGTCATGAGCTGGGGAGCCACACCCAATGAATGTGCTATGCTAGCCCTAGAAATGACTCGGGGGAGGGGAAGAAAACTACTCAGCAACATCTACAGGATTTCCAAAATAGGAATCTGAAGGATGTGTAGGTGGAAGTTTGCGTGCCTGTGAGGCATGGTGTTTGAGCATCTGGAGCTGTGGATCATGTGAAATGGCATAACCTGTGTGCCTCTGCATGTGTGCTTCAAAAACTAGATCCATGTATTTGCACATAGCAAGGAATCGAAAGTCACTCCATTGGAGAATCGAATGTGGGGAGTCTACAGAAGGCAAGCAGGCACATGGAGACCTGATGGCCACACAGAGGACTCCCTGTCTCCCTCTGGAAATCTGCTGGTGGCTGTGGGGCTTGAGGTTCCTAGAGGTTGGGGTGAACTGAACCTGTCCATTTTTCTTCCCCAGAAGAGACAGAAGGAGAAGACACCACATGTCGATGTGGGAGCCACGCAGCAGCCACCTGTATGTGTGTACCAGTTTGCGTGTTTGTGAGTGGTTACGTGTGGGCGTGGGACAATGTGTCATTGTCCTTGCCATAGACAAAGTGGCACTGGGTGTGCATGTCAGTGTGTGGCTTGGTGTGTGTGTGTGTGTTCCGTTCACATGATCTGTGGATATGCCCTCTGCACCTCTCAACATTTGCTTATATCAGCGTGTGTCTACCTTTGTGAACTGTGTGTTTTTCGCTCTTCAGTCTGGCCTGTGAGTGGGTATATGTTGTGTTAGTGTTGGTGGGTATACCTCTCACGTAGGTAGTTGTGTACAGCTATGTGTGGGCCTCAGCGAGGATGCGTGTGGGTACATGCGCGTGTCCCCTTCACAGTTTGTAGGTGTGCGCCCACAGGCACAGGCTCAGGGAGGAGGTAACTTCCCCTCCGCCCAGCGAGCCCTCTCCCATGTGCTCTCCTGCACTTGTCATGTTCATGATTTCCCGCTGCCCCATGAATGCTCCTCTAGGCCCCTGGGCTGAAATGCTCGATCGCAGTTTTGAGTATGAGCTGCTGGTGGTCTCTGCACTTAGCCTTCTCTGGCTTTTATTAGCTATTGTGGAAGAGACTCCTAGCACTCTTACTTTTGAGGGTGATATCAAGACTTTTTGTAATAAGTCTGCCTGGCACTCTTCTTACCCTTCAATGGTATCTGACCATTTCAGCCCTCATTATCCCGGGCTGTAACCTGAGAGGGAAGGGAGATGAGGGGGAGAGGAGGAGGAAAGACCTTTGACCTTGAATCAAGGGCCGTTGAGTGTGTACAAGCAGATGCCCCGAAAGCAAGGAGAGCAGGGGAGTGAAGACGTGGTAAGCCTGTGGATGGCTGCCCCAGCAGGCCCTGGGGACTTGGAACTCCTCCCAGGGTTGATGCCTACCCAGCCCTCAGCTACTACAAAGCAGGGATTGGAGCAGAAAGTACCTGGGCTGGGAGGCACCTGCCTGATGAGCTCCTCACGTGTGGCCCGCCTGCTCCTCGCATCTTTCTGTGCTTCCTGTCTGCAGGTCCTGGGCACTCCCATTTGCCCCCACCATGTGTCCTGCCCTCTCACATGGCCCCTGTGGCCACCCTCCCTGCCTGCAGCTTCTGGGCTCTGACCGCGGCCCTGCCCTTTCCCCTTGGCAGGAGGGAGCGGAGGCGCCGGCACCACATGTCCGTGTGGGAGCAGCGTACCAGCCAGCTGAGGAAGCACATGCAGATGTCCAGCCAGGAGGCCCTCAACAGAGAGGAGGCGCCGACCATGAACCCGCTCAACCCCCTCAACCCGCTCAGCTCCCTCAACCCGCTCAATGCCCACCCCAGCCTTTATCGGCGACCCAGGGCCATTGAGGGCCTGGCCCTGGGCCTGGCCCTGGAGAAGTTCGAGGAGGAGCGCATCAGCCGTGGGGGGTCCCTCAAGGGGGATGGAGGGGACCGATCCAGTGCCCTGGACAACCAGAGGACCCCTTTGTCCCTGGGCCAGCGGGAGCCACCATGGCTGGCCAGGCCCTGTCATGGAAACTGTGACCCGACTCAGCAGGAGGCAGGGGGAGGAGAGGCTGTGGTGACCTTTGAGGACCGGGCCAGGCACAGGCAGAGCCAACGGCGCAGCCGGCATCGCCGCGTCAGGACAGAAGGCAAGGAGTCCTCTTCAGCCTCCCGGAGCAGGTCTGCCAGCCAGGAACGCAGTCTGGATGAAGCCATGCCCACTGAAGGGGAGAAGGACCATGAGCTCAGGGGCAACCATGGTGCCAAGGAGCCAACGATCCAAGAAGAGAGAGCCCAGGATTTAAGGAGGTGAGTGAGTCACAGGGCTCCCAGATGGATGGCACACAGGCTGCTGTTAGGTGTTCCTCAATATAAGCCTTTCTGAGCTCCAGTTTCTTCTCCTATTATAAAATGGAAATGATGCTGACACACACTTTGTGAGGTATGAATAAATATAACAGGCAGTGGGCTCTGTCCCCCCAAAAACGAGGGCCTGTTGGAAGTGGGTCGTGGATAGAAGGATGGGAATAAGGCAGTGGCCATGGCTTGTGGGTCTTAGCACCTCTCTGCCTGTCTGGTTGGGGTGGAAGGCAGTGGTGGCCTTGTACCTTCCAGGCTGCCTGAGCTTCCCCGCCTTCCCCTTGTGCCAGGCACACCTGCCATTTGGGGACAGCGTCTGAGCACCAGCTCTCTCTTCCTCTCTCTTCACAGGACCAACAGTCTGATGGTGTCCAGAGGCTCCGGGCTGGCAGGAGGCCTTGATGAGGCTGACACCCCCCTAGTCCTGCCCCATCCTGAGCTGGAAGTGGGGAAGCACGTGGTGCTGACGGAGCAGGAGCCAGAAGGCAGCAGTGAGCAGGCCCTGCTGGGGAATGTGCAGCTAGACATGGGCCGGGTCATCAGCCAGAGCGAGCCTGACCTCTCCTGCATCACGGCCAACACGGACAAGGCCACCACCGAGAGCACCAGCGTCACCGTCGCCATCCCCGACGTGGACCCCTTGGTGGACTCAACCGTGGTGCACAGTGAGAGCACAGTCCCTGTTCCCCTCCACCCCCAACTCCTATCCCATCTGGGGCTGGGGCCATGACAATAAAGCCACATGGAAAGCACCACCAGGAGGAGTAAATCATCCTTCAAGAAGTAAAAATGAGTGGCGGTTTTCTCCCAGTGTGCAGAACAAAAATAAGCTAGCGTTCTCTTCATCTTAAATTTTTCCCATAAAATTTCCCCAGGCTTGTTCCTGTGACCACCCTCAAGTCTTCAGAGTGATCACTTGTGACTTTGTGCCCAGTTAGATATTCAGCTGTTTGCTTTGGTGCATGAATATTTGATGGTGTTGTCTGGGGTCTCCCAGGTGCTCTGCTGCCCTGGCAAGTTAGGGAGCCTCTGATGGAGTGGACCATGGCTCTGCTCACTGAGTGATCTTGGAAAAATCTCTGCATCTCTTGAGGCCTCAGTTTGTCATCTGTAAAGTGAGAGCATTGTACTAGATGATCTCTGAGGCCTTTCCCTGTACTAACATTTTATATGATTCTATTGCTCTTATCAACTCTTTTTCTCCTAGGAGCTTTTAGCCACAAGTTCTCCCCATCACAGTTCCCTTAGGCAACAAATGTTAATCAATGGTGTCCTAAAGGGAAACACAGCCAAAAAAAAAAGCACTTCCCCACCCCTGCCCTGACCCTACATCCCATCCCTGTATTCATCCTACCCCTTATCCTTGCCCTGACCCCATACCCCATCCCTGCCCTGACCCCACAGCTCATCCCTGCATTATGAATTCCACACCTTATCCTTGCCCTGACCCCATACCCCATCCCTGCCCTGACCCCACACCTCATCCCTGCATTATGAATTCTACACCCTATCCTTGCCCTGACCCCACACCCCATCCCTGCGCTGACCCCACACCTCATCCCTGCATTATGAATTCCACACCCTACCCTTGCCCTGACCCCATACCCGATCCCTGCCCTGACCCCACACCTCATCCCTGCATTATGAATTCCACACCCTATCCTTGCCCTGACCCCATACCCCATCCCTGCCCTGACCCCACACCTCATCCCTGCATTATGAATTCCACACCCTATCCTTGCCCTGACCCCACACCCCATCCCTGCGCTGACCCCACACCTCATCCCTGCATTATGAATTCCACACCCTATCCTTGCCCTGACCCCATACCCCATCCCTGCTCTGGCCTCATGATCTCTGTGCATTAATCCCACCTGCTGCCCCGTGATCACTGAATTGTGACCACAGGATTCCAGCCTTGCTGTTTTCCTCTACTTTTTCTGTATTTACTCTTTCACATGAAAATCTTTTCCCTCCCTGTTTTTCTTTCTTCCATGGCTCCCTCTCCATTTCCGCATCTTCTCTATAGTCAACGTGCCACTGCTACTTCAGAAAGTGCAATCTCCCATGTCCAGTGCATGCTTCAGTTGACTTGGGCATGTCTCAGGATCCCAGACCCACAGCTCTTTTGGTGTTTGTTTGCTTTAATACATAAGAAGTGTTTTGGGCCTTCTTTTATGAGAAAGAACATAAAGCTTTACTCTCCCTCTGTTGTAATTCCAGAGCTAGTCTTTGGTCTTGGTCATAGGTAAAAGCATGTGATAGGAAGGCTTTTGGATACTTCTTATGACTTACTCTTTAGGAGGCCTGGGCATGGGCCAGGACCACCGAGGTCCACTGCTGACACAGGGTTCCAGGGTGGAGTCATTCAATGAGCAGGGAGCAGTGGGCGAGGGTGACTGGGGCCCTTTCCCCACTGTGACAGCTTCAGCCTCCTGCCAGTTTAACCTACACCGTGTCTTGAGTATGGAAACAGAGCAGCAGCTGAGAGCTCCCCTCGACCTCTGGCTCCTTCGTCCTCCCAATCCTTGGATGCAGTCATGGACCTATACTCACATGAATATTGCATTCTCATTTCTACATTAACCATGGCCGAGAAAAGCACAGCCAGAAAGCCTGCTGCAAACAGAATCATGATTTCTTGAAATCTTCCATTGCAGGGTGATTCAATGAAAGGCTATAGGATTTTGAATTGGGAACCCATACTAGCTGTATGACCTTAGGAATGGTACTTAAATTGCTAGAACTTTAGTTTTCCCATCTGTATCATGGGAGTAATAATACATGCCACTGAGGGTATACCCCTCAGTGGGAAAATTCAGTAAGTGAGCATGTACAAAGAATCCAGAGTTTAGATATAAAATCTAAACCTTGTGAATTTTATAACAGAAACATCATGTTGTTTATCAGACTGTAAAAGTTCAACCTTAAAAGTGGAAACATGATCATGGTCATTTATATGACATAAAAGGTTATTTCTCATAACATTTGGGGAGGGTAAAAATAAGAAGAGAAGAGGAGTTTAACTCAGTGTCAGGTAGTAAATACCCCCAGTGCCTGCAGGGCACCTTGTTAGGGACATCCCTGGAGCCCTTTCTCCTCCTCTCCTTTCATCCCCAACTAAACACAAATGGTGCCATTTTCACATGCCTCATGATTTCTGAAGATTTCAACGTGTTCCTCTTGCAGTTAGCAACAAGACGGATGGGGAAGCCAGTCCCTTGAAGGAGGCAGAGATCAGAGAGGATGAGGAGGAGGTGGAGAAGAAGAAGCAGAAGAAGGAGAAGCGTGAGACAGGCAAAGCCATGGTGCCCCACAGCTCAATGTTCATCTTCAGCACCACCAACCCGTAAGCCACCCTCGCGTTGCTCCCTCTTTAGTGCTAGGGTAAACGGCCAGGTGTGAGGCAGGGCAGGGTGAAGGGGAGAGGAAGGATGGGGGCCCAGCCATCTTCTTAAGCCTTCCTGGTGGAGCATGGCCAGACATTGAGCATCTGGGGTGCCCCCTAAGTGAGGTGGGTTGGTAAGTTAGTCAGCCTCTGAACTCTGTGCCCATAGCTGAAAGAGTAACATCGACAGGAGAACATGAGAAATGTCATTGGAAAGGAACTCTTTACCAGTCTTTGGTCAGTAGGTAGTGTGGAGGGAGGAAGGAAATCTACTTGAGATTTTGCCACCAAATATTCCAGAAGTGGATAGAGCCAAGAATGTGGAGCCTAGAATGACCAGATCACCTGTTGGAGTTGAGAATTTTGGTCACACTGCTCTACATGTGGAGTTTTGAAATGGTCTGCTCTGAGCATGCTACTCAGAGCAGAGGCAGGGACATGAAGTGGGGGTGACAGAGCGGAGTCTGGAAGGTTAGATTCAGGAAAGATGGAATTTGGGAAGAGCGTTCCAGCAGGGCTCTGGGAAGGGAGCAACCTGAGTTAAGGCATGTGAGCCATCCATGGCTAGAATGCAGAATATAGAATACAGTTACTTTAACCAGAATAACCTGGGGCTCATGAAAACTCATTACTGCTTTCGTCAGGAATTTTAGAATCAAGATCTCTTTTTATGTTTTTTGGTTCTTTGTAATTTCCTTGGGATGTCCCAGTTTCCTTTCAGTGGGAGAGTAGACATCGAGATACAGCAGAGGGTGCTATGCAGCTGCCCTGAGTTGGTAGGCTGATGCTGGCTGCTCCCCATGGCTCAGACGTGTCTGTGGATAATGTATCTTGGCTTGCGTGCTGCAGCCTCTAACCAATCTGATTACCTTCCTCCACTGGGGCTTTAAATCAAGGGTGGTGGCTGAGAAATTAAATTGCTCTCCCTGGCGGCTTCCTTTGGCAAGGGCCTGGCTGTCTGGAAGGGGCCAATATGTGTATGTGGGAGTGAGGAGTAAGGGCATGGGCGTGGTGGGGAGTGGGCCAGCTCAGCCATGCCCACTGCCCGCAGGATCCGGAGGGCCTGCCACTACATCGTGAACCTGCGCTACTTTGAGATGTGCATCCTCCTGGTGATTGCAGCCAGCAGCATCGCCCTGGCGGCAGAGGACCCCGTCCTGACCAACTCGGAGCGCAACAAAGTGGGTACACAGGGGCCATGTGCCAGCCTCTGTAGTGCTCTGGTGCTCACCCCATCCCAGCACTGGAGGTGAACCGAGATGGTAGCAAGGTTTCTGGGGAATGAGCAAGGGTTGGAAATTGTCCACTCCTGTTCCTCAGGGCGAAGTATGAACCATTCCCAGACAAGCCCCTTCTTAGCCCAACATACTACAAGGCTCTGCCCCAAACCGGCCAGGGCTCTGCAGGGCTCTGCAGCCACCCATGGGCTTGGATGTGGGTCTAATATAGGGTCATGGATGGTGTGTGTGAAGCTGGCAGCTGCAGCTCCACCACAGGGGGCCAAGGCCTCTCCTGGGGTCCCACGGGTATGTGTCAGGAGACATGAGGGACGCGAGGAGGACAGGAGCTGACAAGGATTTCAGGTCCCGAGCCTGAACTAAGGGACAGGTATGTGGGCAATTCAGACCCAAAATGCTAAGTTCTGGCCAACGAGAGGGAGCAGCCAAGGAGTGGCCACTGGGTCACATGGCTCCAGCAGGGCCCATGCCCCTCCTTCTGGCATTTCTCTCTCAGTCCAGCTAGTGGCTCTAATTCCAAGCCTTTGTTCTGAGGGTGCAGTGGGTGAGGGCCAGGGTGGGCGTGCACGAGTGCATGTGTCCTGGCAGGTGGGAGCTCATGTAGTAGCCTGTTGGCCACACATGGTCATTTCCTTCCACCATATGTGTCTTTCAGGTCCTGAGGTATTTTGACTATGTGTTCACGGGCGTGTTCACCTTTGAGATGGTTATAAAGGTAAAAACTTCTAGAGAAAACCTGGGCTCTTGGGTTTAGATGGGTCACCTGTCTGCTCCTTAGGCTAGAGCCCTTCCTCAGTGTTACCACCTACCAGCCAATGGCAGCCCTCAGTAGAGCTTCTGCCGCCCCTTCTCTGGCCTCAGAATCCTGAAGAAATCTGTCTCAGCAAGACACGGCTGCGTGGATGTGTTTGTACTGCTGCAGGCCTGTGGACATGGCCCAAGTAGGAGGCAGGCAACAGATGTGCAGACAGGGTTGGGGCCTGCACTCCCCTCCCCAGTGCTTGTCTTGGCTGAGCCTGGGTGTGTGCCAAGGCAAAGGGCTAGGTAGAGATGAGTCTTCCTGGGCTTCATCTAGTCCCAGCCACCACAACACTCCATAGTCTGTCTTGTTCCCAGCCTCATCCATCCAGGATTTTACCCATCTGTGCATATGTGGCAATGCCCAGTGCTCTGAGCCATAAATGAAAGGAGGAATGTGTCAGGGTTCTGTGACAACCAAGGAGTCTAGTGAACCCTGGGTGACTATGAGATGGGGGCCTCAGGACTCAGTTATGTGGAGAAAGCCTGCTGGACCTAACCTCTCATTCTCCAGGTCCTAGCATAGGGTTGGTTGTGGAGACAGTGGCAGTGGGGGCACTGCCATGATGAACAGAGCTCAGGTCAAGTGTTGCCCACACTTTCTTGGCTCACTGTGGCTGTTCATATCCTTCTGCAGATGATAGACCAAGGCTTGATCCTGCAGGATGGGTCCTACTTCCGAGACTTGTGGAACATCCTGGACTTTGTGGTGGTCGTTGGCGCATTGGTGGCCTTTGCTCTGGCGTAAGTGACTCTTTTCATATTTGATTCCCTTCCTTCCCCTCTTCCTGGAGACTCCAGTTGATTTGAAGCCCTTTCCAGAAATGCAACATGCAGGGTGATGCCAAAGAATGCCCCCGCTGGAAATCTGCTCCCCAGTCGCCCCCAGCAGAGCTCCTGAGCGCCTTGCAGCTCCAGCTCACGTGACCTGAGTGGCAGAACGGGGGAAGCAGGAGTAGGGAGCGTCAGGAGGGAGAAGTCAGAGGCCCTAGGAATTCCTTTCCTAGAGATGAGTAAGCATGGGCAGGCACTCACAGTGTGGACAGTGTTTCCATGCATTCAGCAATGGACCCAGGAACAGCTTATGGGCCCTTTCTTTCTTGAGTGTGTCAATCAAGGAAGCAGCTTGAAAGAAAGATGCAGAGGGTAGAGCAAAGTTGAGGATCACGGAATCCTAGGCATGGTGAGGTTTTCTATTCATAGCAGGTGTAAACGAGAGCTCTTCCAGGGATGCCAGAACCATGCTTTTGCACAAACCTAATAATATGTGTAATCTCCAAAAGGAAAGGCTTTCCAAACTTTCCTTGATAACATACCTAGGAAAACAGTCTTAAACCATTCAGGCAACAAAATCATGTTCATAATATTTGTGGGATTTTTTTCCCCCCTGCACATGGATCCAGCTCTAGCCAGTTTTCAATCACATTCTGACATTTCCTGTGGAATCTAGCCAAGGAAAGGGCTCTTCTAGCCCTCCTGGGATTAACTAGGAAATGGGATGCTTTCAGGGCCTTTTTCCTAACCCGGTGTATAGAGTGTCCCAGTAGGATGAATGACAGCCTCAGGGCTCTGTCTGTACCTTGTTCACCCTGAGCAGCTTCAGCCTCTTCCAGGAGGCACAACAGAATTCTCAGAGCCATCCCTCAAGTCTCTCTGAGTACAAGTGGAAGCCTCATCTTTAGGCTAAGCAAGGCTAGCTACACTGTGTAGTGAGGCAGGAGAGCTTTCAGGAGCTTCTGTCATTGATGGCAGCTGCAAAAGGAACACAGTATCTTCATACGTTTACCCTTCTGAGTGGTTTTCCCTCCAAGGGTTTGCCCTTCCAAGTGTTTAGAAAGAGATCACCCTTGGAAGGGTTTGCCCTTCTAAATGTTTAGAAACACAGGGAAGCTGACAGTGCTTCTCCCCAAGCTTCTCTTCAAGCACTGTCAGCTGCTGTCTCTTATCCTTTCTGGCAGAAAAACAGGTGGGATAAAAATTACCAGATGTTTCTCAAGTGGCCTGGTGGGGGTGGGGATAGTGGAGGGCTCTCTCTCTCTTAAGGAGAGGTACAAGATACACTCCCAGCTGTGCTAGGAGTGTAGGATCTCCCAGACCCTGGAACTGGACTGTGTCCACTGCTTCCTCAGCCATGAGAGACCCTTCAAAAGAAAACCACATTGAGCATAGTTTGTGACTCTAAAATGGGCTGGTGATCAAGGTAATTCCAGTGTCCCTTGTCCCCTTGTGCACATGTTAATTCCATTGTGTGCAGTCACCTTTGTCCCCCACAAAAAGAAAGCTTTCTGTCACATGTGGCTGGACTGTTCTTGAGGAAATTTTACAGAAGCATGGGGTATTTTCTCAAGCATCTGGGCCCTGTCTGGATTCTCATGGTGCAATGAAAGGAAAGGCAGCTCTGGCTCCAAAAGAGGGACTTCCAGCTCCTCTTCCGTCTTCTTGGAAAGAAGGATTAAAGTCTGCCTTTGCCCTAAGGAGACCCACCTTTTTTGTTAGAGATAAATATTATCCTTAGGTTTTTAAAAGGTCAAGTTCCCTTTCATTTTACTAATTCATTTGCATAGATTATTCACTGTATCATTCTTCTTATTTTGATCTCTAAAAATCATGTGTCTCTCTTTGAAGTATAAAGGACAAAGAGATAGAAGCATATAGGAAAGAACCCACCCCATCTTTAGGAAGAACAGAGCCCACTGGCATAACAGGACAGAGTGGCAAGAAAGGTTGGGCTGTGGAACCAGACGGGCTCTTGTTTGAATCCCAGCCCCTCTACTTTCCAGCTTTGTGTCCTTGAGCCACACAGCAAAATATTAACCCTCCTAACCTCAGTTCTCATCTCTGAAATGCAGATAAAATAATGTGTGTAAAGTGCTTAGGACGGGGCCTGATGTAGTGTGAACAGTCAATACATGTTGATTCCCCTCCTCATCCTTCCATTCTCTTATCACATCATGAAATCCAAATATAGGAGGAAGTACATATTGATGCACAATGTATACAGATAGATGTGTGCAGGCTGGCCCAAGACCTAGTTGTTTTATACAGACACACCCCCCTTGCCTATGCCCGTGTGCCTGGTAACCAGGCTGGTGTGTTGGTGCCAGTGTGGGAGGAGGTGTGTTTTAGAGGGAGCTCCTGCATGCCTGCCCATTGTCCACAGTCCAGACATCTCTCCTGAGACCCAGAGCAGTGATGATGTGCAGTAGAGCTGTCATCTGTCTTGTTCTTTCTTTGTGCCCTTTGAAACATGGCGGTGGTGGCTTTGGCGCTGGTGGCAGGGGAAGCCTTAACGGCCCCGGAGCTGAAGCCTCTCTGTTGGTCCTCAGACCAGGTACAGTGCAGGGGCCCCCAGGAACCCCCTCGTTCTGGGGTCCACACTTATGTGATGTATTGAGAGTTATGATCCATCACTTGCTTTTAGTCATGTTACTTCTTGAACTCTCTCTTCATTTTCTCTGAAACATAGATGATACTTGCTCACCCTTCTCCATCCATTTTCTCTTTTGCCTTCAACTTCCCAAGCTTGCCATGCCCATTCCCTCTCCCCTTTCTCCGCTCATGGAGCAGGTTCCCACTCCCCCTCCTTTGGCCTTCGTCACATTTGCTGAGGGAGGTCCAGGTAATGCTTTCTCTCACTCATGCACCCATGCTTTCTAACTCTGCCCTGTTCCTTTCCTCATTAATCGTACCAGAGAATTCAGCTCTCCCATCACTTTGATGGGGTTAGCCAGAGTCCCACCTGCCAGCAGAGAGAGGGCCTGGCCTGGGGCAGAGAGTGAAAGAAGTCACTGAGCCTATATTCCTCATGGTCAGGGGCTCAGGCCAGCAGAAAGCCAAATGTGGGGTTGTCTGCAGGCTTGTCAAGTATCTCTCTCCTTGTGTTTACAACTTTCGTTATCATATCCCATATATTTGCCCCATAATGTCCACCATTCAAATAACCTTATTCCTGTCCCAGTCTCTTTCTGCCCTTCTTGAAATTGAACCATGACTTAGTGAGGAGGCTTCTGTGAAGCCTATTGCTTAATAAACTTGAGCTATGGTGGTTGCCATGGTAGCATCTTTCTGTGGCTCCTCAGAAACCAGGGCTGACATGGCATTCCTTCCACCACCCAGCCAGAGCCTTCTCAGACCCTGGCCCAACTCCCAGGAGCAAAGCCCCTCACCGAGTCGGGGGAGTGACCTCTAGCTGAATTCTCAAACAAAGCTGTGGTGTCCCCTGAGCCCTCCTGCCGAGGCGTGTGCCTGCCACCATGTATGTTTTCTACAAGCATATATGTTGTTTATGCAGTGGCTGAAGAGAAGACTGTTCTCCACAGCTGCATACATCAAGTTAAGGGAACGTTTATAATGTAAAGCTGGAAAATTCCATTAGGGAACTTTATTGACTTTTGAGGAGGAAGGGAAGGGGATTTTTTCATTTGTTTATTTTTCTTCTTGGATTTATTTTAAGTGTGGGCAGAGCAGTGGATAAAAAAAATAAATGGAAAGATACCCACATTGCAACTTTTCTGTTCTTTCCAATTCACTTTTACGTTATAAGGCATTTATAAGAACACTCAGGTCTCCTTCCTTAAGCCCACCGTCCCTGCAGGGAGGTGGGCAGAGTTTTGGCAAAGGTTGGGTTCAGGGCTTCGTTATTCCGCTGCCCTGACAACACCCGCTTTCTGGGCCACATGGAGACAGAGTGTTTGCTGACTATAAATGTCCAGAGCTGTGCCTTCTGTACTTTGAGGTCTCAAGAAAAGTCTGGTGAGTGGCTGGATCTATGAAACCTTCCTCTTTTATCTTTTTCTTTCCAATGAAGAGGGATTCTTTTGTGTGATTTCATGTGAAAGGACCAGAAACCGCTTTGTCTAGTTTCCACACACCCTGTTGCCATCGCTGCTGCTTCCCAGACTCCTGCATGGAAGGCAAAGATGGTTACAGCCTTGGCATTTCTGGGGATCTGCACATGAGGCACATTCCCCTGCTTTGGGGGACCCTGCTCCCCAACCAAAGTCAGCTGCCTTGTAGGGAGGTCACATAACCACTACACAGATTACATTCATGAACCTCACAGAACCCTCATGTTTCATGTGTTTCATGTCTAGTGAAGTGACTTGGGCAAACAGGTGGGCAGGGACAGCATCTCTGGAGAAATGTAGGAGAGGACCAGGACACCTGTGCGTGTGTGTCTTTCTGTGTGTGACACCTGCACTCCAACCCAGGACTCTCACCCTCTCCATTTCCACTGCTCTACAGCACGTTACTTGACTAGCTCGATTCACATGAGCAGGTGAGCGCTCCTGGATTGGATTCTAAGTAGTCATCTCACAGCTTATAATTGATCGTCAGCACAGATGGTTTAATAGAAAAATAACTAGCAATTCTGCTCCCATCTCCTCCCCCACCTCGGAATTTACCATGGCCCGTGCATCAGTCAGTTACACAGGCTCTCTGGCGGCTGACGCCAAAGCTTCCCATTGCCATTTGCTGTTGTAGCAGGGCATGGGGTGAGGTCAGGACTCCCTGGCACTCAGGAGATTTGGCTCACAGCCGCACTTGGCCTTTCATTATTCAGTCCTTAGCCAGAAACGAAAAACATGAGTCAATCTGCCTCTTGATGCCAGAAGGAACTGGAGTTCCCACATTAGCTTTTATTACATTCTTTTCATTGAAGTATGTCACTTTCCTGACACTTGACACTCTGCCCTAGTCACTGAGATGGATAAGGTCCATTGAATGCATTCAGCAGTAGCTGTAGCAGCAGAGTTATATACACAGGCATGGACAATTTTAGATTTGGAAGGATCCTAAGGAGCCACATAATATGTTCCTCTGGGAGCTGGGCGTGGTGGCTCATGCCTGTAACCCCAACGAGTCGGGAGGCTGAGGTGGGAGGATTGTTTAAGGCTGGGAGTTTGAGAATATGGTCCTCTGGTTCCGGATTTGCTTGTGGGATTTTGTGTTTTAGAAGGTGAGAATGTGCACATGTAAGAAAGAGGTGGCTATTCAGCACCAAAATGCTCGTACACACTCACGCTCAGCACAGCATAGAAACAACAGACAAACATTTCACCCTAAACCTGGCTGTTTCTTTCTCCTATTCTTCACTACCTGCCTGTGTCTGAGGCAGTCCCCTCAAACCTCCAGCGTTGCCTATGGGTCTTCTTTCTTGACAGAACTTCCCTCTTTTCAAACTGAAAGGGGAGTCTTCCAAAGGAAGCAGTGACTGCACATTAATCTTGGAGGCAAAAAAAGTGGACGAAGTCCTGCTTCATGCAAAGAAGACCCATTTACCACTGAGCCAGACAGGTCATCCAGTGCCCCTGTTCTGTGGAAGAGAACGAAGGATTAAAATTAAATTTAGCCGTCAAGTAGCCCATTAACTGTGGATTTAGGAGGCCAGCTGAAAAGGAATTGGAAATTTCCAACTGTAAGCAGATAGGAGGATTTTGTTTCCTGACACTCCAGTTTAAAAGTCACCTCAAGAATGACTACATCTGATTTTTGTGCCCAGACAAGGACACTAAGGATGATCAATGCCCATGGACTTTTGAGGTGCCTACTACTATATCATAGCTGCCTTGAAAATGGAGTTTGGGAGGGAGTAAGGAGGGACAGAGTGGCAGCCACATGGAGGGAGTGAGTGTCTGAAAGGAGATAAGTCCTCAGTCTACCTACTCTTGGCATTAAGTCTCAGCATGCATATTTTTTAGTGAACGCTGGAAAATGTGTTGTCTGCTGCATGTGACATTGGTACTGCTGAGGAACTGCCTGTAGAATATTCACTTTGAGACCTTTATCTTATGGAGGCAATGGGTGTGAACACCCAAGTATTTTTTTTTTTTTTAATTAACAGCATGAAATTGGGAGATGGTTGGTTGTAAATGGGATCTCAGCCCGTGGCCACAGACCCAAGCAAAATGAAATGATCCAATCAGGGAACACTGCCCCATCCACACGGTAACCAACAACCAACTAGACCCAGATATAAAATGCACCCTGTGAGCCTTCACAACCATGGGAAGAGCCCAGTACTGCTGGATTAGTGGAAACTCCTCATAGTGCCCTCCAGATTTAAAAGTAGATTTTAGAGTAACTTGAGTCGGAAGACTTCATAATGGGACTTGGGGACCATCAACACAGATCATGCCAGCCACCTTCCTAATCCACATGCACAGGGGCACAGCCTAGCATTTCAAATTAGTCTTCAGTGGGACAAGTGTATTGGGTGGACTTCCACCAGCTCCAAGGCCTTCTTAGAAAGATCAGCAGATGAGGTGTCTTTGGGTATGTTTAGAATAAGACAAAAGAGACAACTAAATCCACTGTTCACCAGATTGAATAATAAAACTGCTAGGAGACAGTTAGATGCTCTGCTCTCTCCTGCTGCTTCTCAGTGTTTGGACAAAAACACCTGCCAGTTGGAGTATGGTGCTGTGTATAGCAAAGGAGAAAGCTTGCAAAAGGCTCTCGGGAGTGTGTGTGAGGAGCTCGTTGAGGTCCATGTGCAAGAGGGAAAGGATTATGCACCACTTAGCATAGAGCTAGTGCTCTGGTCACATGACAAAGAAAGATGGCAGAATAACAATGGATTGAGGGTTCGAGGGTGACCCCAAGAAATGCTGAGGCATGGACCACGAGGAAAAATAAACCCCAAATGGTAGCCGCTAAGCAGTGACAACGTCAAAGTGGTAAATTTAAAATTTTCACAGAAGCAGATGAACATATCCTTATCTGCAGATCCTAGAGAGACAGGCACTGCCAGTGCAAAAGGGGAAACTTCCCCATGGGGTCTTTAGAATTTTTAAAGTGCTTTCACACTCTTTATTTTATTTATCACCGAACAGTCCTGTTTTACAGTTGAGAAGTGGATTGCCTGAGGTTTGACTAGTCTGACTCATTTGACTAGTAAATAGCAAAGCCAGTTCTTGAGCAACCTTGGTGTTCTGATTTGAAGTTCAGTGTTGTCTCCATTATGTTAAGCGCCCTTCTACACATCATGTTCTAGTTAGCTCCAAGCAATTAACCCCTGTAAGCTAAGAGCAGTGGCTTGGTATAGATCTCTCCTCAACCTACAGATCCTTCTGTCTCTACCTGGTGACAGACAAGACCTATGGGTAGATGGAGAAGGTCATCCCTGAACTTGTCCATCTTGTTGTTTCATCTGTAACTTTTTTTTTCCTAGGAACCCTCATAGACCCTAAACTGATTACAGGGAGGGGAGTGTGATAGCTTAGTATTTGAGATCAGGAAGTACTTGGTCCTTTTACTGTTTCCTTCTTTGGTTAAAACGCTCCAGTGGTTCCCATTTGAAAGGCACTCTAACATCACAAATAAGAGCATAGATTTCAGAGTCAGGCACATTTAGGCCTGAATCCCAGCACTATTATTAACCGCCTTAACTTTGAACCTCTGCTTCTTCATCTGTAAATGGGGATTCAAAATAATATTTTGGTCCTATAAGCATTAAATAAGGTAAAATGTATTTAATGTCTGCTATAGTGCCAAGGACTTAGTAATTGTATAATAAATGATAGTTATTATTTCCTACCAAATAATAGTCCAGACACATTAGTGAGACACTCGAGGCTCCTCACAGCATGACCCCTCCATCTACCTTTCACTCCTGCGAGCCTGGCCATTCCCTGAGGCAAGAGATTCCTTCAGATCCCTGAGCTATTCCCCGCTCATGGGGTAGGGCAGAAGGCCATGGCACTTAAAGGACAGAAGGGTTCTTTAGAACCTGATGTCCCTGCTCTGCCCTCATGGGAGGAGAATCAGTTCCTGGCAGAAATCAACTTGAGAGCATGTCCTTTGAGAAGAGGGGGCTGGGAGGTGAAGAGCGGGATTACATTGAATGATGAGTAATTACACATGAAAGATCTGGAGGGCAGCTTGACAATTGAGCTGGAAAATTCTCGTCTTTTACTGATGAAACAAGAAAAATCTGTCATTTTTTTTTTTTTTTTTTTACTGGAGAGCAGCCAGGAACTTACCAAATAAATAGAAAATAAATGGTAAAATGTGTGGCCCAATTGAGTCCCAATTAAAGTGAGACCAGTGCATCCTAGTGTGTGGAATTGTCCTTAGATTTTAACATTAGAGTCAATTTTTGAACCTGATAGAAATTTTATTAATGAGGCAGTGTAAAAATATCTGATTATAATTTAGTATCAGAGACTAGCAAAGTGTTATCAAACAGTTACATTTAAATGATTTGTAAAATGCACGTGAATTATTTCCTAAACAATGTGCCTCAATTAAGGTACTTGAAGAGCTCATCCTTTTAGTTTGGTGAAATGTCTTCCTTGCAATCTTGTTGGCTTTGATAATGGCTTAAATCACTCTTGTATGTATGGATTTGGGAGCAGTACTTTGGCCTAGTCCATGTGTAAATTATATTTTAACTAATGGGGACTAAAGTGTTGAGGCGTTTCTTGACTCCAGGGCTTTGTTATTCAGTACTCTTTTCATTTCAAATGGCAATTTTAAAATCAGTTAAATCTTGCCCCTGTTAACAAAACTGAGGATGAAAGCATATTTTTCTGCAGCTATTCCAATTCATAGCTTTTCAATGGCTCCTCTGCAGTAAGAGACCTGATGAAAGATGCGTAGAGCAATGACTAATTTTATTTTTTTTTATTTTACTTTTGGCCTGTGTCTGATTGCTATCCTTGGCTCAGACCTGTGGGAGTTAGGATGTGACAAATAGCCCCCCCAGTGGTTTGGCAGCCACGTTCAGCTGTTAAGATTAGAGTGTACCATTAAGGAACCCTGTTTTCCAAAACAAGAGACAATGGTGAGTTTGCATTATAACATGCCTTATATGGTATATGTGGTAATACAATGAATTATACCATGATGCTTTACTAGGATTCTGGGGGGAAATTAATTCAAGAGAGCAAATTATATCCTTTATCCAGGTGTGTGGGAGGAGCAGGAAATATTGGGCCCTCCCGCAGAAGACGCATGTCTATGAGCATGACCTCTGAGAACCTTTTCAGATGCTACAGGATAGAAAGGTCTCCGAGATAAGGACTTGAGCTAAGCAGAAGGCAGAAGCTTGGGGTGTGTGATCCTAGATCACCTGCCCATATATTGATCTCCCACCCTATTCTTACATCTTAGAGATATGAAAGATTATCCCTTAGTTCTTCCTTAAGACAAATGTAGCCTGGGGAAAGGGAAACCTTTGTGGTTATTTTGGTAAATTTTTTAATTGATTTCATTTTTCCTATGGCAGCTTGCAGTTATACTTTTATTAATGTGCTTGTTTACTTGAGGTCTATCTTCCCTACTAGACTAGGTAAGTTTCAAAAGGTTGGCAACCTCATTTGTTCACAACTGTATATCCAGTATGCAGAACAGTGCCTGACATATATTAAGGACTCCACAGATGCTTGGTATATGGATGAATAAAGATGTGTTTGGCTGACCTACCATATGCCCTGTCTTATATGTGAGAAGATGCTGGGGAAGATATTTCTGTCCTCTGAACATTTAGAGGTTATCACATTAAGGATTTAAGGTTTATAAGGCCTTGGGTCTAATTCCCAAGTCATGATTCATTTGGCATTTATAGTGAAAATTAATTTAATTTTGAATATGGGATCATTTGTTGAGTAAAATAACCATTAGAAGTCTTTGCTTGTGACATACAGTAGTGGAACATAGGTTTGCCATACGTTGGCAAAAAATAAGAAAGGAAAGAAAAAAAGTAACCTTCATCACAATGTCCAACTAAGAACCAAAGCCTGAATTATGAGCACTTCTTCTTAGCAGCAGGCCAGGATAGGGAATCATGAGATGCAGGTTCACCTATGTTTCTAAACTCACTCAGTGAATGATCTTAGGCAAGGCACTTCCTCCTGGGGCCTCAGTTTCCTGTGCAGTTGGGTGGATTTCAGGGATCTCTTCCAGCTCAGAAATTCACTGTGCTGTTTGACAGAACCTTGAACTAAAACCTGCTGATGCAGAGCCTTAGTGGTTAAGAGCAAGAGCTTTGATCATCATACATGCTTGGGTTCATGTCCCAGCTCTGCCAGCTGATGTCGGGCACTCAACCTCTCTGAATCTCTTCTGTGAAATGGGGATAGTGATTCCTATGTGCTAAAGTTAGGAGGTTTAAATAAAGATTTGCACTAAAATTGCTTAGCACAGAGTCTGGCCCAGAATAAATAAATATTCAAAAAATTTAGAAGTTGTCATTATTTCTATCTTGAAGATATTTATGCCCTGACTTATTTTAAATGCCTCACCAGTAGAACTGGGATGATTTTTCACCTTCAAGCTGCACAGTATGCTCACAATGGACTGGCGGTCATTTAATTTATCAAAAGGCAAACTTTGGTGTGACATCATGATCTTGACAGACAAATGCCTCCCTCCCTTATTTCAAGTTGGTTTAATGGTGTTGCTCCTCTGAGCTTCTAAGAGACATCAGTGAGTCTCTCTCTGAGTGGTTGCGTGTCCCTCTTTAGATGAAACCCTTTATAAGCATAACTGTGCCAGTGTGTGAGAGAATTTCTGGCCCAGAGTGGGCATAGTTCCTGCAGCCTGGTTTCTTATAAATTCACTGGAAACAGAGTTTGTCTGAAGACTGCATAGGAAATGAAAGTAAACGCCTGCACTTAGAAAACTGCAGTTAAACCAGACTCCATGGAAATAACACACAATACCCAGAAGTCTATGTAGAATTGTCCCTTGTGCTGGCAGAGGGCCTTCGCCCCTGCAGGCTGGGACAGTGGCAATGGAGCAAATGGTGTGCTGGCCCTTCCTTTCACAAAGGTGTGGACACTCTAAGTGCCAAGGCTGTGGGTGGGGTCCCCTGGGCCTGTGCTGCTCTGATTCCCTATCATTGTAGGGTTCTCTTTTCTCCCTGAAGTGTTCTGACTGTCTTTCTTCTCTCTACCCCAACCCCATTTTTTTGTTTTGTTTTATTTTGATTTTCTACTGCTCTCTGATTGGATCCTCCATAGGAACGCTTTGGGGTAAATATGTTCGATTATCTTTGAAGTAAACGATACAAGGAATGAGTTGGAGGAGCGAGAAAGTATGGTTGGGAGGGGAGGGGCTCACGCACTGAGAAAAGAGTGGTCAGTTTTTATTTATATCCAAGGGATCAAAATTAGGAGTCACCAAGCCTTCTTGGGAAATGGTCATTCTTATTGGTTTGGATATGTATTCGGCTCATATGTTGCCTCTTTTAGGTATGTAGACAGATGAGCCTAATGCAGTGAAATCGTTTGTAAAACATGCCAAAGTCTCTGGATGCTAAAGACCACATCAGTGCAAGGCTTTTGGATTATTTATATTCAGATCTGGGATTGAATAAAAGTGACTTGTAGGTCATGGCCTATAATCATTAAGAGAGTCTTAAAATAAACATTCTGGGCAAAGTCAGCATTCCTTCAATTCGATTAAATATCTTTTGGCCTCGTTTTCTGTGAAAGAATGGATGGACTTTTATCTCCCTGTCAGGGGGGTGGGGTAGGGGGGTAGGTATCGCAGGAAGGTCAGGGGGAAAGCAGCCGGAAGCCTTGCAGTTCCCACCTGATGTTCTGGACCCCATTTCCTCAGATTGTTGGTGTAAGAGTAATCTGGGTCAACATGAAGAAAGAGACAGAGCCTGACTCCACTATTTAGAGTCTTGTTTTCCACCATTTGTGTGTTTTATAAATGACAACTATTTGAATTGAATGCAAATATCTCAGGGGATGAACAGAGAAGAAAGAGAAATGCAAATGTATTTGTTCATTTTATTCCTAAAAATAAAAAGAGAAACATACTGTCACTATTAGGAGTAAACATTTCCAAGAGGCTGACTAGGGAGGATCAATAGCTGTAGGGCCAGGATAAAGGTAGGCTGGGCCTGCAGTTTGGGCCTCCTCCAGTTGAGTGGCTCTCTGCAGCCTGTGCTAGGTGCACACCATCTGCAATGGAAGGGACTGCGGGAACAGCCAGCCACACAGAGGTACTGGGGTGTGAGCCAAGGTCCTAGCTAGAAGCCTGCATGACATGCTTTCTCTGGAACACGTGGCCCAGTGAGAGTGTCATGTCTGCCACCCTGCCTCACCTTGCTGTCTCCTGAACTAATGAACTGTGCAGCGGTGACAAACCCAGATTAAGTCTAGTGCCCTGATGAGACTTGCTCTCAACTGTGGGTTCATCAATTCAGCGAATATCATTTGAGAACCTATCATTTGACAAGCACTGGATTAGGCACAGTAGGGATCTGAAGTGGGCTACTGCTCACGTTCCCTAGTTGATGTGTCTTCCGTTTTCATTGTGCCAGTGTGGTAATCAGCAGCATTAGACTGGTAGTTAGGGAAGGAAGTGTTTATTAACATATGTGCATGGATGCCTCTGTGTGCCTGTATGTTCCTCTGTGTGTGTATATATGAGTGTGTACGTGCATGTGGATGTGTGTTCATGCGTGCACACTGGGAAGTGATTTGAGAATATTCCTGAAGCATTTTTCGCAGGATGTCCCTGGAGTCAAATCTGACTCAGTTTCTGGCTTCTTGCCTCCATCTCTCCCATACATCTCTCCCCTTTTAGCCTGTTGTTACTAATGCCATAGTTTGAATGTCATTTTTATTTCTCCCCCATTCCATATGATTCCCTGGGGGCCTCTCCCCTGCAGAACCAACAAAGGACGGGACATCAAGACCATCAAGTCTCTGCGGGTGCTCCGAGTTCTAAGGCCACTGAAAACCATCAAGCGCTTGCCCAAGCTCAAGGTAGTGTTTACAGAGTTTGTTCCCATCAAATCCCCTTCTCCCATCTTCTCTCTTTAGCCATGGCTGGCCTGCCTTTGGAGAATTTGTTCTGGGAATATTCCTTTTTCTCACACGGATATCGAAGTTCTTTTCATCTGCCTGAGCTAAAGGTCTTAGTTTCAAAGGAAAATAACCAACATCCCAAGAAATCTATAAGAAAGCTTTTTCTTTTAAGTTCAGACCCAGATGGTGTCTTCTCTCCGGTGTGATATGTCATCCAAGAGGGAATCCTGTGTGGCTTTGTCCTGGGGCCTCCTATGTCTATGTCCCCAGTGCAGACCCAGAACACCAGAATGGAAGCAACGGGATCCCTCTGTGTGTTCTGGTCTGCATATTTTTTAAGGCCGAGTATCCTGGGACATTTTCTTTTTCTTATAACTCAAGAGGAGAAGAGGCTCTTCTAGCCCTACCCTTCATAATTTTGAGGCACAGATAGGTCAGTAACTTGTCCAAGGACATGCAGTCCATTTTTGGCAGAGGCAGAGAAGAAATGGGAAGTGAGCTGACATGAATTAAGTTCTTCCTATTGCCAGGACCTTTACTAGGTATCTTACCCAGATTTCTCCTTGTCTAATATGCTCCCTCCTCAACTCCCCTGGGGTTCCACCTTCCACGAGTCTCCCTGCCTCTCAGGAAAGCTTCCTGCACTCTATCACACAATTCTGCTAGACTGTTGAACCCACCTGCCCCACCCCGCATACTTTGCTGTTAGTGGAAGCTGAGGCTCCATGGGAGGAAAGTTCTTTCTCTCTGAATTCCTGTGAATGACAGCAAGGCACTGCCAGGGAGAGGACCAGAGCTCCTGGTTTCCAGCCCCAAAGTCTTTCTGCTGCTCAGGCCACATAGCCAGTCAAGCCCCATCTTCAGGGGCTACACCAGAATACTTCCCAGCAAGCAGACTCAATTCCCTAACTTCAGCATCACATGGAATCATGCAGTGCTTCTCAAGGTGTGGGTCATAGGCCACCTGCATCAGGATCACCTGGGTACTTCTTAAAATCCAGATTGCTGACAACCGCAACACAACAGAGCCAGACTCCCTGTGGGAGGGGCTTGGAGTGCGCCTCCTAAACGGGCTTCCCAGGTGACTCTTAGAATATAGTGTAGTTTGAGAACCCCTGTCAATATTAAAAAGAACCCACTTGAGTGCGAGGCTCAGCTCTAGGACTTAGAAGCTATATGACCCAGGGCAAATTACTTATTCTTTGACTTTCTTTCACATGGGAAATGAGGACACATTGTAACTCATACATCTGTGGTGTGGAGAAAATGAACTGACGTGAGTGGTCCCTGTTAGAAAACTCAACAGTTCCTCTGGAATGCCTGGGCCTGCTCTCCCAAGCCTGCCACGGAGGACACAGCTTGGGGAGGGCTCTTGTGCACTTGGCTCTCCCTTGCTTCTCAATTCCCACTTCCTATTGAATTCTCATCACCTCTGATACTCTTTGCCCACGCCTACCCCAGACCTCCTTCAGGCCTCATAGCACTGCTTCCCTTTCAGCCATTTAGCTCTGCAGAGAGGAGGCAAAACTAACTAGGTTTGTGAAACAGAAGAAAAGTCACTTCTGAGAGGCCCCGATGTGACTGAAACCTGGCTACCTTTCAGAGCCCAGGGCCCTGGCCCACCGCGTGGGTTCCCAGAGAGAGACACCCATGCTCCCAAGGAAGTGGCCTGGCCGACTGCTGTCCTCCCTGGCTACCCCGCCTTCCCCCCTGGAGGAAGCACTTCTCACAATGTCAGCTGTTTCTTACCACCTTCCTGCCCATAAATGCTCATTGGGTTCTGCCTCACACACAGAGCGTGGCCAGGCTGCCTTGGGCCCTGACCCTTATCAGTATTGTCAGTGATCCTGCAGGGCAGGATTCAGTGGGCCTCAAGGAGAGTGCAGACAAGCTTGATGAGATTCGTTAATAGGCCAGAGAAAGCACCCTGCAACCTGGCTTAATTCTGTTAAATTAGAAAGGGCTAGTTCCTCGCTCTGCAGCTCCATAACCTGAGAGAGACGTAGGTGGCTCTGATGATTCCACAAGGGTGCCTGTCACTTACATTCCCTGCAGTGTTGAACTAATTAAACCAGCAGTGCTTCACCCAGTGCTGCAAAGAAGCAACTGCACAAATGCAGCACCACCGTGGGGCTAGATTGTCCTGTGAGCTAAACCTAAAAACCTAGAAAATAACCTGAAAATGCCCTGCAATGTATTGAATTCCCATGTAACTCCTCACAGCTTAGGGCCTAGAGTGGAGGTCTCTGGAGGTCTGTTGCCTTTTAACTGAAGTGTAAGTCCCTAGTTCTATCTACCCAGCCTCGCCATCTCTAAGAGAAGGTGTCTATTGGTCTTTCCCACATTACTTCTATTGGTCTTCATCCCAAATGCAGCCACCTTCACTAGAGAACATTTACATGAAGTGCTGAATATAATCATAAATGTATGAACTTGCCTATGAAATATTAGTGAAATGAACAAAGATGATAGTGTATTATTACCTGATCCTTTTAGAAAGGTAAGGAGAAAACAATACATAATCAGTATATAAATCGAATCTAAGAACGTCACCAAATAAAGCACAAGCTATTTAAAGACTAAAATTGGCTAAATGATCTCAAATATTCCTTCCAGCTATACACTTCTATGCTTCACACTAAGTGGAGTACCCGTACCAGGATCACACAGAGGACCGCATTCCTTGCTTGATATCATCTGATTTCTACTGCGTTGGGTCTACATTCAGTTTCAGAACATGTGTTCCCATCCCAGGTGGTAGGTCCTTGCAGTCATAACCAGCTTAGAAGCCAGCCCTTAATCTCATGAGCACCACCTCACCTCTTAGCAGGAAATTCTCTCCTGGGACAACTTCTTGGTGGGGCTGGGTAGTGGTGGTATGGCCCAGCTCGGCTCTAGGCAAGTATGCAGACCATCACAGGGTTCACACAGCAGGGCTGTTTGCTCTGTCCACAGGCCGTCTTCGACTGCGTAGTGACCTCCTTGAAGAATGTCTTCAACATACTCATTGTGTACAAGCTCTTCATGTTCATCTTTGCTGTCATCGCAGTTCAGCTCTTCAAGGGAAAGTTCTTTTATTGCACGGACAGTTCCAAGGACACAGAGAAGGAGTGCATGTAAGTGCCACCAGCGCATTCCACTTGATTTTGCTGAAGCATGTCCTGATGATCCCACTCCACCACCACAGGTCCACCCTCCCTCCTTTCTATCTTACCCATCTCTGCTCTTCTTTCAGCAAAAAGACAAAATGGAATCAATAAACTTTTTACTGAGTGCCTCTTTTGTGTCAGACACGAAAACTTGAGTGTAAAATATCTCGTACCATGACATTTTACACTCGAGTTTTCATTTCAAACCCCTATAACCAGCTATTGAAATAAGTTTTATTTGCTTATTATACAAGTGGAAGCTAAGACTCAGAAAGTTTAAGCAAGTTGCTCAAGGTTACACAGCCAGTAGTGAAAGGGTTAGGATTTACTCCTGTATCTGTTGGGCACCAAATCCCATTTTTGCTCCATGGTAAAAATACCTTCCTTTAATAGAATTCCTTTTGCCTTACACATGTATGGTGATCATTATTACCCCCACATTATTGCGGCCTGTAGAATGTGCTGACTCTTCTGTAGAATGAGCTATAGTGAGGAGGCTCTCTTTCATTTCTGCTCTGGTTTTAGAGGCAACTATGTAGATCATGAGAAAAACAAGATGGAGGTGAAGGGCCGGGAATGGAAGCGCCATGAATTCCACTACGACAACATTATCTGGGCCCTGCTGACCCTCTTCACCGTCTCCACAGGGGAAGGATGGCCTCAGTGAGTGATTGAGTTGTCATGCTTGTCTGTGGCTGTGATAGGACCCCTGGTTGCCTTGAGAAGCTGACTCAAGATGAACAAGGCTCACGCTTTGTTATTGTATCAGGGAAAGTAAGGGGTTTTGAGAAGGTGACACAGGCAGAAAAGAGGAAGAATGAAAATTCTTCAGGCAAAAATAGAGAAGTGGGTGAGCAAATCAGGAAAATATTTGAAACTCTTAATGTTTTAGCCAATTATTGAGGAGTCAAGTGGAGCCATCTGACTTCTATGGAACAAATGAGTTTTGAACAGCCCTGTACCCATAAGGAGAATTCCTGAGAGCTGTTATAGACAGATTTATCCTCCAGGGGGGCCCAGCACCTGAAAGCCTGAGGATTGAGGGTTAAGAATGAGTTGGCAAAACCCAAAGGCACCTCCTGTGATCATGAGGAAGACCACAGAATGCAGGTCTTATGCTGCCCGTAGTTGAAAGCTAATTTCTCAGAGACTTAGCAATGACTAAGACACCACTCTCTAGTGGCAACAGGTTCTACTTGGCAGCAAAATGTTAAATGGGAATCTGGGAGTCTCTTTGTATTGAACATGACAACCTAAACTATGAAATGGTGTCCCTCTGTTGCTTAGGAGTTGAGTGCGTGATGGAACAGAGGCTAGAAAGAGAAGTGGATTGTTGATAGCAGGATATGACAACTTGGGTTTGGACTCAAAAAAAATTAATGGAGGATCTGCAAAGTCAAAGAAGTCAGATAAAAAATTATAATAGGTGGCACATTTCCTAACGAAGCCAAGACTGTCATCCACCATCTGTGCCCTCTTGTTCTGTCCCCATAGAGTTCTGCAGCACTCTGTAGATGTGACAGAGGAAGACCGAGGCCCAAGCCGCAGCAACCGCATGGAGATGTCTATCTTTTATGTAGTCTACTTTGTGGTCTTCCCCTTCTTCTTTGTCAATATCTTTGTGGCTCTCATCATCATCACCTTCCAGGAGCAAGGGGATAAGATGATGGAGGAGTGCAGCCTGGAGAAGAATGAGGTAATGACAATTGGTCTAAAGTGGGGAGCAGCAGAGGCTCCAGAAAGGATTCTTGGGCCAGCAATGTAAGAAAGGAGGACTGCATTTTCTTAACTTGATTAAGAATTATAGAGAGAAGATGGGAAAAGTAACTATTCAGCCATTAAATAAGCATTTTCCAAGCACTGTTTAAGGCCCACGTATGAGGCACGGAGATCTGGAAGATATGTAAGATGTTTAACATGCAGTCTTTACCTTTGTGTGCACATAGTCTAGAAAACAATGATAACTTCAGATATCTGCTTATCTGACTGTGACCTTCCATGCCATGTACTTGCTGTAAGGGCAGGGAATGTGTCTTATCGCAGCTTTTCCAGCAACAAGCATAGTTCTGGCACATTGTAAGGTTTCAAAAGCTGTTTTTGAAATTTCTTTATTTTATTTTATTTTTTCGATGGAACTGAACTAGAAACTGTTAGGGACTGTAAGAGAAATGCGACATAAAGTGCTGTAGAAATACATAGGTAGGTAGATCTTTACTTCTGACTAAGGACATCAAGGAAGGATTCCTGCCTAAACAGCTCAGCCACATGCTGTGTAAAGGACTTTTTTAATAACCATGAAGTCCCTACTCCATGTGGCAACACCTCCAGTTTTGTGTACTCCTTTAAGGTGACGCCTTGTCTGTAGTTTTGTCCAAGTGACCCCAGTTGCCATCTTTACTTGCCCAGCCCTGCCCTTTTTCCCATTCACCGTCCTCCTCTTCTGAGCATGGAACAGAGCCTGCCATGGTAGATCTAGGGGATTTGAATTTGTGCTAATAACCATGACTTTCTTGCAGAGGGCGTGCATCGACTTCGCCATCAGCGCCAAACCTCTCACCCGCTACATGCCGCAGAACAGACACACCTTCCAGTACCGCGTGTGGCACTTTGTGGTGTCTCCGTCCTTTGAGTACACCATTATGGCCATGATCGCCTTGAATACTGTTGTGCTGATGATGAAGGTGAGAGGAGAGAGGCACAAGAGCCGACTGAGCCCCAGCGATGGTTCCCTCCCAGGGCAAGTGGGAAGACACCCCAACATCCCAGCCCATCACTGCTTTACCTACTTTTCCATCATTGAATCCTTTTGTGATCTTATTTTGTTCAATAACCCAACCTCTGGGGCTTTGGGGGTCCACTGAGCAAAATGCAGTGCAGACTATAGTAGCCATCCAGGGGCTCCCAAGACCTGAGATGGCAATGGGAGGCAGCTTCAGACAAGGGTGGAAAAATCAGGAGACAGAGATCCATCATCACGGGGTCTAAAGGAGCCTTGGAGTATTCAGAGAGGCTCATCCTATTTAATATTAAATGACTAACTCCAGTAACTAACTCTAGAAAATGTTTCTTCCCTGCCCACCCTCATCTCTAGGAAGACTGGCTGTTTTGCTATTAAGTCTGGTGGGGCGTGGGTCTGTGTTTTCCTTTGTTTTGTTGGGTAGAATATGTGGTTCTCCTCTCCAGCACTCGAAGTCCATCTCTCCTCCTGTACCACACACCAGAGTGTCCCACAGGGCAGGAATGAGAGATGGCCAACCTCAGTGACATGTATTCCCCCTCTTACCTTAAGGCTGTGATTCTTTCTCTCTTCTTTTTTCTTCCTGGCAGTATTATTCTGCTCCCTGTACCTATGAGCTGGCCCTGAAGTACCTGAATATCGCCTTCACCATGGTGTTTTCCCTGGAATGTGTCCTGAAGGTCATCGCTTTTGGCTTTTTGGTATGTTGCTGAATCCTTCCCAGCACTGGGCTTGTCTCTTTCTGTTGGGTGCCTTCCCAGTCTTTGTTGAAGGGGAGGTGGTTACTGCTATTCCAGAAATCACCCACCTAGATGTGGGCTCGTTTTGACTGCTCAGTAAACTGCCGTAGAGACAAGATGATGTGTGAGGAAGCTGGGAGAAAGGGCAAAGGAAGCCACAGCCATCAGCCTGGTCCTGTGAAATTCTGTCAGCAGTCCAGAGGCGGCCATCATTGAGTTTCACTAGAACTGCAATTTATGTGTAGATGAAGGAGGAAGCCAAAGATTGGACTAATAAACTTCGAGTGCTTATTTACTGGTAAAAGGTATAACAGTTTTATAACACAAATGGGAAAATAACTATCTCTCTTAGCCTCAAACATAGCAAATAATAGATTTTTACCTATTAGTCCTTCTGCCATTAGTAACATGAAGAGTAATTTCTGCCAAAGAAAATAGGTGTTTATTACTTATGCCTATAAAGGCTAATGACCTTTAAGGGGTGTGTCTGTGTGTGTGTGTGTGTGTGTGTGTGTGTGTATGGAGTGCAAGGGGAAGGATTCTGGAATTAAGTTTGAGGAGGTTTGGGGATGATGAATTTTTCTGCCATGAGCCCTCTTTTTTCTTCTCCTCAACTACTATTAATAATTATAATTGTTGGGCAAATTCTTGCATCTGTCCTCAAGAGTGTTAAGAAAATCCAGCCCTTGGCTTCAGTGCCCTATAAACAAGATAATCCCCTTGGCCACCCTCCCCCCAACCTGCTTCATTGTGTGCAGCAAGTTCAGTGGGATGCAAGCCCATGTGACAGCTGTTTCACACTTACTTAGGACGTGAGCTACCATTTCAAATTACATGTGTGTATGGCTTTCCCTGCAAGGAGGAGAACTTTGCTCATTATCTGAATAAGTGTTTGTCTGGTAGCAGCTTTAACAGAGACTCTGGGCTGGGTTCGATAATTGTGAGTGTTGATTACGGGGGCTGCTTTTGGTCTCCCAGCGGTTCTTTGAAAAACCATTAATTTGATCATTTTGGGTGGAGAGTTTAAGGGAACCAATTGCAGTTGGCTGCATTGTGTTTGCCTGGCTCCCTTTTGAGTGTTTTGAGACTTGGGGAAATAAAAAAGTAAAAGAAACTACTACCAACAAAGATGCCTTTATAATACAGTCTAGCCCTGAGCAGGGGGAGCTGAGAGAGAGGGAGACGCAAGCACCACAACAGGGAAATTTTTTCTATGCATGTTGATTACTTGTATGTGGTATTGACATTGTCTGTGACTTAAGTCCCATTATGTGTCTAATTATGGTGAGTGCTGAATATATACTCACAGCCTTAACTAGATTCGGCCCTTGAAGCCTGCCTCCTTCCCACCCTACCCCCATGTTTTCATTCAAGGTCTAGAGGGATTTTCACTCTGTAAAAGGTACCACTAATTCTGATAAGTCTTTACATTGTTAAGGCACTCTAAGCTTTCAGAATATTGTAATATATACTATTTCGTTAGATCTTCTCAGTGACTCTGAAATAGGCATGGCAGATGTCACTATCATAATTGCCATTATTGTTGTTGTTATTTTAAATGAGGAAATTGAAGTTCAGAAAAATTGTATAGCTTCTTAAAGATTACACAATGAAAGGCAATAGAATTGCAAGGCTAAATGGGAATAAAAAGGGAAGGGAAAAAGAAAAAGAGGGAAAGATGTAACAACAATTGGTTGGCTATTAAGTACCAAATGCTTTACATATTGCTTTTCTCTCCATAACAATATATTAAATAAGCATTCTTATTTTCTCCTTTTTATGGATGAGCTGGAGCTCAGAAAGGTTGAATACTTTGGCCAAGATTAGTAAGAGGTAGGGCCAGGATTCAGACCCTGTTCTATCTGACTTCAAAGCTCACAATAATCTAGTCTACACTGCACTGTACTATTCTATACCATATACCAGTGTTCTAGTCTATACCACAGCATGCTATTCTGTATTGTAAAGCATTGTTAACTGGAATCCAGAGCTTCTGGTCCTCTGAGACCTAGATCCATGCACCAAGGTTTAGAAAGAATTAAAACCAAGAATTAGGAAGTTCACCCCAGGTTGGACAATAGGAGAGCCCTGAGAATTGAGGAATTCGGAGACTTAATTTAGCTCCACCACTGATAGACTAAATATTCTAATGGAAAGTGAATTTATGAAACTGTGTGATTCAATCTGTCCATATGCCCCATAGGTACATGTGGCTTTGTAATAAGGCCTCTTTCAGCCTCATTTTCTCATACATAAAATGAGGATAATAGTAGCTACCTTATGGCCTTAGCTACTTTGTTGTATGTATCCAATTAAGTGATGTTCATAACCTTCTGAGTGGGTGTTCATTAAATGTAACTTCTCTCTCTCCACATTCCTTTTCTTTCTTTATTGGGTATTTTCCCCCAACTCCTCTTGCCAACTCTTCCATTCAGGACTTTATGAACATGGGATATTTTTCAATCCCTGCCTCTAGGATCCATGAGAAGAATAAATGAGTTGAAAGAATGCCAAAGGCCTGGCCTAGTGTCTGGCTCATGTAGGAATTCAATGATGCTAGTTGTGAGGCTGGGTTGGAGTATACTTCTGCAGTGCTCTGAGAGTCTCTTGTGTTTTATTCCAAGGATAGAATAAAATAATCCATTGTCCTGTGATGTTGCTGAGGATATCAATTACAGGTGTTTGAAATTTTCTCCTCCTGGTACTTTCTCTGTCTCCTCTGAATTTCTTTATTCTGTTGATTTAAATCTCTGTTTTCTGTGTTACAGACTGCCCTTTAAATGTCCCAGGGGCAGGCAAGTGAATTGTTTTTGAGATTCAAGTGTCCTTTTTGTTTGTTTTTAAAGGAACATAGTCTAAGGTCTGTGTTCATCTGAGCCTAGGAGATGGATGCATAGTCCACCCTCTCCTGTTAAATGGAGTGTTATCTGGTTGGTGGATTTTCCAGGCTCTTTATATCTCCTTCAGCCCACTCATTGTATTACTGCTTCCTTGTACTTAGTTACATCTCCTCAAAAGATGTAACAGCAGAGAAAGAGTGGAAAGATGAAGTCTATTTATCCTATTACCAATCAGTAGTTGGTTTGAAAAGGCTCAATGGAGTTAGGAGGAGATTTTTGGCACATCTGTAACCTTCAGTCACTTATGACTTGTGTGACTTTTGTTGATAGTTGAAAGTCAGACTGTATTTTATAGGGCACTTGACGCAATAGAGATAATTTAAAAGTTATAGCTGTATGACCATGGCAATGGTTTCACAGGTACAAACGTTTCCCCAAACCCATCAAGATATAGCCATTAAATATGGATAGCTTTTTATTTGTCAATCATGCCTCCATAGAGGTTTTTAAATACATAAATATTTGTTAAAAATAAAAATTGAAAAAAACTTTTTTTACATATGAGCTTTTGGTGACAGTTTTCAAAGATAAAGTCTTCAAATAGTGATAGAACTGCTTTCCAAATGAGAAATTTCCAGATTAGTAAAGGAGAAATGGCATCTCTGGTTAGAAATGGGAAACTGAAGCCAAAGTAAGAGTGAACTTATGCATTAATTGACAAGTTTTATTTCCAAGGGACAAACAAAGTTATATAATGAAAGATGTCTTTTCTCCTTTTTTTTTTCTTTCCTTTTCTGATGTTCCTATGACTGAATTCATTTGGCAGAACTATTTCCGAGACACCTGGAATATCTTTGACTTCATCACCGTGATTGGCAGTATCACAGAAATTATCCTGACAGACAGCAAGGTGAATGGCTTATAAGATCCATGTCTGTAAGCTTGGCCCTGGAGTAGCATTTTTAAAACTCCTCTGTATATTCAGTCCATTTTTAACCCACCAAAGCAAATGCGTACCCCTCTAAGTGTTGGGAATTTACTCCCTTGCTGCTTGGCATCAGCCAGGGAATGCAAACTTGGGAGTGGCACTGGATCTCCAGGAAGGCTTTGTTGATTTGCCTGACTCAGGCAGCAGACCTCTAATGGGGTAGGTGGGATAGACGGTGTCAGAAGAGAGCTAGTATGCATAGCGTTGCACTAGAGTCTCAAAGGAGGCACAGTATCTTTGCCCTCAAAGTTCACAGACCTGTATTTTTTCCATAAACTTGTTCCTTCTAAAGATGACTTGGAGAGCTCAGGGTAACTCTCTTTGAATATTAGAGGGCCAGCGTGTGCTAGAGGGGTTCCTAGATCTGCTCTTTTTGGCATTTAAGTGCAGACTTCAGGCCACTCAGTAGAAGACTAGGGAGGCTGGTTTTGTGTGCAGGGTACCCTTCTCCAGTACATCCTTTACCCTTCTACCTGGGGATAGAGAGCAGGCATGGGAAGGCTTAGGAGATGGGCCTCACTGGCCAGCCCATCAGCTGGAATTGGGGTTAACAAAGACAGAGACTGTGTCCCATTTATCGGAATGAGGGATAAATACACAAATACTAGTGCTTAGATTTTTCTAAATCACCATAATGTTCCTAATTATATGTTTCCTTTTGGTCCACCAGCTGGTGAACACCAGTGGCTTCAATATGAGCTTTCTGAAGCTCTTCCGAGCTGCCCGCCTCATAAAGCTCCTGCGTCAGGGCTATACCATACGCATTTTGCTGTGGACCTTTGTGCAGTCCTTTAAGGTAAGAGGTACCAGCAAATCCTCTCTGAGGGTTGTCATATCAGACAGTACAGCCAGGCAACACTGGCATCATTACCCAAGTCCCTTCACCTCTGGGAAGCTGAAGCTAGTAGAACGGGTGTTTGTTAGAAGCATTCAGTAAATACTGCAATTCTTAGTTACAGCACAGCTTGGCTTGACTGGGATCAGCTTATGTCTACTGGATAGAATCTTATTTTAGAAAAACACCTTGACTTTGTGACTCAGGCATCCTCTCTGTCTGCTGAGGCAGGGGACACATTTTATAAGATGTGCTTCATCCATAGAGATTCCAGACAGTCCTGAGTAACCCCATCCATGTAAAGAGCCAGCCATCTGTAGTCAGATGTCCTCTGCATTTTCAGGGACTTTGGGTGTTTGTTTTTATTTCACATGAAAGTTTTTCAAAGGACTCATTGAGTTGTGTTTCATAGAGAGATGATTCATACTTAGCCCCACCTTTGTCTTCATCAGTGTTTATTTCCTGAGCCACTGAACACAGGGTATACTAATGGCCACCTCTGTGTCCTACAAATAAATAGGGACATCTGGGCAGGTTAATATGATGTGTTTCCTCTGCACAGTCTCGTGGAGCTGTACAGAGGTGTACATATGATAAATATAAGTAAAAAATTGACAGCTGAGACCCAGACTTTGAGTAAAAGTTTCTTAAACATACTGAAATATCTTTGGACTCTAGCAAATATCATAAATTAGTTGTTTTTAAGCTTTGGGGGGCCTAAATGTTGTTCAAATGCCTGTTCTTACCAAAATGAGTTTTTCAGTGAATGTGTTTAAAAATAAATTTGATGGAATTAAGTGATTCAAAGATGAGAAATTATGAATTCACCAAATTGACTTTCTTATTTTAATTATTTATAGTTTAATTAAAAATTAAGCTAAAGAAGGCAAGCCAGTGAATTCATGGTTTCTCATCACTTGGAAAAGGATTTCTCCCCACATCCATCATTACTGATTTACTTCTTCATCGAGGACCTGGGATTTTGAGATGTGAGATCAATTTTAAGGATGTTCTGGCTCCTAGGAGCGACCTTGACACTTTTTATCATATCCAGAGAAAGTGTTTGGCGTAATGACTCCCACGAGGCCTCACTTCAATGAAAACTATTTTTCTAAAGTTAGATATGGAGGATAAATCTAAAACCTTAGTGAGAATTTTCTGAGTCTCAGGTGATTTTGGATTTAGAATTGGAAACACAACATGCTTTTAAAACCTTTTTTTTTTAGAGGATTGCCCAACAAACTTCAGTGGTTAGTCTTTTAAGAAATATGTGTCATCCTGTCATATTATCACAATCACCAAGTCTCTGAGAAACCATACACTATTGAGGGCAAAGAAAATATTGTCAAAAATTGATGGCCAAATGGTTGGCTTATTCCAGCAAATACTACAGAGAACAGGGAAGACAGGTGAATTTGCCTCCAGGTGACACTGTGTTATAGATAGATGTTCCCTTTTCAGAACAGTTCTGTGACACAGTATAGAAGTTTGATTTTTAAAAGTCAGATTAACAAAGACTACCTCTGCAAATAGAAAGCAGAGAGCCACACGATATAAAGAGCATCGCCATTGCCTATACCTCCCCCACCCTCCCTAAACAGCATCCAGTTTTCTACCTCTGACCCCTACTCTAGAGTTCTTCCCTCTTTTCCCTTATTTTGTGTTAGAATGTATAAACATGACAAGAAAGGAAAACAGAATGAATCTTTGCTTTTCTCCCTACATTGGGAGTAGGGAGAGATAAACTAGGGACTAGAGTGGAGACAGTAGAATAAGGGCAGAAGGTAAAGATGAAAGGTAGCAGCACTGCAGGCACAAGAAACCCTGTCCTTCCTTCTGGCTTTCTGTAGAGGAGGTCCACATTGCCCATCAAAGTGTAGTCAACCCCCATCACAGAGCCTAGGAATCAACACTTCATTGGAGAGGGAATTCTCCCACCCACTTTCAGTTGCATTTTAATTTTAGCCTCTCTTCAAGTTGTAAATAGTCTCATAGGGCTCTTCATTTTGTTAGTGCTGTTGAAAAGCTCTGCCCTGCTCATGCAGTCTGAAAGCCTCAATTGATCTCCTGGGATTCATGATGTGCACAATCAAGACAGGGTGGAGACTCCTCGTAGCACTGTCTGCCAGGGAGCTTAGTGGATGGTAAAGAAGAGGGACTTCTCTGGCAGCGCTGAGATCAACGCAAAATTACAGTGTCCCACTCTGGCCCCAAATCCAAACTGTCCTATGTCTGCATCCTCCTCCAGTACCAAGGCCAGTTCCCTGCCTCATATCTCCTTGCCTTGACCCTCACCTCTAAAACTGAAATGTTATCCCAAAGTGGCAATAAGCATGCGCAGTATGGAATTTTGTGCCACATGGCTTCATGGCAGAGTTTT
Organism: Homo sapiens; assembly: GCF_000001405.40. Lineage (NCBI taxonomy): Eukaryota > Metazoa > Chordata > Mammalia > Primates > Hominidae > Homo > Homo sapiens. Next base: position 181,765,951 of record NC_000001.11, read on the forward strand.
TTGGTGGCTAACTTACCAGGCTTTTGCATGAAACATAATAAAACGCCAGGAGGCTTAAATACTGGGAAATGACATTTCATCAGAAAATGAATGACCTTTCTAGGAACTTACAAACAAGTGAGACCCCAATCATTTCACTTTGATTCCAGATTCTTCATTATGGGTGCCACTTTGGGTATGGGAGTGGGAGGGGGTAATACAGGGATTTGGAAGCCAAAGCTAGGTGCTTCATATTTAATTTGCATCACAATTGCTAGGTTATTAATTTTCTGCATGGCAAGTGGGATGAACCCCAAGCCCAGGAAGTTTTCCCAGCTTTCCTTCTAGATATGGGCTACATTTATGGGTGAGTGAATCTCCCTGATAGAGGTAAATTTTAAGCCTCCCTTTGGCCAACTGTTTACCTATCTGTCAGAGGACAAGGATGCCTGAGAAAGTACTACACCTCAAAACAGAACAACCCCAGGGAATAGGGAGTCCCAGTCTGTGTTTGCATTAGCCTCCAGGCAAGATCCTGTACTGCCGGTGACTGCAGGTTGTTGAGCTTGGGTGCTGCTTTTCTTTGATTAACGTCTTATCTCTGCTTTCCTTCCAGGCCCTCCCTTATGTCTGCCTTTTAATTGCCATGCTTTTCTTCATTTATGCCATCATTGGGATGCAGGTGAGCTGGTAAATCAAGGGCCCGGTGGGGGACAGCTGTTACCCAGATAATCTCTGGCTTAGCAACCTAAGCATGCAAGACCTGAAGATGCTTTGAACCCCTTCTTGCCTAAGGGTGCTCCCCTGAGGTCTTGTCACAGTGTGACCTTGGGAATTTCACATGTGCAGTGGCTCCCCATTTTAGCTTGCCTAAGTATTCAGGGTAGTCTGGTACAGGGGCTTCATCTCAGGTTGTCAGATCATGGTGCTAATTCATAAGCAGCTGGGCTTCTGTGGTGACAGCCATAGAACTAAAGCAAAGATGACACCATTGTTCTTAGCCAGAAAGATCCCCCAGGAGACTAAGGATCTATTTCTCAGGATCTCTGGTATTTTGACTTGGCCTAAAAGAAGGTCAGATGTTAGTTCTTCCTGTATATGGTGACACCAAATCACCACATATAGTCATGGCTGTCTTATAGAGTCTTATACTTACACAGTCTTGACTGGCTGAGATTTATGCCCTAAGATACATCACTGTGAACAACTCATGGAGTTCCTGGCAGCCCGTTCATTCCTAGGGAGACTCAAGGGCCACATTCCAGCTAATTAGGCCATGCAACTTCCTGGACAGTTCCCTTGTTTTCCCATCCCAGGTATTTATGCAGGTAGCCAGAGGCCTACTAAGCAGAAGAAGCCAAAGGATCTTTCAAAGATGATGGTGGTTCTTGGTGGGTGAATTCCTACTGTAAATAACCAGCAGCACATCCCATGAACCTATCTGGTTGGAGACACAGGCTTTCTGCTTGTCTCCAGAGGGCTAACTTTCTGACTTGGAGATATTGTGACTAGATCCCAGCATAGAACTTCGGCTATGTGACAGCCTCCTGCAGTCAGGCAGTCTGGCTGCCTTGGGCCTGCTGGCTGCCTTCCCAACTGTGTTGCCACCTGGAGCTGCTGCTGGAGTGTCCCAGCCTTGCTGTGTCTGCAGCCTTTTCCAGACCCTTTCTGAAATGTCTCTTCCTTTCACTCTTCTCTCTTGCCTGTACTTCTTGGTTTCATTCTTTAACTCTATTACTGGAGAATTTTGTTCTCTAAAAATACAATAGAATGTCAAGTGTCAAAATGTGTGAGACTTGGTTGAGAAGTAGTGGGTTCTCCTTCACTGAGGATATTTCAGTAGGAATTTAATGATCATGTTGGCAGTGTTGGAAATAGAATTCCTGCTGAAGTTTCATATTGGCTTTGTAACGTTCATGAAGTCCTGTCTAACTCCAATATATTTGATTCTGGAATTAAAATATTCTTGAAGAGCCAAATGAAAGCTTGATTTAAATTATTTTTTCAAAATTGATTTTTTATTGATGTATAATTGTAGATATTTTTGGGGTACATGTGATAATTTGATGCTCGTATACAATGTGTAATGATCAAATCAGGGTAATTGGTTTATCCATCACCTCAAACATTTATATCTTATTTATGTTGGAAACATTATAATTCTTCTCATCTGGTTATCATGAAGTTCCTTTTGCCTATGCTCAAAATAGTTCTTACCCCTTTTCATCTTCAAATAAAATAAACTAGAATAACACCATCTCCAGTACTGATCTGGTATGAATATTGTTGATTCTGATAATGGTGATAATGCTGTTTATCATTATTTAAATTCCTTGGTGTACAAGACGCTGTACTAAATGTATGCATAGAGAGAGAGTGAGGGGGGAGAAAGGGAGGGAGTGAAAGGAAGAGAGAGTGAGCATGTCCAGGCAAGACATATGACTAATGTTTCTGAGTAATGTGAAAACGTTTATAGGTGAGTTTCATTGTCTCCATTGATGCTTAGCATAGTTAAGTAACTTATAACATGCTCAAGTTCTCAGACAGTAAGTGAAAGAGGTGAGTTGTAAGATCAGCTCTGTCTGCTCCCTAGCCCATGTTCATAACTCTATACTGTGTCTCATCCCACCAGACAAGCAGACACAAGTATTTATTTTTACCCTCTAGTTGGAGGTAGAAGTTGTTCAATTATGAAATTGTAGTCTTCACAATAACTGTATGGTCTAACATCTTATTCCCCTCAGATTTCTTTCCAAAGGATAATAGCACCATGTCCATTCCACAGAGACATGAATGACATTTCTGCTATGACTTGCTTTGAGCTGGCCATCCCCATCCTGGTCTATGACAGAGACACAGCACCAAGCACAAAGCAGACACCTGAGCTTGTTGCTAGAGAGACTGTTTCTAATATAGTCACAACAAAACTGAGGGATCTGTACAAATAATAAACGCAAGGGCAGAGACAAGCTTTTGGAAAAATATTAATAGCAACAAGGTATGTCTATGAGAAAAACCATTATTATTCCAAACTTTCAAAGGCGCCTTGGAAAAAGGGACCTTTGCAGAAGAATCGGAAGTTCGAAAGGAGGAGTAACTTGCTGGGGATGAGAAAGAGCCCTGTGGCTACGTGGTGTCAGGAAGTGGGATTGTCAGCCTCAGCTCCTTCACTGAACAACTGTGTGAACTTGGTGAAGTCACTGTATCTCTCTTCACCTTAACTCCCTCACCAGTACAGTGGAGGTGTTGGTTAGAGACCTTCACAAGTCTCTTCTAGTTCTAAAGTTCTGTAATCCCAACTGAAATGGATTTAAATCTATACTCTCATGAGATTTTTCTATGAGGCCTCAGCATCCCTTCTTTCTCTTCCATACCCTGTTGATGGAGGTTTAAGTTAGTGACAAGGACTAAGTGAAAAGTTGAAAAAAAAAAAAAAGTACAAAAAATTTAAGAACATCTTCACAATAAATATGTGTTTTTGACTTAAATTATGTTTGTTTTGTTCTGCTTTTTGGTTTTTTTTTTTTGTAAAGATGAGGTCTCACTGTGTTGCCCAGGCTTGTCTTGAACTCCTGGGCTCAAGCAGTCCTCTCACCTCAGCCCCACAAAGTGCTGGGATTACAGGTGTGAGCCACCATGCCCGGCTTGACTTGACTTAAATTATCTTAGATTCAAAATAAATAGTTTTGGTTTCTTGGACTATTACACACATACTTTGTGCAAAATCGCAGTGTGCTCTGCAGTTAGTTTGTGATTGGATGAGGTGTTTGAGAAAATCATAATGAATTCAACTCATGATACCTCCAGAAGTGTCATAGGGAAAAAAGACACTGTAAGTTGTATGTCTGTGGTGAATCAGGGATAAATCATGAATTCCAAACCAAGAGGGAAGAAGAGGGCAGGAAATGTGAACAGGGCAAGGATAAATGTCAGTGCCCTCCTGGGGTATCCAGAGTTAATTAGATTTGACTGCTTGGGTGGGATTTTTTAAATGCTACTATTTGTCTCTTTGGGGCCCTCTAGCTGCTTCTTCTCTTTCCATTCTTCTCTGCTGCTGCCTCACTTGCCACCTCCATTCTCCCTGAGAGACAAGTAGTATTTGGGTTTTGAAAAACAGCATTGAGAACAAATTCCCAGAGCAGGTGTCAGTGGGAGTTACTTGAGCAAAATAGCTGGGGGCAGAGATTGTTCCTCAATTGCACATTCTAAAAACTGTGAGGGGGAAAATGTGTTCCATTTAGCATACATTGGATAAACTGAAGCATGTTCAATGCAGGCTGAAAATTGTCTCAAATGACTGGAAAAGTAACCCAGTAAGTCCGCGATTGTCTCAACATTGACTTGTGAGAATAGGTCCTGATACCCAAAATGTGGTTGGGGAAGGAGGGTGCATGTGAAAGCCTCCTTTTCATCTGAAGAGTGGAGGGGTTGACCTTGGCTCCAGGCAGTGCTGTGTCTGGGAGTTCATCATTACTCAGTCTCTGTGGATAAAGATCTCTGAGTGTTCCCTCTTTTGAATGTTCACAGTGATTACATTCTAAGCTCAGTAGCCAGCAGCAGATCAGCAAATCTCATTCTGTCACCCAGAATCTGCCCAAAGCCATTTTCTGTTTTCCTTTTCAAAGTGCCCAGTTGGCCCGACTTTCTCCATCCTATTGGCCTGGACTTCATTTTAGCTCCTGCATAAATGTTTCCTTTTGGATGGGATTTGGGTCTGTTGGATGATACATGTGGACATATATAAATATATGCATGTGGATATATGTGTGTTCAATCTCATAGATTCTACATTAATGACATACAGACCTTCTAAGATGTGACTCAATGGATAGAAACATATCTAAGGAAGATAGAGATGCCACTCTCTAACCTGATCTGCTTGTAAATTGCAGGGTGGCATCTGCCCAAGCCATAAATGATGTCTTCTTGCAAATCTGAATGCTCCCATCATGACTACCTGAGACAGGAAGAGAGGGGTAGCTCCTTCTGTGCACTCCTGCTGTGAGATAATGTCTTTGACAGACGCTTGAGTACCATGGTGACAGGTACCATGGAACTAAAAGACCAGATTAGGTGTAGGAGGAACTATGTACAGGCAGAATGACTTCAAAAGAGCTTGCGTTCTACGTTATGCTTGGACCTTGCTGCATGGGTCCCCTTTGCTGCACTAGAGCAGTGGAGGATAATTATTCTTGCATATCAGCCCAAAAGCACAGTATCCAGCAGCTCTCTGGGTCTGAGTTGTCTGCTTCAGGGGTAGGTCATCGGGAAGAGCCATGCAAGTGGCTTTGCCAACCCTCATGTGCTGGACACATCACACAGCTTGGTAATGCTCACTGTTTTCTGTTGTTTCTCTCCTCAAGGTATTTGGAAACATAAAATTAGACGAGGAGAGTCACATCAACCGGCACAACAACTTCCGGAGTTTCTTTGGGTCCCTAATGCTACTCTTCAGGTACCTGGATGCGTAACTGTCATAGCTGGGGTTCTCCTGATGGAGGGAGAGAGAGTTTGTCTGCCTCTTCCTCCCATTTCCCTTTGTATCTTTATTCCACTTCCTTTGCTCCTGTCAGTAGAAAGGGGAACAGGCAATGTCTTTGCCAAACTGCCCCTATAACATTAGACAGTTTTGTCTTGTCTACAGCCATACCACCATGAATGTGCCTGATCTTGTCTGATCTTGGAAGCTAAGCAGGGTTGGGTCTGCTAAATACTTGGGTGGGAGAAAATTTCATCAATGTCTTTGGCTCAGCAGTTAATTTGCAAATTTTAACTTCAACATGGCCTGCAAGGGTTTGGGAGGGGGGAATGTCAGGACAGTGTTTGCAGACCAAATTCCACTTAAGGGCTGAAACCTTAGATAGCCAGGTTTATGCTGGGTCTTAGAGAATCCCATGACTAGTAGCAGAGACCCCATAAAAGATGGAGACGCAGTGGATGGGGTAGCAGAACCCAAAACAGACCTCAGTGGGACTCTTTATCTCTGCATGGAAAGCACTAGAAGGGGTCAACTGGGTAAAAAGAGAGCCTGTTGGGCCCAGACAAGAGCGAGGATGGGGAAATTGGGAAAGAGGACCAAGAATATGATAGGATCTGCAGAGCTGCTCCTGCTAACCAAAATGTCTCTTGGGCTCAGGAGTGCCACAGGTGAGGCCTGGCAGGAGATTATGCTGTCATGCCTTGGGGAGAAGGGCTGTGAGCCTGACACCACCGCACCATCAGGGCAGAACGAGAACGAACGCTGCGGCACCGATCTGGCCTACGTGTACTTTGTCTCCTTCATCTTCTTCTGCTCCTTCTTGGTGAGCAACATTGTGCTTTTGCCTTGCTATGTGGCCCATCCCATCCTACCCCTAACCCTCTGATACATAGACCGGAGATGTTTGCTTCAGTGTATGTTTGTGCCTCCCTCCCCTCCTCTCTCCACACCCCCACCATGCACACACTCACACTCACGTCCACACCCAGGTTAAGAACTAGATCATCCTCTGGAGAACTCTTGGAGATTAGAGTGCCTGTCAGACTCCTGGATGGGTGACTTTCAATGATTGAGAAAAGTCTTTGTTGGTTCTAGGGAAAGATTGTTGTGAAAAGGGAAGGTGAGCATATTTAAGTGCATTGAGCTTCATATCGAATCTATGGACACTCAGAGTAATCCTTTGTCATACCTCAGGTATTTTATCTTATAAGTACGTCTATGGATATCTTCGCTTTGGGAGATTTTTGAACTGCTTGAGAAAAGGTACCTTGAAAATGCAAGGTTATGGCATTGATAAGAGTAGAATGATGATAATGGAATAAATGTGGTTCTCTCTTGACTTGTAATGTTATTACATTTGATGATAATTGACCAGCTGATAGATGAGAAAGAATGAGATTGCTTGATTGCTTTGGGTGTTAGTAAATATTGAGTAGTATATGTGGAGCATACCCACCTATAAAGTGGTGGGAAGCCCTACGTGCCTCTGAAGTCTCTTTTGGAGAAAGCATGACTCAGCACACCCACTTCCAGAAACTTCTACCCTGCATATCAGACAAGCAGTGATAAATAGAATAATAAAAGGGCCAGTTTAGTGTTTCTGGTCACTCTGAAATTCCTCAGCTCAACTACACTGCTAATGCCACTGGCTGTACAAAAACCTAAAACTAAGACAGTGATGCCACTGAAAAGTGGTCAATTTCATGGCCATGCATCAAAAAGTGAATTAATTGTCTTATGTCCAGGCATTGCTACCTTGCAAGTGATCCCAAGGGGACTGAAACTTCCCACATGTCCAGCTCTCCAGTGAGGGGGGTGGGCTACAGAAAGACCATTAAGTGTTGCCTGTAGGTCAGTGTGGCAGGGAGGGAGCTAATGGGAGATGTGGGCAGCCCACGCAGTAGTCTTGGCTTTGTTCCTCTGCTAGCCTGGGCCAAGACACTTTCCCTTTTATAGCATCTATAAAATGGGAGAAAAAAATGACTTAATAATAGGAACATTTTATACACAATGAACTGATCCATGTGTTTTAATACACTTCCTTCTTATGTATGTGAAAGGTTTTTCAGTAAAAAGAAAAGAATATACAACAGTATCTTATTTACAAATATGGAAGTATAATGTATAAAGAAAAAACCCCCTGAAATTTAGAATAATGCTATTGATGGGAGTTTTCCATTTATTCACATCTTCAGCACATTTTTATTGAGTGGCCATTGTGAGGTTCACTCTCAGCAAGGCCCATCCCTCAGTCACCAGTAGTCAAGGGGTGAAACCAGCTCACAGCTTCCAGGAATCGGTGCTCACTGCTAGGGTGAAATGGAGCAGATAGAAGCGCATGTGGACATCTTACTTTTATCTTATATGGTTTAAGTGTTTCATAATAAATATTTAAAAGAAACCAAAGATATAACTGGAAATTAATTAGGGACCTTAAAGGTACTTTTGGAATTTTGAGACAGAGGGTGCTGCATAATTCACATTACTGTTATTTTTAATGAGGCTATATTCAGCACGAGATGATCTGCTTTCAGATCTATATGAGACTGACTGTGACCTTGGACAAGTCACACAGCTTCTCAACTCAAACCAGCCACTCTACAGAGATTTACTGATGCCTCTACGATGTGCCCGAGGCCTTGTGCTGGAAGCTAAGAACAAAAAATGTGAATCCAAAGCAATTCTGTCCTTGAAGGGTGATGGTAATTAAACCTGCCTCACAAAGAGTTGGAGCAAGCGTAACAACAAGTAATAGGTGTGACTGCACACGCTACACTCTTAATGACTGTTCAAATGAAAGGCAGTAACAGTGCTAACAGTTTTCATTGACATTAATAATAGGTACCCCGAAAAGTATACAAAAGAAATGTCTGGATACATGGAAAACCCTTTCTGTCTCTTGTAAGTGAAAGGGTCCTGCCTGATAGGTAGTAGTTGAACAAGTTCACTGTGGCTCCAACCTCAGAGGCAGAAAGACAGGCCCATGTTGGGATTAGGTTCGCCTGCATGAGACAGAAATCTCCAGATAACAGTGGCTTAACCAGGAGGGATGCTGATTTCCCTTCCACATCAGTGAAGTCTGGAGGAAGGCAGGCAGTCTGTTTATGGTGGCTCCAAAGGGGTGTTGGGGCCCCAGACCTACTCCTGCTTTCTGCTCCATCACCTCTGTGGTGTGTCCCTCATCCTCATGGAAGAGAAGACACCTAGACCTCCAGCCATCCATCTCTACTCTAGGCAGCAGGAGAAAAGAAGGAAGAGAAGAGTCTGGCTGTTAGGTATGACCAGCAGTCTCTGTGTTGTAGAAAGACTCCAACCATGTCCTTCCTCCACACTGTCTCCTTATCCTGTACACCCTGTCTGCATATCTGGCACCTCTGTGCACCTGGCCACTTGGCCTGGGGGTCCACAATAGAGACTCCAGTTTTCCCACCAGTTGTTATCTATCAGGCAGGACCCTTTCACTTACAAGAGACAGAAAGCCCAGCTAAATCTGCTTCAGTAAAGTGGGATTTTATAGGCTCCTGTAAATGAGGAGTCCTGGGGCAGAGCAGGCTTGATATGGGGCTCAGATGATATCACCAGGTCCAGGTTTCTCTCTATTTACAGATCTCTGCCTCCACCTTGCTCCATCCTTGTGAGTGCAAATATCAACATCTCAAGATGGCTGTAGTGGCAGCTCTAGACCGCACATTTTCACACATTTAAGAGCAACAGGAAGAACTATTTTGCCCAGAAGATTCAATACCATTTTATTGGTTTTGATGGGATCACCAACCACTGTGCCCAGGGAAATGGGGTTTAATGACTAGTTGAGGCCTGGGTCACAGGAGGGCATCCCACTGAATCTCACTAACTTGGAACAGCCAAGAACCTGGGCCAGAAATACAGTGAATGGGTGAGCAGGGCAGCCAGGAAACAAGGAAACAGTGCTGTTGAACATCAAGTCCTGTCGATTCCACCTTTGTTAACTCTCTACTCTGGTCTGTGCTGTCGTCCTGCCCCTGGTAGATTCAGGAGTACTGCAACATCCTCCCTTGGTTTCCCACCCACCCTACATGCTGCTACCAAGAGTTCTTTCTGAATGCAAATGTCACTTTATCTCTCTCCTCTCTAAACCCCTTTAGTAGTTCCTGTTGCTTACAGAACAATCTAGATCAGTGGTTGGCAAACTATAGCCCTTGGGACAAATCAGGTTTACCACCTGTTTTTGTATAGCCCATGAAATAATGGCTTCTATGTTCTTAAATGGTTGAGGAAAGAAAACAAAAGATGAATGATGTTTCATGACGTGGAATTACATGGAATTCAAATTTCAGCGTCCATAAACAAAGCTTAACCAGAACCATCGTGTTCATTTGTATACAAATGGTCTGTCTGGTGCTACAACAGCAAAACTGAATAGTTACAGCAGAGACCACACAGCCTGCAGAGCCTAAAATATTTGCTATCTGACCAGTTCACCGATCCTGGTCTACACTCTTTAGCTCAGTGTATGAGATGCTTCTGTGATCCGGCACTTGGATCCAGCTGCTCCGCCCTCCTTGCAGATCCCTGACTATTCCCTGTCCCTGCATACCTCTGTTCTGGCTCGTTTGCTAAAACACCCTCCTCCATGCCCTGAAGCCTGTTCTTCTGCTTCCTGAGCTCTGCTTTAGGTTTCCCCTAACCCCTCTTCTTCCCCTTGCCCTTCAGATGCTCAACCTGTTTGTGGCCGTCATCATGGACAACTTTGAGTACCTGACTCGGGACTCCTCCATCCTGGGGCCTCACCACTTGGACGAGTTTGTCCGCGTCTGGGCAGAATATGACCGAGCAGCATGGTGCGTAGGCCCCTCGGCCGCCCCAGCGGGGCCCAGAGCAAAGGTCTCTGGAGTTCCCAGGGAAGAGGCTGGAATTGGAGCCACCCAAATGCCTGCCTGTTACAGAAGGAAAGGAGATTCCTCTTGATTGTGGCCCATAGAAGAGGCTCTGGTATCAAGCCAGTCACCAAGGACTTCTGTATCCTCCTTTCCCCTCTCTTTCCTTCTGTGACAGGGTTTTCCCTTTGTGGGCTGGTCTCATCATCCAGTCCTCACCTCAGATTATTTGGGCTCAGTCCCAAGAGAACTTTCCAATAATCTTTTTCTGCCAATGGTTAGTGGACTCCTTTGAGTTATCAGGGGGTTTGACAAGGGTTTTTGGCCAGCTGGACATCTGGCCACCATGATCAGTGACTGTGTTTTCTCTTTCTCGTTCCTCTCAACAGATACAGTTGGATATAACTCTGAAATTATTTTTTAAAAACCAAACAAGTTGTTCTTCCAACTGTTCCCTTAAATATTTGTGGATTTTTATTACATGGAACTAAATTAAATGGTAGGAATTGGTGAAGATAACTTCTTTACTGTCTCTTTTGCTGTTTAGTAGTTCTGAAGTGATAGCGTGCCTTCTAGGCTCTAGAGCAGGGATTGGCAAACTACATCCCATGGGCAAAATTCAGCCCATTGTCTGTTTTTGCAAATAAAGTTTTATTGAAAGACAGCTCAACCATTCGTTTACGTATTGTCTCTGGCTGCTTACATACTACAAGGAAGAGGTGAGTGATTGTGACAGAGATGGTATGGTCCTCAAATTTGAAAGTATTTACTACAGAAATATTAGGTTGGAGCAAAAGTAATTGTGGGCCATTTTTGCAACAACCTATATATTTTACTGTCAAAAAATTTACTGCCAGAAACATTTGCTAATCCCTGCTTTGGAGTATAAAGGCAGCATTTTGGCCCTCATGGCTGAGGACAAGGTGAGAGTTCTATGAATGCTTACTCCAAAGGAACTGTTCTGTTCCAGGTCATTTTAGCTTTTGGGTCTTAACTCACCAATCCTCTATCCATTCTGGTCCCCCTCTGAAAAATACTACAAGAAATGTTATCCTTTACAGGCATGGACCAAGTTGCTTCCACCTGGAACCCCCTTCATAATCAGAGACTTTTCCCAAAAATCTATCCTCTGGTGAGGCTGTTGAACTTGGGTCACTGTTTTACAGACTAGAAGGGTGAATCAGAATTCTTTCCTTCATTAATTATTAATGACTTAGGGTACAGAGTTATCTAAATCCATTCCTATTACAATGGCTGAGCAACAGCTTTTTCTTTCTGGTCTTACTTTCTAATAAATAGATCTTAGAAAGCAATGGGCAGTGTGTTAGAGGAGAAGGCAGCCAGGCCTGCGTGTCTTCAGCTCCATGGCCTTGGACAAGTCACGTAACCACTCTGGGCTTCTTTACCTGTAAAATGGTGATCGTGATACCTACATAACTTGCAAGGTGTTTGTGAGGATGATATTAAATCATGTGTAACTGTTATTATAATCAACAATAACCACACGGGAATGCTAATTGGAATGTCTAGAAAATCAGCCTCTGTTACCATGGATATCTATGGGATTGGGAGCCTAAGAAGGGACCTCTTCACTCACCCAAGAGGAGAAACCAACTGTGAGCAAAAAAGTCCATTGTTCATCTGGGCTCACTCAGGTATCCTTGGCTTCCAGAAACCCCAGCTTCTTGTGGTTTCACTTATCTTGGGATCCAAATGCTGTGTGTATAAAACATGCTCCTCCCTACTTATTCCAGTTGCTGGGAAGAAATGATTCCATGAGGATGAATCATGAGACTCAGACGTGTGGACTGGGAAAGAGCATAAAGACAAAGAAGAATTTCTTCTGTGTGCTTTGTAATTCACAGTGTAATTCATTCTAGTTAGTTAGAGTTTGGTTGGCTTTCTTTATAAGGTGGGTGAGGAAGACTAACAAAAGTAATGTGAGCCAGTGTCTTCAAAAGGGGGGCTGAAACCAGTTGCAAAAAATGTCAGTCTATAGCCACTCCCAACCCACCTACTTCCCAATCTCACTAAGGCAAAATGAAAGGACAACTGGCTAAATTACCTCCTCTCAAGAGTTGAGAGACTTGGAGGTACTGATGAGCTGCTATCTGGAAGAATAGGAGGAATCAACCCTCAAATTTCAAAAAGCCTAGAAAGAGTAAAGCTGGGCTGAAGCAATAGTCTCCAGACAGTTGCAAGCAAGGACTGAATGCACAGAGGTGGAGATGTTGTGCTTATAATTTCCAGCGGAAACCCTGGTCTGTTCCAGGGTGTATACAGACCTGCAGATCCCTGGGTGTTGCTTCTTTTTCTGGACGCTGACAGAGAAGATGCTGTAGCCACTGAAAATTAATCAATCATTAATTCTATCCCTTCCATAGGAAGCTGGTACTCTCTAATGGGCTCCTGGGAAAAGGGTTGGTAAGATAGCTAGAATTCTGGCTGGCTCCAGCCAAGCTGCTGTTGGCTGAGTGGCAGAAAGAGGGCTGCGGGGAGAGTGTCCATGGCTTCCTCCCTGGCTGCTCTCTGAACACAGACCTCAGCAGGCTCCTACTGAGTAAAGAAGACTTGCCCAAGCTGAACGCAGAAAAATCTGTCACAAAGAGAAACAAAGCCCTTTGTGATTTCCCTCATGCCAACTGTGCTCCTTGCTAATTAGCCTAATGGGAAATTTGTCTCTTCCAGACTGCAGAAAGCCGCTGACTTCCCACTGCCCCTGAAAAGTGGGTCTGAGTAACTGACTGTAATCAGTGTCTGTGAAAAGCAAACAGTTCTGCAGTCCACTTCAAGGCAGCCTGACATCTGCTCTGGACAGCGGTCTGAGTCATTTGTGAATTGGCAGGCTTTGTTCCTAGAAGCCTAGCTAGAGCCAGGGCTGTGTCTGCATCTGGCCAGGTATGGTCCAGATAGGTATAATGGGGTGCTCTTGGTCATTAGGCAGTTCCCTTTGGCATTGACCAGGCTCTGATTTCCTTAGAAAATTGCAGCAGTGCAGTTTGGCAAGGTAATGGTTCTCTGGTGCTTACTGTTTTCAGTCTCTCCTGGTCTGGCTTTGCCAGGCCCAAGGAAAGAAGCTGCTCTGACCTCTTTCAGCCATCCTCTTCATGGCTAAGCTGTCATTTCTTTTCTACCCTTCTCTGAGTGTCCTATTAACCCACCTGTGCTTCCTTTACAGCGGCAGGATCCCGTATAAGGATATGTACAAATTAGTGCGGGTGATCTCGCCTCCTCTGGGCCTGGGAGAGAACTGCCCCTACAGGGTGGCTTGCAAGGTTTGCCTCCCAGTCCCCAGCCATGATCTGCCGTGGGATGCAACATCTAACCCCTCCTCTCTGTCCTCTGCTCCACCACCACTGCGCCACATGAGGGAACCTTCATGTTGCTTTCCTTTGAGTTTAAAGAGGTCCAAACCCTTCCAGAACCAGCAGCTGTTACATAAAGATAAGGGCATACTTTGGGGAAAAGGCAGAAGAGTTAAGAACTTCATGTGAAGACCAGTGTGATCGCTCTCTTCACATGCACACACTCATGTATGTGTGTATATGCACATGTACACACACACACACACACACACACACACACAGGTCCACCTTAGTCTGTATAGTTAATCAGAGGGACCTCTCCTTTCTCTATAGAATGCAGAAATATTTTTAACCCAGCAAAAGAATTCTGGCTTCTTTTCACTGGAGATGGAGAAGCCTCATTTTAGCAAAAGAGCCTCATCGTCCCATATGTAATGTATGGAGTATGATCCTAGTGATCCCACCCTCCCAGCTCCTGGATGGTCTGGTCAGAATGACTATGAAAGCTATAGGACAGAAGGGGTGAGAAACAAGGAATTAGGGCAAGAGGTGAGAGTAGGTAAAAGAGGCATGGATTTGGTGCTGTGTGGAAGAAGGTAGTAATAGCTCAGAGAGTCTGGGAAGATCACAGTGAATGAAGCACTACTGAGAGAGTCCCTACCTTAGGGTCCTGCCATGGGTTGCTGTGAGGGATCTGAGGGAGCTGTCATAATTTCCAAGTCACTTCTTGTCAGTTACACCAAGGATATTGTTCAGGGGTGAGTAGGACCTCCCTGCTCAAATCTGCCATACCCAGGGAATTCTCTATATCCCAATGGCTCTACTAAGCCCCTATGTGAGGCCAAGCCTGCTAGGTAAGGAACCCTCTCCTGGTGCAAGTGGAGGGAAGCATGGGCTCCCTGGGGCATAGCACTGCCCAGGCAGCTGGAAGATGACCTAGGCTCAGGAAGGATGCCAGCCTGGACAATGGGATAGAGCTGGCCTGGGATGGTGACACGGTGATTCCATACTCAGGAGGCTGGACAGCTGCCTCTGCTGAGACTCTTTAAACTCCACCCTGGTGAAACCCGCAGCCGCATGTGGGAGAGCTGGGGAGGGTAGCATGGCATGCAAGATGCTCTTCCTCCTCCTGTTTTTGTTTCTTCTGTCCCCAGCATGCCATTGACCTGGCACATGCTGGGGAATAAAGAGCAGTCTTGTCCACAGAGCCAGGTGGAAGCAACGGGGCCAACTCTTTGAGCAGCAAGCACAGCCCACCACCTTCAGTGCAAGACGCCGCCTCCTGCTGCACACACACACCAGAGGGGGGATACACGACGTTCTGCCTGTGGGTTCAGTGGAGAACAGCCTGACTTCCAGGCCAGCGCCCCAGCCGGGGTCAGAAACTCCAACCCATGGCTGGAGCACCGTCTATCCGGTTTATACCACTCACACACAGCCCTGGGAATTGAAAATAAGCTGTGTTGTATTGGGGAGGGATGAAGTGAACAGGGAAGTCAGGGGAATGCTAATCGAGGAGAAAATGAGACCCCGTGACTGTTCCCATGGAGAGTCATAGGGACTGAAGGTTGCCACCAGTTTTCCCGGGTCTGTGTGGGGCGTGATATAAACCGCACCAGGATGGAGTCATGTCTACGATTTGCCTTGATTAACAGGTTTCCTATTCTTTTCCCGTTTGTCCATTTTGTTTTGTTTTTCTTCTCCTGTTTTCTGTATTTTGTTCGTTTTTGCTCTCTGGGAATGCCTATTCTCCTCTCCTATCTGTCTGCATCCTTCTCCCCACTTCCTTCTCCTTTCCCTGCCACCCCACTGCCCCGCTAACCCACCCCATCCCAACTCACCACCCTCCATGAGCAGTGGCCGCATCCATTACACTGAGATGTATGAAATGCTGACTCTCATGTCACCTCCGCTAGGCCTCGGCAAGAGATGTCCCTCCAAAGTGGCATATAAGGTAGACCACCCCTTCCTTTGCTCTGGGCTACAGACCAACAGGAAATGGGATCTAGTTGTGGGGAGGCCAGAACATGGGGAGGAAGCCAGGCTGGGGAGGTGGAGGAGGGAACTAAGGAGGAAAGGCACGATGAGACTGAAGAGTCAGGAAGGTTCCCAGGAGGACGAACTCATGAGACAATACAAGGAATGGTTTTTAATACTGTTCAACATGGTTTTTTATGTGATATTTTGTGTTTCTACAACTGTGTGGCTTCTTGTGAGTGAGTTACCTGACAAGCAGTGTTAAGTGGTGTGTTTCCTTTTAGAGGAGGCAGAGTGGTGGCCTGTGGGATGGCATATATGGGCAAGAAGGAAGCCTACAGCAAAACAGCTATCAGTGCTCATATGCAAAGAAATATCTTCAATCAGATAAGGAAATCATGCAGAAATTCCTTTAAACGTGGAATTGTTAGGAGAAAGGAAAATTCCTTTAAACAAGAAATTTTTAGGAGAGAGGAAAACTCATAACAAATGTTTTCACCCATGACATAGGAAGAATGGCATAGGTTCCTTCTAGGTGTAAGAAGAAAAGAGGAACCTGTCTTCCATCCTGTGATAGACTGAGGAATGCAGCTCTATTCCACTAGCCCAGCTACCCAATTCTCTTGGAAATACTCAAAAGGAAGGGAAATAATGGGCACAAGTTGTATTCAGCATTAAATTTGACTTACTGGCATAACATAGTTATGGGGCCTGGCCCCAGAGTTATGGGTGGATTCCCCTATGGCTTGCTGTTTAGAGATTATTGTACACTGGGAGTCACTTGCCCTTGGGGTGCTCATAGCTTTTGGACATGAGTTGTTTTGCCACCCATTAGTAATAGTTACTGTTAGTTCCCCTTTGCTATTTAGACTGACCCAGAACTCTGGAGCTCTTTCATTCACCTAGGAACACATCATAGTAATGTTTCCACTTCTCTAGATGTTTAAAGAAGTGGGAGAGAGATGGAACTCAAATCCAAACAAGAAACTGGCTTTCCACTCTAAGACACCATGTGGCATCAGCTTTAGGCAGGATGCTGCAATGGAACATTAGAGACCCTTCTTTGGGAAGAGGTACTTCCCTCTCTGCCAGGCTGGTGGTTCTGCCAGAGGACGTTCTCCTGCTGCTACCTCACATTGTATGGCCCCAGATAGCATCTCACTGGAACATGGCCATTAGGGACCCTCATTCCCCCCAGTACATGGCTCCTCGTGCACAGCTTAGGGGCTGGCATCCTTTTTGCTCACGATGGCCACATCCAAAAGTACCAGGTGGTAGAATGTGGCCTTGAATTTGTACCTCTGGGATGAAGCTTGGTGGGAGAAGGGGAGCGGGGATTGGAGGAAAAGTTAAAGAGCTCCAAAAGCAAAATACTCTCTGGAAAGTGGATTTGGCCATTTCAGTGTGATCCCTTTCTTTGGGTAAGGGGAACAAGGCCTGCCCACTCTGCTCCTGCCTGGGCCACCCTTCCTCGTTCTGTCTCCTCCGCTCTCCCCATCCTCCTACCCCAGAGCCTGTTTGCACTCTCCCCCTTGTCCATCCTGCTCCACCTCATCCTTTAGACAAGTTGGACTTATGCATGTTCAATCATGTGCGGGCAAATTTCATCTATTAAAGACTCAAAAAGGGGGCACCAGGATACATCTTTCAAGTTAGATAAGCAAAGCAAAATCTCATTTCTCACTGTATTTCCATATGAGTTTCAGGGGGTATTCATGGGACAAGTGGAAATATGGAGCAGCCTTGAACAGGAAATGGAGCCACCTCCCCGAGCTGACTCCTTTCCTTGAGCCACTTCTTTTAGAAATCACTTCCCATCCCTAACAAAGACATTCTTAGGACTCCAAGGGGGGGCCTTACTGAATGATTAGGGAAGCCCCTTCCCTTTGGAATTTGGCATCATTCCCTTGGTGGAGAAAAAACAAACAAACTACAACAACAACAACAACAAAACAGCAGCAAATGAGCCTTAAGTGAGAAGCAGGGAGAGAAGGACTGGGGCAGGGGATGGGGATCCTTGCCCTTCTTTTTCGTCTGTGCATTTGACCTCTACCCTTTTCTTCCTTTCTCACTGAGATGTCTTTCAATTTTTTTTTTTTTTGCCTGCTGTTTCTTTTTTCTCTTTCACACAGAGGTTGGTCCTGATGAACATGCCAGTAGCTGAGGACATGACGGTCCACTTCACCTCCACACTTATGGCTCTGATCCGGACAGCTCTGGACATTAAAATTGCCAAAGGTAAGCTTAGCTTAGGAAGGGAGGTGGGAAGGAGGAATTCTGGAACAACTCATGCAGGTGGCACAGGATGGAGATATTTGAACTGTCATCTATCCAGTTAAGGACACAATAATGCAGTCATCTGAACATCAAGTATCTGACTCAATAACTAATAATTGCCCTTTCCTTCTGGTACAGTGAATGGTTTGATAATCTCTAGGGCTTCTTTCAGCTTTAAAAGTATATGATCTTCAGTGTCTGGCTCACAATAGGTATTCTAGAAATATTTATTGACCAGAGGTTAATTTTGTCCTTTTTTTCTGTATATGGTTTATTTTCTCTGAAGTCTTGAGAGGCTTCTGTGGCAGAAGGTGCTGTCATAGAGGCCATGGTAGTGTTTTATTCCTCTTGATTTCTAATGATTGATTTAGGAGAGAACAGGCTTACTACTACTTCCAGGTGGACCTTTAGCCTTTCTGCTTTTGTGCAATCTAAATCCTTTTTAAAATCAGGTCACTCAGACTATGGAGTTAGGGTTGCTGGAGGGATTGATGTATGGATAAGAAGGCAGAGGAACGTACTTGCGGCTATTGTTATTTTCTCCTCTGATGTATTGAGCACCTGGGAGGCTTTTAGAACGAATGAGGAAGTTGCTCTTAGTCTGAGGGCCTCAGATCTCTTGGCAGGATATCCCTGAGTCACTGAAAAAGGGAGCCAAAATGTGTTCTGCTTCTTCAGCAGAAAGACCTGGTATTGCAAGATCCACTGTCACTCAGTGCCAAGATTTCCTCTTAAAATATGAGGTGCCCTGCTGATTCAGCTCCTACCTTCACCTCCTCCCTCAGTCCTGGTTATTTCTGGGTCTATTCTATTTATTAGTAATTTATCTTATTCTAGGTGGTGCAGACAGGCAGCAGCTAGACTCAGAGCTACAAAAGGAGACCCTAGCCATCTGGCCTCACCTATCCCAGAAGATGCTGGATCTGCTTGTGCCCATGCCCAAAGGTTTGGGTCTTCTCCTGGGTATCCTTGTCACTGTGGGCCCAGCATGTGAAGACTACGTCTTTGGGGGGAACCCAGAGTGATCAAAGAGATAAGGAAAGTTTGCCCTTTTCAATTAATAAGGACAAAAGGGACTTAAGGATAAAACATGTTCTTTAAGATAGGTCACTGTGGTTGTGGATGAGACTTCCTGGGTGTATAGCTCTCTCCCTCCATATAATACTGCTCAGCAAACCTTCATGGGAGAAAGGATGTTGTCACTTAGCTATAGAGATTTAGAATGGTAGGCGTGATGCTTACTCATGTACTGCTTATCCTCAGTATCGTCACCATCACTAGGTGGGCATGCAAGCCCCCTGAGGACAGATCAGGGGATCTATGCACTCTGCATCCTCAGATCCTGGCACCATGGGGGCCCTCAATATACATTGGATGAATGGGTGACTGATAGCACAGACCTGTTCCAGAGAGTGGGTAACAAAGCTTAGAGGTTCCTCACTCTCTCCCATTATCTACTCCCTGTTCACCATCATGCCACATTTGTGTTTCTAGCCTCTGACCTGACTGTGGGCAAAATCTATGCAGCAATGATGATCATGGACTACTATAAGCAGAGTAAGGTGAAGAAGCAGAGGCAGCAGCTGGAGGAACAGGTGAAAGTCAATGCCAGCATGCTAAGTGGGTGGGCCATGAGGAGTTGCAGGAGGGAATAGGCCTGTGCCTCCCTGGGGCATAGTGCCCGGCAAGGACTTAGAAGCAGCAGTAATGGGTGCGGGGCCCAAGAACTTTCTAGTGACGTGGAATTAGAAACCCAGTGGATCGAAGGTTAAAATGGTCAAACAAGGGATAAGTTATGTGCCTGTATTATCCATGTTAATTTTATTTTCCCCACAGCAAACTCCGTAGTCATTGGAATTCTTTCCTTCTTCTTCCCTCTTTTTACCCAGAAAAATGCCCCCATGTTCCAGCGCATGGAGCCTTCATCTCTGCCTCAGGAGATCATTGCTAATGCCAAAGCCCTGCCTTACCTCCAGCAGGACCCCGTTTCAGGCCTGTGAGTAGCACCAAAACATCCCTGGCATGGCTGTTTGCAATCTGTCACCCATGCTGTTGTGCAGACCCCAAAACTCACTGCTCAGAAGGGCCCAAGAACAAATACTCTGAGCTTGAGTGATCCTTTTTCTGAAGTTGAATATCTTAAAGTGATTTTCAGCAGGAGTAAGAGAAAAGCAGACTAAGCATACTTAGCACTGTGGTCAACGTCGGTGATCACTTTGAATGAACAATAGAAGAAGGGAGTTTGACTTCTTTTAATATACTTGGGTCTTATAGAGGAGATTATTTTTCTTCACAACAGAACTACAACTAATTCTTGATTATCGCTTCCCCGTGGATCTAGTGTCCTGCTGGAAGATAGAGCCTCCCTCACAGGTGCCATGCTGGCTGAGTGTAAGAGGGGAATAAAACCAGCAGTTACTGCTTTCCCTGAGGTTGACACTTATAGAGACACTATTTGCAGAATCTCACTTGATTCCCACTCTAGCAGCCTACTATACCCTGGAGGTATATATTAATATCACCACTTTACACATGAAGAAACTGGAGACTAACTGAGGTTAACTACGTTGCCTAAAGTCCTGGGTAGTAGAATGTGGAACTGGAATTTAAGTTCCTTATTTCTGACCCCAGAGTGTTTTCACTATACCATGTTTTCTTTAATGAACAAAAGGGACCTTATTCAGAAAGGGAACTTACTTTTTCTATAATAGGAGTAAAAATAAAACACAAATTAAGGAATTTTCCCATCCTTCTGAGTGATAAGCCTTTGCCCCAATTAATCTACTATAGCATATGTATCTCATAACATTATATTTCGATCATCAGCAAGCATTTAGTGCATACCTAAAGAACACAAGTATTTCTACTCAATGTAAATGAGCTTTTGTGATTGGGTTTAACAAAGTCCCAGTTCTTACAAAACCAGGAATCACCAAATCGCTTATGTTAATTACTAAGAGAGTGATACTTAGGGCTTGGGAATGAGACTTCTGTCGGAGTCATTTGGAATTGCTCAGATCATTGATTTCTTTCTGCCTGTGGGGCTGGACTGTTTTTGAAAAGCACTGTTTTCAGAGATCAAAGTCCAACATCTTTGGAAGAGAAGAAAAGGATGAGAGTCATGACCAAGGTCATTTTTTTTTTAAATAATTTGATGTTATGAAGTACAGTGTGTGAATTCTCCTGTCCACAGAAAACAAGTCAGTGTTTATCTTCTGCTTGTGTAGGAGGGAGGGAGGGAAAGAAGTATGATTGGAAGAGTGGGACCTCTTCACTGGAAGGGTTTACACTGTTTTTTGTTTGTTTGTTTTTTTGAGACGGAGTCTCGCTCTGTTGCCCAGGCTGGAGTGCAGTGGCACGATCTCAGCTGACTGCAAACTCCGCCTCCCGGGTTCATGCCATTCTCCTGCCTCAGCCTCCCGAGTAGCTGGGACTACAGGCACCCGCCACTATGCCCAGCTAATTTTTAGTAGAGACGGGGTTTCACCGTGTTAGCCAGGATGGTCTCGATCTCCTGCCCTCATGATCCGCCTGCCTTGGCCTCCCAAAGTGCTGGGATTACAGGCTTGAGTTGTTTTTGTTTTGGCAGTCCTTGGCTTAGAAATGGGGGATACCACCCCCTAAATTGCAATCTCTGTTTATCTACAATTTGCTTTACAAATTAACCCACCACCATAGGATCACTCTGTCTTTTCTCCATGTATTTATTGATCCATTTACTCATTGATTTTTACCAATATTTATTAAGAGCCAATATGTCCCCAGAGCTGACTTAGGCACTGGGGCTATGGCAAAGAACACGTCCCCATGGAGACAAATCTGGAAGAAGAAATTACAAGAGCAATACAGGCAAACGATGCTGAAGGGTGGGCTGTTGTGATGTCATGGAAACAGCTCACTCAGTTTGAGGGTTTAGAGAGTCCTTCCTGAGGAAGTAACATTTGAGTGAGACTTGAAGACAAGCTCTTCAAGAGTGGTAAGAGAAAGTATGGTAAGTTTAAGGAACCTAAAAACTGTCATGATGGTTGGAGCATGGAGAGCTCAGGGGATGTGTTAAGTTATGGATTTGGAGAGATACACAGGGGCTAGTACTTTGGGGGCATTATAAGCAGGATAAAGAAATTGGATTTTGTCTTTGGATAATGGGGTTTTATGCATCAGAATCATGTGATCAGATGTGTGCTTTCTTGAATTCAGTGTAGGCTAAATGGATTGGAGGGAAGCATTTCTAGAGGCAGGAACACCATTTCGTAGGTTACTGCAGTTGTGTAAATTATCAGTGATAGTAGCTTGGACTAGCAGGATAGAGATGGAGACAGATGGTCAGATGTGAGAAATTTGGTAGATAAGACTGGATAGGATTTGGTGATTGATTTGCTACTTGGACTAAAGGGGAAGGAGGAAGCAAAGGATTCTGGGTGAAGCCTTTGGGTGCATGTTGGTACATTTCCTGACATTGGGACACTGGTGGAACAGCAGGCTGGTTCCTCAGAACCATCTGTGTTTCTAGAGCCATGCATTGTTCAGTAGAGGTTGATCTAGGGGTATAGTGGTAGACATAACAGATAGGGTCGCTCCCTCAAATATGGTGGAAAACCAGACATTAAACAGAGGATTATTGGAAAGAAGAAAAGTTGCATTTTCAGTGATTTACTTACAGTTCTGATAAGTGCTAGAAAGAGTTTACAGAGTGGTAGGGGAGTTGGAGAGAAGTGTTCTGCACTCTTAGAGTGGCCTCTACTAAAATCTCGAGGCAGAAACAAGCCTAGCCTATCCAATGAACTAAAAAAGGCCGCCATGTCTGGAGTTCAGGGAGCAAAGGGGAAAGTGGTACAAGAGGAGGCTAGTGACGTAGGGACCAGATCATGAGGGAGGCTGTGTTCAGAATTCTGGACTTTATGCCCCGGCTTGACAAGGTTTTCAAAGTAGGAGATCACTCTGGGTTCCAGTTATTTAACTCTGTGAGATTATTAAGTGATTCCAAGGGTCCTCTCCCTCTAGTGAGGATTCTATAATTATTTACTCTCTGTAGGACAAAAAGGAACCCATTTCTTTCTTTCTGAGACATGATCTCATTCTGTTGCCCAGGCTGGAGTACAGTGGCACAACTGGCTCACTTTAGCCTCGACTTTCTAGGCTCAAGTGAACCTCCTGCCTCAGCCTCCTGTGCAGCTGGGACCACCCCAGGCACGTGCTATCACTGCTGGCTAATTTTTTTTGTAGAGACAGGTCTTGCTTTGTTGCCCAGGTTGGTCTCAGATTCCTGAGCTCAAGCTATCTTCCCGGTTCGGCCTTCCAAAGTGCCGAGAGTACAGGTGTGAAACACAGTGCAAAGCCGAGAACTCACTCATTCTTATACTAGCTGTGCTCAATCTTGTTCCCAGTGGTTCTCAGGAGATGCCACAAGTGGGGAAGATGACTGACATTTAGGCAGGTCATTTAAATACTGTAAAAACTCTGTAGCAGCTGTGAAAACTCAGCAAAAGCTCTCATTGGAAGCAAGGGGACAGATTAGGTGATTCTCTGCTCTTCATATCTTCTCCTGTAATCTAAAAAAACATTCCTATGGATTGTTTTTAAGTAATTGGCAATCCTTGCTCATGCCTTGAGTTTTCCATTGGATGCAGAGTCATCAGCAGTAGACTTAAAAGAGATGGTGTCCCATCTCTCCCTCCTAACTCCGCCACCAAGAGAGCTGCTGCCCAGCCACTGACCCCAGTCCTTCCTCCCATAATCTGGAAGCTCACTCTGCATTCTTGAGCAGGTCAGATGGTAGCTATTACCATACTGGTGGCAGTCAGCCAATAATTTGGCAACAGGCACCTCATTCTCCAGAAAGCTTGGCTGCTTCTTTCTCTCCTAACAAGCCCAGTGGATCCCGTCAGGTTAAGAGTATCTGGAAGTACTAGACAGTGGTTTAATAACAAGCCTACTGTGCCAGTTCTGCATTCTTTTCCCTTGGAGGCCTCTAAACAACTGGGCAGACTTTGTCTCCATCCTCTTTTCTCACCACCATTTAAACCTCTTCCTACATTGCCATCAACCAAGAGGTTTTCAACTCCTCACCACCACCTCTGAAATCCTTCTCAGTTCATGAACCAACAGACTTAATGTATGGTACAAAGTAGTCCTTCAATAAATGGCAATGGAATTGGACTTAATTGTTTAGTTTGGCCAGGGATGTTGGCGAAATAAGACCATATTCTTACTGCGAGTAGGGAAAATTTTTAAAAAGTCCATGGCTGCTTAATATTTAAACAAACTGTTCACTGTGTAAACTAGGGTGTTTTTCCGCCAAATGGGGAAACTGAGCAGAAATAGGTTTACAATCTAGTGTTGCTCTTCCATATGGCTGAATGTGACAAATGATGTCATTTGTCATAGACATGCTAGCCCCCGGCAGAATAATGAATGGTTTCAAAGGCAGGATGCAGGTTGAAAACATCAGTTTCTGTCTCTTCTAGTGCTTTTTTTTTTTTTTTTTAATTTCAGGACTAGCCACATGTAAGTTACTAGGTTTACAAAAGCCAGCCAAGGCTAAAGGGTGTTGCCCTGCTGGGGTGGGAATTGCTAGTGGCATGACTGTCCCTCATTACCTCTGGATTTGACATTGCTTTTCAGGAGTGGCCGGAGTGGATACCCTTCGATGAGTCCACTCTCTCCCCAGGATATATTCCAGTTGGCTTGTATGGACCCCGCCGATGACGGACAGTTCCAAGAACGGCAGTCTCTGGTGAATGCATGAGTTATATGACCTCAAAACTACTTCCTTGGTTTCCTGATCCCTCTCACTAATTTTATTACATAGTCATGGTCCGTCAGGAAAATCCATTCTAGTAGTTTAGCCAGTTGCCCTGGAGGTGTCCTGCCTTAGCCCTTTTCTAGCCCAGTTTCTCATGTGCTCTGACAATGTTCCCTCTTCAGGTTTTACAGTCCCAGAGGTCCCTTCCCTGCAGCAGGAACTTAAATTGCTTTAGGCCAAGCCCTCTTAGTTTATGCCCGAATATCAAGTGTAAGACCGGAAGTCACTTATAAAATCTTGCCTTTGATGGGGAGCTTGAAGATGCATCACCAGAGAATGAGTGACACCAACCCTGCCTCTTAGTGTAGTTAGGTACTGCTTGTGGGACACACAAATGCCCCATGCCATTCCTTAGTGATGCCCACCTCCTCTAGAACCTAGCAGCAGCATGTGCCACAGTGATGAGCTGCCTGCCAGGAGGCACAGAAGACTGTCTTACCTCTGCTCTGTGTGGGTTCAGGCACATTGTCCCTTTTGGTCACAATTCAAAGACATTCTAACAGGCCACTAAAGTCACTTCCCTGACCCCAAAATGAGTTTATTAGCATAAATGGTGAAATTCCTGGCTGGGTGCGGTGGCTCACGCCTGTAATCCCAGTACTTTGGGAGGCCAAGGCGGGCAGATCATGAGGTCAGGAGATCGAGACCATCCTGGGTAACACGGTGAAACCCCGTCTCTACTAAAAATACAAAAAAAATTATCCAGGCTTGGTGGCAGGCACCTGTGGTTCCAGCTACTCAGGAGGCTGAGGCAGGAGAATGGCATGAACCTGGGAGGCGGAGCTTGCAATGAGCCGAGATGGCGCTGCTGCACTCCAGCCTGGGTGACAGAGCAAGACTCCGTCTCAAAAACAAACAAAAAAGCAATTCCTGAGAGACCTATTGAGTCAAGTGAAAGCCTGAAGAAGAGAGGAGAGATTCAAGTTTTGGCTTAGCTAATACAAAGCTAAAATATGGTTCCTAAACATCATTGACTTTACCATTATTCCTAGTTCAGGAGCCATGAGCTCAAGGTCCCCCACCCCGACCTTAGCTTAGAATTGAAGCCCAAGCAGTCACTGGACTGAAGAGAAAAAAAGACAAAACCCAACCATTGCAAAAGTCTGTACAGACAGCTTGTACTAAGTGAGTTCCATATCATTTAAATTCTGATTCATCTGTGGCTCTTCTCTCCCCTTCATTTCTCTCCTGATCCCTCCCCGCTGCTACTGTGTACCTCAGAGCCACCCTGAATGATGTGTGATGGAATGGGCACCCCCACAGAGGGCGAAAAACACTCAGTAGCTCAAACAAATGCGTGCTTCTATCTCCTGCGAGTGCTGAGACAGAGAATCGTGCATGGTTGTGTGGGGGAGACAGTTAGTCCAGACGCCCCCAGGGCTGAGCAATTGACTGCCTGAGGGTGTTCTTGATGAGGCAGGTAGGAACTAGTAGAGTCATTCTCTGCCCTCCCCTCTGAGGAACTTAGCACCAAGACCTGTGGAATAATAAACTATAGATAGTTTGATTCTTAAAAAGACCTCGCAGCATTTTGCCTGCCTGGCGATGTGTCTAGTGGGAAAAAAATCTCAATAATGTGTCCTTTCTTTCACAGGGAGACTTTATGACATCATTTCTGCGGGTTCCCCAGGGCTGAGCCGTAGTGCCAGGACTTTTTGGATATGTGTTCATCTCATTGTCAGTACCAGTGTCTGTAATTCAATTTAGGTGTCAGCCTGTGCTACACACTCAACACTGTGTACTTCTGCCCATCCCTCGGGGCTGCTGCTCCATGTCCCCAGGCGTGGCCATGATTGTGTGTGTGCATATGGAGTGTGTGTCTCACACCACCTCTGATACCTGTAGACTGCAGTGTTGTTACCACGTCTGTCTGGAGTCAGAACTGTGTGCTATACAAAGCATGTACTACAAACAAACACTATAACTCCCTCAAGTGCACCATAGCACATGTCTTGGGAAAGTACCCCTG
This sequence comes from Homo sapiens, assembly GCF_000001405.40. Classification (NCBI taxonomy): domain Eukaryota; kingdom Metazoa; phylum Chordata; class Mammalia; order Primates; family Hominidae; genus Homo; species Homo sapiens. Next base: position 181,792,595 of record NC_000001.11, read on the forward strand.
CCATACACACCAGAAACCGCTCAGCCAAATGGTCACATAGGCTAAGGTGGGGGTCCCAGACACTCTTTCCTTTGGGCAATGCCCTGTTTTTAGGGTGTCATTTCCTAAATATAAAATAGCTTTTTCTGGTACGATCTCCATCTGCCCAAGATGTTCTTAGGTCTTTTTGTTAGGTAGCCCACGTAAACATCTCTCATACAGCTCTTTATGCAATGATACTAGCTATCTGTATAGCGCATGCACAGCTGCCAAACAAGAATGACAGAACCTTAGAGATTTCCAGTCCAACCTGATAACACTGTAGGCTGGCACAGTCCAAAACAATAGCTCTTAGCCACATGTGGCTAGTCCAAATAAAATATAAACTATCTAATTTTTATATTGATTACATGTTGACATGCTACTATTTGGATATATTCAGCTAAATTAAATGTTATTAAATTTCACCTTTTACAACATGGTTAACAACATGGTTACTTGGACATTTAAAATTCTGCAAGTGGCTTGCATCATCCTTCCATGGGACTGTGTCACTCAGGGCATCCCTGACAGCCACCCACCACATCTTTGGATGGTTTCAATCAGAAGAAAACTCTTAACGTCACGTGTCTTAAGGCTTGAGAAGACGTATTTGACATCAGAAATTGTTGACTTCCCTTAGAAAACTGGTTTCTATTTAATTGATAAAAGGCTTCTTCAGATTAAAAGAATAAATCCAATGCTATCACTTCTTAGAAAGCGAACTTCACATATCTGAAAAGTATTATACCAAACAGTGTTTGTTGCAGAAAACAATAAAATCTGAATCATTGCTTAGTGATGAAAAAGAGGAATCTACACCAGAAAAATAGGTGACCTTCAGCACTCAATCCCAGCTAGAGCTTCCTGTCCGGAACATATAGCACATAGGTGCACATAAACACACACACACATATACATACAACTGAGACCTTAAAGCTGCAAGTCTCTCTTTTGAAAGCCATTCTTGAGGAGGCTGAATTGTCCACTGGACGTGAGAAGCAATGAGATGGAACCAAGTCCCACAAGCTTGGCTGTGTGTTTATTTCCAGGAGCCAGAGGTTAGTGAATTAAAAAGCGTGCAGCCCTCTAACCATGGCATCTACCTTCCTTCGGACACCCAGGAGCATGCGGGATCTGGGAGGGCATCTTCTATGCCACGTCTGACTGTGGATCCCCAGGTAAAAAGCAACCACCTACATTAATGCAGTGGCATCCGGGCTGTATTAGCTGGGTTATGGAATAATATCTGATATTTGCAGGTGAGCCGTTGACTTGCCCGCACCCCTTCCCTATAAATAAAACCTGGCTCATGGGTCGTCTCTAATAGAGCCTGCTTCTCCGGTGTTTTCAATGACCCCCCCTAACCACAACAGCCCAGCGAACAAAATTGCATACTTCACTCCGGACGGGTTAAACATTCTCAAGATTCAACCAGCCATGCAAGAAATATTTTCCAGGATTTTCTCTGTGTACTTCTCCATCCTTTTTTTGTTTCCTGACTCCTCCAGCACATATGCAGTTACTTACACACACAGGTCTGTGTCAGGACTGTCTGTCCTAACCAGTGCAGGCCACATCTCATTTCTTTGTCTGTTTTCCTGGCTTCTTTTTCCTGTCTGTCGGTCTTACATCAGGTTTTGACAGAGACAAGAAGTTTTTGTAGATTTGTTTTAATATCTGTGGCAAATCAAAATGCCAGAATTTAAAACGGGGCTAGGTGGGATTGATGGCAGCAGAGGGAGAGTGATACATTCTTAGCACTTGTTAAATTGCAAGCTCTCCTAGGCTCTAGTGCTGCAGGGCAGGGCCTTCTCTGGCAAGGGCGTTTAAAAAAAAAAAAGCAAAGCCATGCTTCTTTCATGAATGGGGTGGCCTCTTAGACAATTGCCCTCACATGTTTCAAAGCAGCACAGTATTTGCTGCAGCCTGGCTGCGCCCCATGGTAGAGGGCTCTATGGGAGCTTGCACAGTTCCTGCCTGCATTCCGCATGGCTTTGCCTTGGTACACTCAGCTACAGAAGAAAAGATCCTGGACCATTTCCAGTGACTATATTAACATAATGTAAGGATGCTTTCTTGAACAGTTTCCACCAGCTAAGGTTTGAGCAAGAGAGATTCAAGGGAAGTTACCATTTCCAGGGGTTACAATTTGCCTTCCTTAACGTCTCAGTCTTGCTGCTTCTGTCCTTTTAGATCTTTTCAATCGTTAATCCATACCTTGTGTTTCTCTGGGGGCTTGTATTTCCAGGTGGTGACAGACCCTAGCTCCATGAGACGTTCATTTTCCACTATTCGGGATAAGCGTTCAAATTCCTCGTGGTTGGAGGAATTCTCCATGGAGCGAAGCAGTGAAAATACCTACAAGTCCCGTCGCCGGAGTTACCACTCCTCCTTGCGGCTGTCAGCCCACCGCCTGAACTCTGATTCAGGTGAGGAGGTCTTCAGTGTCCAGCTCTTTCATCAGGCAGTGGGCTCCTGCCCTGATGCACTTACTCTCCAAGGACTGTAGATAACCAGAAAAGAATTCAGAGACAAGGGCTGAAGAAAGTGAAGGATGCTCCTTACCAAAGGGAATTCCTGTATCTGACTTACATCCTGAAACAGGCCAAAGCCCTCCTCTGTGTTCACCGGAAAAGCTGTTGCAATCCCTTCCTTCTGGAGCAGGGCTATACAAATCATTAGAATTGAGGGAGCTTTTCAAATAGCCTTCTACAAAACCACTGGGGCTTTTTAGGATTGTATTAGAGACCCACTGTAAGGACTGAACTTTAACCACCAGTTCCACTTCAACCTAAACAGTGCTACCTGGAGTTATTTCCTGTGTTTGAATTTTTTTTTTTTTTGAGACAGAGTTTCACTCTGCAGCACAGGCTAGAGTGCAGTGGTGTGATCTCGGCTCACTGCAAGCTCTGCCTCCCGGGTTCACACCATTCTCCTGCCTCAGCCTCCTGAATAGCTGGGACTACAGGCGCCCGCCACCGTGCCCGGCTAATTTTTTGTATTTTTAGTAGAGACGGGGTTTCACCATGTTAGCCAGGATGGTCTCAATCTCCTGACCTCATGATCCGCCCGCGTAGGCCTCCCAAAGTGCTGGGATTACAGGCGTGAGCCGCTGCACCTGGCCTGAATTTCTTTTAAGCTTTTTGCTTTAAATATATATATATATATATATTAGTCTGGCTCAACTATTTTGTTTTATTGGATAAAGGAATCAAAGTTGAAAAAGCAGTGACTTGTCCCATGTCATAGGGCCATTAAGTGGCAGAACTGGGACTAGCACTGGGATCCTTTCATTTCAATCCTGGACTTCTCACCATAGCATTATGTTAGGTGTGTTATTATTTAGTTCATAGAAATTTCTTAATTCCCTTCTGCTGGTGCCACCTTCCCCCCAAAAAGTTATGCAGCCATATTTATGATAGAGTTCCTGAGCCATATTGTTAACCAAGATCCTATATTGTGTGTAGCATAAATAGAAACAGAATAGATTGCATTGTTTGACATATGTGTCTCTAGTGGCACCTTGCAAACTTACCTGCTTACAAAATAGGTAATTTGCTAGCCTGCCTTTCTCCCCTGCTTCCCTTTCAGATCATCTTTTGACATACCTGGAGAAGCCAGGATTCTTTTAGGGGCCTATCTTTTTTCAGGCTGCTACAACAAATTACCACAGACTGGGTAGATTCAATAACATGTATTTGTCATGGTTCTGTAGGCTGGGAAATCCAAGACCAAGGTACCAGCAGATCCCTGTCTTCTTTCTATTCTCACATGATGGAGAGCAGAGAGACAGGAAGCAAGCACTCTCAGGCCTCTTCTTATCAGGGCACTAATCTCATCATGGAGGCCCCACCCTCATGCCCTGCCTCCTAATACCATACCATCAGGAACAAATTAGGCCTCAACATTTGAATTTGGGGGGGGACACAAACATGTGGTTCCTCTGAGGGCCCAACCCCAGGCTGTGATGTGATACTTGGAGAGAAGTCCCTTCATCATCATTGGTCAGAGTGGACAGAGTTATAACCAAGTGCTTTTGTCACCTCTCACAGGCCACAAGTCTGACACTCACCGCTCAGGGGGCAGGGAGCGGGGACGATCAAAAGAGCGAAAGCATCTTCTCTCTCCTGATGTCTCCCGCTGCAATTCAGAAGAGCGAGGGACCCAGGCTGACTGGGAGTCCCCAGAGCGCCGTCAATCCAGGTCACCCAGTGAGGGCAGGTCACAGACGCCCAACAGACAGGTGAGCGCAGAGAGGAAGCCAGTCTACAGCAGAAGGACAGGGGAGGGTGGGCTGTATCATTAGATGCAAGTCGTGAGCATTTCGCAAACGCATTCAAGTACCCACAAAGACTGGAATTTCACAGGAAGCTATACCTATAGTGCATAGAGGTTAGCTGCTCAATGCTTGTGTACTCAGAGATGATCTGAATTCACAGAAAACCAGATTTCCCCCAAAAAGATGGTGTCTAGAGGTCATTCCATTCCAGCCTTCAGAAACCAGAGATATAAATAGGTTGACAGCCAGATTTTGGAGGAGAGGATGGTCCTTTAGCCAGAAAGTTTCCTTTGGCCATCTTGTGATCCTCAGTATTTGTGAGAATTGTGATTCATCTCTCAGCCCAGGATTCACAAGTCAGAGCAGTTCACCCTCATTTACCTAGCTTGCAGCCGTCCCAGCAAGATCATGCCTTTTGCTGAACCACCAGCTTGGTGCCTAAGGAATAACTATCAGATCTGTATGAAAACATTCATAGACTCTGTTTTACTCCTTACTACAGCCCTATCTCTAGTCATGGCATTTTGACCCATAATAGGAGACCCCCTCAACAGAAACGATCAGCGGAGAAAAGGCAGGGCTGCTAATGCAAACCTTTAGAGACACAGCAGTCGAGAGGTTTCCCTTCTAGAACAACAGTTTTCAAATTTTAGTGCAGAACAGCATTAACCCATGAGGTTTACTAGCACTGCACATTCCTGGTGCCTGAAGGACCCAGGAGTCTGCCTTTGAAAAGACCCCTCTGTAGGATTCTCAGCAGGAGGTTCGTAGGTCACACATACCTTAAGAAATGCTCTCCTGGAGGTTTACTTCCCAAAACCTGGGCTCAGTTTCCCTTGGGAATAGGTGAGGGCAAGTATGGCCTGAGCCAACAACTGAGTGTATCAGGTACAGAAGCTGAGTTCAGCAAACCACAGAAGACATGGGCAGGAATAAGGGTTTCCCAGCCAGAGCAACTCCAGCATTTGTTCACCTTCCACAGAGTTGTCTTTCTCAAGTTTAAAGTCTCTCTTTTAGTGTGCCCCTTGTTACATATGTAGAGCTTCCTTAGTAGTCCAAGTGCTTGTTCCACAGACCTGCCACCCCTAGCATCACCTGGAAGCTTGTTAGAAATGCAAAATCTCAGTCCTTGCCCCAGATCTTCTGAGCCTGCATCTGCAGTTTAACCAGATCCCCAGAGGTTTGTATGCACAAAGTCTGAGATGTCCTGGTCTAAATGTTCTTGACTCCTTAATCTCTTCAATCCCTTTTTCCCTGAGTGGATGTGAATACTACAGGGAGCTCCAGCTCAGGCCTCTCCCTGACAGAATTCAGATTCCAAGGACTCTCTTAACAGAGTTGCAAGTAGGGATCATGCCAAGCCCAATCTAACATGCCATGTCTCTCCTGCTATACAGGGCACAGGTTCCCTAAGTGAGAGCTCCATCCCCTCTGTCTCTGACACCAGCACCCCAAGAAGAAGTCGTCGGCAGCTCCCACCCGTCCCGCCAAAGCCCCGGCCCCTCCTTTCCTACAGCTCCCTGATTCGACACGCGGGCAGCATCTCTCCACCTGCTGATGGAAGCGAGGAGGGCTCCCCGCTGACCTCCCAAGCTCTGGAGAGCAACAATGCTTGCCTGACCGAGTCTTCCAACTCTCCGCACCCCCAGCAGAGCCAACATGCCTCCCCACAGCGCTACATCTCCGAGCCCTACTTGGCCCTGCACGAAGACTCCCACGCCTCAGACTGTGGTGAGGAGGAGACGCTCACTTTCGAAGCAGCCGTGGCTACTAGCCTGGGCCGTTCCAACACCATCGGCTCAGCCCCACCCCTGCGGCATAGCTGGCAGATGCCCAACGGGCACTATCGGCGGCGGAGGCGCGGGGGGCCTGGGCCAGGCATGATGTGTGGGGCTGTCAACAACCTGCTAAGTGACACGGAAGAAGATGACAAATGCTAGAGGCTGCTCCCCCCTCCGATGCATGCTCTTCTCTCACATGGAGAAAACCAAGACAGAATTGGGAAGCCAGTGCGGCCCGGGGGGGAGGAAGAGGGAAAAGGAAGATGGAAGGACACCATGCATTATCAGAGAAGAGGAAGTAAAGGACAATCAGAACACCAGTCAAACCCACCAAATTGCTTTATTCCCCTTTGCAAGATGGGCACTGCCATAGTTCTGCCTCTTTGCTGGGGAAAGAAACCAGGAACGTGGAGGGTTATTACTGCGGGAGAAGGGACACGAGGATGGCTTTGCTTCCCCTTGCCCCTTCCCACTTTTCTAAAAGCTGTGGAGGGATCTAGCTGGCCTATGTCTACACTCAGTGCCCTGAGAAGCCTGGAAGACTTTCTGGCTCTTAACTGGGGAGTAGTGGAGACCATAGGAGAGGACTCTCCTCCCTCACCAGCTCTTACGCCTCAGCCAGCACCACTGCCACCAGGGCAACTGCAGCAGCATCTCATGCATAACCCTGTGGCTTGCTTCCCCCAGGGCAGCACAGGCTAAGTCAGGAACATCGGATGCCAGGGAGGGAGGAGAAAGCCGAAGCGAAAGGGGTCAGGGTGCTGAGGCAACAGCAGCAAGGGCTGGTCTGGACAAGAAAAGCCATAGCCCGGCAGCCCCTACCATGAGGGAGACAGAGAAACAGAACTGGTGGTGCTGGGGGGTATAGCCCCCCATCCTTGAGGCCTGTCACCCACACAGTAGGTGCTGAGAGTTAGGACAGGTCAGGAAGTCCCCCAGGGTCCACAAAGGTGCCTGAGGCTCTGGTAAGGGTGAAGATAAAAGTATTTAACAACCGCTATGGCATCAATGTAAGTGGAGTTTGGTCCTAGTGCCGGAGCCCATGCTATTCCAGGCATTGGCTCTTTAGATGCCAGTCATGGGGGAACCCTGAGGGTGTGGGTAGAGTAGCAGGGGCCACCTAAGAGATTAAAAACAGTCTGTTTTCCAACCAGTGTGGAAGCAATTAAATATGCGTAACAGTGCTACGGCCACACCAGCACCTCCTGGCTGAAGGTCAGCCCACACTCTGGTCCATGAGGCAGCAAGGCCAGTGCTGTGCCAAGCCCGGTAAGGCCAAGTGCCGAGGCCCAGCCTTCCCTGCCACTCCTCTGAGAGGGCAGAACACACATATCCAAGTAGGCTACCCACCACTGGGTAGGGATTTCTGTAAAGATGGGAAAGGCTGATAGATTGAAATAAGCTTCTGTGAAAGTCTGGATTTACTGAGGACCTCCCCTGAGGAGGGACCGTTGGGACCGCAGATTCTGCAGCTGGTGTGGGGTTCAGGTCAGTTTGTCAGGATGCTTTAAGGTGATTAGTAAATATACCTCAGCTTAGACTTGGGCTGCTCCTTCTAGCAAAGCAGGCTCCAGTGGGGCCTCATCATACAGGATGACAAGACTGGGGCCCTGTTCACCTTGAACATGCCCCTGGGCCAAGATGGGGCTTCACCCCTCCCCAGAGTAAGAGCTGGGGCTGACAGTCCCACCCTGTCATTCCTAATAGCCCAAACGCAGAAGCACTGAGCAAGAGAGCCCTTTCTTGCCAAGCCAGTGCTCTTTTGGTATATGGCATACAGCTCCATTGGAGGGGACACATCACTGGCTTTATCTGGTGGAAATGTACCTTTCCCTTAAGTTCCTCCTTAGTGCCATCACAGCAGGTGAATGGGTGCCCTACGGGGCCCTCCTTCCCCCACCAGGAACAGATGGAACCTGCCACCCAGGATCCTGATCTGCCCTGCACTGAGCACTCAGTGGATAAACACTCCTCCAGCCCAGACACACTCCTCCTCTTGGGCAGGAGCAATCCAGAGTTGTTATTTTTCTTAGAAGGAGCCTCTTTTCCCTCTATTTTTTAAATTGAAATATAATAGCTGCATCAGCCCTGAAAAGCCAAATTCAACCACATGGCTGGAGAATCATTTGTCATGGCCCCGCCTTCTCTTCTGATACTAATGGAGCTTCATGACCCACGGTCAGCCCCCAAACCAAAGTTGTCCCAACAGAGGAGGCCAGTGAGGCAGAGACAGAGCTCTCCCACTCTCAGACCCTCTTTTGTCTTCATTTTCCTCTCCCACTTAGCACATGTGTGCTTGAGGGTGGCTGGGAATGTGATATACAGCACCCTGATCCTAACAGGTGTGATTGTTACGTAAGACGCTGATACTGGGCCTTGTATTGCTTTTAAAGTTTCCTCTGCTCAGCATCATTTCATGCCAAAGTGCTGCTATGGGCTGCTTTGTGTGCACAAAATTGCTTTTTCCACCTCGGAAATGCAGCTTTCCCTAGGGGGAGGCCTACAACAGGACGACCATTCTGAGCCAGTGAGTCTATTGCATGGTGTTTTGAGAAAGGGAATTTTAGTGACACCTTATGCCATTTCAAGAGGAGAAATGCAGGCTGGCAGAGCAATTTCCAGAAATGGAATTTGCCTGCAAATAGTATAAACAACACTAAATTTACTGTGCCAGGAAATCTTCCTGAACTCCTTGAACTCATACACACAGGTATTTGAGTCCTGAATAAAGTGTTGGAAAGCACTGCAGATGCGGTCACCTGACTGACCACCTGGGTTTTCTATTACCAGTGAATTTCTTTTATTCACCTTCCCTTGACCAAGAAATTGGGTTTCTTTTCCCTCAGCCTGCACTTACTCTTCTATTAAGACCAGAAAATAAAATAATTTTCCGTTGAGTCACAAACTCATCATCTTGTTTGGTGTTCTGCTGCCTCTGAACAAAAGTGAATGCCAGCCTTCCCTTGCTGGGTGTCAGAGTCTGCCTCCCTTGAAAAGAGGCCCCTGTAGACCCCAACACCTATTCTTTTCTCTGGTTAATTACAGCAGCATCTGAGAAATTCCATGCAAAAGAAGACTACAACCAGTGTTTCAGATATACCACAAGATCAAATTTGGGCACTGGTGGTCCACCTCAGAAGACTCTTGAGTCATATATTCAGTTTCTCTTGCTAATATATGACTCGTCTTCACCATCTCCTCAAAACAAGAGCAAAGCCAAGATAGAGGAAGGTAAAAGGAGGAGGAAAGGAAACCAAGGCAGGGAGATGTTCTAAGTAGGTTTGCATTTAGTTACCCCTCATTTCACTTAAGGCTCCAGACAGACTCCAGGTAGGGAATGCATGCTGTCTCTTTCTCTGTGTCTGTCTCCCCATCTCCTAGAGGACAGAGTGCCAGCGACCTCTGGACAGGGGCAGGGCTCCAGCCAAGGTGCCCCTGAGCCAGGGTCAACATAGAATTTCCTGCCCCGTGAAGGGCTGGCACCAGCTAGCATCCCCTTGGCTCCACATGAGTCATGAACACAATTGTCAGTGGGGGTCTCTGCTGCTCTTCTGGCTGAAGAATCTGTTTTTCTTCTGGGCTTCACTTGTAGTTCCTATTCAATGTCTCCATAGGGCACTGAGATCACCAAGAACATTACCCAGAAGCTGAAGTCCAAATGTTCTAGATTTTGACCTCTCTTGACTCTGGGGCCACAAAGAGAAGGCCCCATAATCCACCTCTCAGCCAGTATCTCCCTTCTTTGCACAGATTCCTCCCAACCCCATAGAGCCTATGTGGTGAGCATGAGGGTCGTCTTCCCTCTGTTCTCCCATCCCAGCCTCTGTTTTGCTGCATGTTAGCGCTGATCCAGCTCCTGAGATGGTTAATTCCACCCAATCCAAGCTTATTTGCTTGCCTGACTGACTCCACCACTCTCTCAGCTATGGGGGAATATTGCATTCTAATGAAATAGGGTTTGGAACTCACCTGGTGCTCCTCGCAAGACAACTGACACAAGGTGTAGGGTGTGGGGGTGGACAAAATGCCCACCTACTGGATAAAAGCTCACTGCAGGAAAATGAGGTCTCCTGGCATAATGCAACAAAAATCTCATATAATTTTGATTTTTAAAAAGTTGTTCTCAATTTTTCATTACATCCTACTTCTCAGCCCTCTGGATGTTTCATTTTTTTGGACAAAGTGTTTCTTTAGTGGTTGGGGCCAGGGACAGGTTGAGGGATATTTCTCGGCTCATTTATAAGATATAAATATTATGAGGTTGTATGTAAAGAAAGGGCAAACGTACAGCAGAAGGGGAGCAAATAGCTACCTTTCAAGGATTTTGAGATTTGAAGGTTAAGGAATTTTTACTGCTATTTTTGTTCATCAGTTTCATGTCTGTTATGTTTTGAGATCCTCAGAGGCCTAGGGTTAGCGTATACCAAGAATCCTGGTGAGAGGCGTTGCCATGCCTTGGGGTGAATTCTTCCCCACTAGCTCTCTCACCCAGCCTACAAGTCCTTCTCTCATAGATCCCAGAGCAATGGGCACCGTCCAGGAGGTACAGGAGAGGACTTTATGATGCAGGAAAGAAGGAAGAAGTGGGTCCCTTGCAAGTGGCCAGACAGGGAATGATGGTTTGACTCCAGAAATCAGGAATCAGGTTCAGGTTTGGATAACTTCTCTTTAAAATATCTCCACATTGAGACTCTTATTTTAACAAAATCCAAACAAAATTAACTCAGGGCTTGTGACCTAACCTTTGTAAGAAGGTGATCAAAGAGATCCTACATTAATAAGCACTGCCTGTAGCACCAGCTTTGTCTTTTTGTCTTTTGTTGTTTCTTTCCTGAACCACCCTGTACATCATAGCCAGGTCTACCCCAAATAGAGCAGCAGCTGATGGCTTCTCTGCTGTCTGTGGAGGGAGGGCTCGGCTGCAGACCTATGGTGTTTTGTCAGCTGTTAGGTGCTACAGCCCACCCAGTCAGAGTACATAGACATAGCGCTTTAAGGGACAAAGGACAAACAGAACTATCTTTGCTTTCCGGAGGCCATCTTTTTCTTTCCTTGAATCCTTTCTGCTTTAAACTTCTGAGGTTTATGCATCCCAGAGAGGTCACACCAAGCCAAAGAGAAAAAATTCATAGATTGTCCCAGCCTACCCAAAGGGCCTGAAAAGCCTCTCTAAACAAAACTCAAGATAGCTGAGAAGTATGAATGGGGTTCACAGCAAAGTCCAATTGATGGCTTTTGAGGCTGGGACACCCCCAAACTGCCCTTCTGTTTTTGTAGTTTTGCTTTCTTCCACCCACCCTCTCTCCGCATGCTGTAAGTTAGGGGAGTTAGTATCTTGAACTTCTAAATGCAAAAGGAGATTTTATAATAAGCCATGCTACCTGTAAATACATTATTGAGGTTTGCATTTTTATTTTTGGAGGTATGAAAGAGTTGAGTAGACCAAGTCAAAAGAGGTGTGGGGATTTATGTTTATTTTTATTTGTTTGGGGTTGTTTGGTTGGTGGCTGGGTTTCTTGTAACAGACCTATTCTGGAATAGCAAAGAAGGATACCTTGGTGATCTGCAATGTTTCTGAATCTGTTTCTCTTTAGGAAGTGATTGCCATCAAATTTAGTGATATGATATTTGAGTCAAAAATCTGAGGTTATAGTACCAGCTGTCTTTTCTCTCTGGTCTCCTTTTTGTCGTCTTTCTCTTTCTGTCTAAATTGGCCTCTGTCTTTTCCTAAGGACTTAAAATATAACCCAAATTAATGAAGAACTGCCCCAAAACTTCAGTGAAAGCCAAGGAGGTACAGAATTTTTTCAGGACATCTTTAACCAATACAAAATTTATGTCTTAAGAAGATAATTTTTACAATAGTGTAGTAATCTGATAAATGAAAACTATTGGAAGTCAATAGTTTTTTATATTCCAGCTTTCTGTATTCAAACTTGTGCCTTCAGCAAGCATCTCTTCACTTTCTTTCCCTTGTCAATTGAAACATGAATGTTTGGCTAACTCATGATGTAAAGTGTCTGTTAAGTTAATAATACATAATTTAAAGCACTTAGTCTCCACAAAGCAATTTAGAAAAATCTTCACTTGTTAGATCCCATGAAGTACCTATGAAATTCTCAGCATTGCTATAAGCATTTGATTTTTTTTAAGGAAACTTCCTGTTTAATGGAATCTGAATCCAAGATTTGCTTTAATTTCACTCTATTCTTCCCATTTTCCCTTATTCTTCTTGTTGTCTCTCTAATTAAAAAAAAAAAAAACCTAGGCTTTTTTTTTTCTATCCAGAAAGTTGGGTTTTCATGATCTGAGCTTCCTTATGTCTCCTTCTCTTTGTGCAAACTTAAACCAGTCATAGATTGTCACCCAGACATATTCTCCAACCCAGCATTGGAAATCTGAACGAATCTTTTCTCTTTTTGTCCTACAAGTTTGTCAGAGATGAGAATGGATTGCTGTCTACATTCTACAACCAGACCCTAGACTTTATACCAGGCTGTGCCACTTCCTCTTCACTTCACTCAGAGGATGGCCCCAAAACTGAAAAGGAAATGAAATAATCAAATATACCAAATCCGAATTTGACTTTATTTGATGACTCAATATTTTCCTTCCAGTACTCTAATTTTTTTTTATGGCAATGGCCTATATGGCACAAGAACCACCACTTAAAGCAAATCTGTTGAACATTTTTATAAGGGATGAGCAAGAAAAACACACTCCAAAATTTTAAAGTGCCATTAATCAATTTTTAAGAATAAAGGTAATATGAAATGAGGGCTAAACAATGTAATATAACTGCCAGTTAAGGTAGACAGTAGTTGTGGTCTTAGTTACATTTGATATGGAGTTGTGTAATATTAAGCAGATCCCAGTGGAGTTAGTAAAAACATAGGTATTGAGTTTTAATGGCTACCAATTGGGATATATACTTAGCCTGCAGGCTGAACTTTAGTCAGTGTTTTTCTATCATGTTGTTTTGTGAACAAGTCAAAATTTATACAAAGCTACCCTAAGTGCTGCAATTGCAGAGGAACTTGCCTCTTCGTGATATTAGAGGGCAGTCCAACTCCGCTCAAACTGAGTCCAAGATTTGAATTCATCCAGAAAAACAAATGGAGGAGAAAAGCCTAATGCACCACATGTGTTTGGCATTTCATGGCTGGGACAATGGAGTAGAGGGTAGGAAGACAAGCTGTAGAACAAAAGCAAAGTGAGGTAGAAAGTAACAGGTCCCAGACGAGGACAGACTTAGAGATGTGTAACCTTGGATCCTCTTTTTCACTTAGAATATGGGTAAACTTCTTAGCACAAGACTGGATTAAGAGAAGTTCTTTCTGTTAAACTCACCTAGGGTAGTGGCTTTGAAGGCCTCAGAGGATTAATAGATTCCCAAAATTTTCTTCCAGACCTGGGAGATGGAGAGAAAGAGGTTCTTGCTTTAAAGCGGCTCGAAGACAATCTTTATGACTTCAGCAACTCTTCAACATAGTAGCACCAATAAAGGAGAGATTATGTTAACTTCCTAGTGGTGAGAATACCATGGGATGGGAGAAGGGCCAGTGAGTGGGATGGGAATGAGCTTCATCAGGAACAGATTTCAGACTCTGCAGGGTGCACCGGTTCTAGCCTCAAATAACAACATTGCAAGGAGGTGGACTACAGGGTCCACACCCTCTGTCCTTCGGGGCCCATGGTCAGGCCATTCCCTCTTTGTTTTGCTCCTAGAGGATGAGCATGTAAGATGAGATCAGGAGGGAAATTGGGTGCTCTGCCTCAGGCTGTTAAAATGCTGCTACCTGCATTCTAAAACGTGCAAGTCATGCCCCACAAGACACCTCCTTAGGGCAGCATCCACTGTGGTGTGCCAGCCTGACACCCCTGCAGTCACGGTGTTTGAATGGCAGCTGATGCTGGCCCACCCAGAGTATCGGTGCATCTCTCCTAAAGCCACAGTTCAGCACTGCATGTTGACCAGGCGGATATCCTATAATATAGATGCTCGTTTGGATCCAAAAGGAAAACCATTAAAAATAAAAGAAAGATGAAAAACTTTAATGTTTTGGGGGGGATAAAAGAAAAGAATAAATAAAACCTTGTTGTAAAGAATGCATCGGCCTGATTTCCCTCACTTGATGTGTTTCTTTGCTGCTACCAGAAAGGGAAATCATGGGAGTGAAGCCTGCCAGGACCCTCAGGGTAAGCTGGCAGCAGGCTCTGCAGCTGCACTTAGTTGGGGTCTGCTCAGACCAGTCAGGAGGAATTCAGGAGGCTTTCAAAGTCCCAAGGACATCCTGGCTCTGAAAGGTTTTCTTTTGTTAAAAAATGCACTTTGTGCTGTGTGTGGTAGCTCGTATGTGTTACCCCAGCTATTCAGGAAGCTAGGGCAGAAGGATTGCTTGAGGCTAGGAATTCAAGACTGGCCTGGATGACAGAGTGAAACCCTCATCTCTTAAAAAAAAAAAAAAGGAATAAAAATGTTCTCTGCCTTGGATAACATTTTTTTTTAAAGATTCCATACAAACTCATTCCCTGAAAGAGAAAAACAGATTTTCTAATCAGGACATTGTCCTGATCTGCAAGCGAGGAGTTTAACAAGGTAGGCAGAGAACTTCCTTATGGAACAACAGGGCTCTGTGACCAGAAAAACTATGACCAGCCTCCTCTGAAAAAAGGTGGGGGGATTATAGGGCACCAGCTCAGCCGCCAAGTTCAGGAAGCAGCTGATTCCCAAGACTCTTAGGAGATACTGTCCATTCTTCCTCCTGTCCACATCACTCCCCATTTAACTGCAATTGCTCCCTTGCCACAGGGAAAGCAGCAAGCCCCAGGCCCAGGCCTCCATTTGATTTGCCACTCCGAGAACTGTCTGCTTCATTCTGCTTGAGGAGATATCTTCACCTAATCCTAGTGTTAATTATTTTAATCTGAGCAACGCTTTTATCAATTAGATAGAAACCAGCATTCCAAAATAAGTCCCCTAAGTTTGTAGTTTGAGCCAAGATATTTTCTTGAGCCCTAAGATATATGACTTTATTAGCTAGGATTTTTCTTATGATTAAAAACATCCAAAAATGTGATATGTGGTCATCTCTCAGGGAGGTCTAGGTCCTTGCAGGCTGGATTTTAGAAATTTCTAAGATTCTCTACAACTTTTAAATTTTATGTTATTTTTCAATCATAATTTCTTTCCTGTGGCTTCTATCACCATTGGAGTTAGAATCTGACAACCTTTAACTTCACACTTTTATGAGATAATAAGTTGGTTTCTTGGGCAAAGGTTGGTTTGTAAGCCATTTACATGGATTGATGATTTCTGTTCTTGTTTTCTTCTAACCTAGAACTCAGGTCCACAGTTTTCCACAGGCTAATGGCACTATGAAACAGATATAAAGAAAAATAGACACTGTTCTGAGTTTCTCTTGAGTGTTTTTGTGCTATGATCTGATCATCTATTGGTTACCTTTACACATTACATTCCTAAATCTTCTATCCTGCCTCTGGGATATTAGAAACTTGTCTTTACTTGTGTATCACATTACTTTGCTAATGAGCTGGGAAAATTCCCAAACTAAAGACCCGGATTTCAGTTTTTAAAATATTTAATCACAAAATATTGGGACTAGTCACAGGCACACATAGCCCGGGAACTCCTTAAACACCTGCAACAAAAAGAAAAGAATAGAGGCTACAAATGCAAGCGCTGGAATAGAACCAACTGAGGTCCAACCTGTGCACCACCAGTTACATGCTGTGAGGCCCTGCGTTGGCCACTTAACCTAAAACTCACTTTCTTCACCTTTAAAATGGGAACAATAATAGCAACAACCCCGTAGGGTGGTTAGGCAGAGTGACCAAATTATTGTGTATGAAGAGAATAGCCCGTGTCTGTCCACAATAGGCATCTGATAAATGTCAGGTCTCACCATCGTTGTCGTCATTAGCACCACATACAAGTGCATTCCCCAAACCCACCACATCTGAGAAACTGAATCTTTCAGGGCCACATGCTGAGAATACACTGGTGGGTGCTCCCCTTCTGTTAATGAAACACAGAGGACGAGTTGATCCTTAGGCAAGTTTCTAAGGAAAGGGGGATACATTTAAAAAGCAAACCATTACTATGTAGCTATTTTAAAATAATGCTGCCACTCTTGCATCAGAAACAAGTCATAATTTTGTTTATTCTTCATTTCTCATTTCCATATTCGTTTAATAACAAAATGGGAGAAACATTAGTGGGAGATAGTAATTGTAAAAGTAGCAATAAAGTTAATGGCAACATTAAAAATACTGTACACCTATAAACACGGCAATATTCAAGGCAATTTGAAATATCAAGTAACTCACAAATTGATGACACATGTAAGTGAACCATACATTTAGGGTCAGTGGCCTGTTAGTCCATTAGAAAAAAGGAAAAATAATAATAATTCTGTTTAAAGACCATTCCTAAGTGGTCAATAAAGAATGATTAGTTCATAAAACATCAACTCTGGACATAAATAAATTGAGAAACCCTTTCCAGGAGATCGCCAGGGGAACATTCAGGATACCAGAAGGCAAAACAATGTAAGACTGAAGCCAAGCACTATAAATCCATCCAGAAAGAGGGCTCCCATGCCTCGGGGCACTGCTTCCAGATCCCCATCCTCTGCTTCTGCAGGCAAAATCATGGGTGTGTTTAAAATCAACAATAATAACTATAGCCTTCATCTGCTGATCTAAATGATTCTACAACACACAGGAATCATAGAGCCCAGAACGTTGGCTTAAGGGAGAGCCTAGGTATTGATTCTGCCAGAGTCTATTTCATATATGAGGGATCTGACATTTGGAAAAACTCTAAAATGGGTTTTCCAGAGGCCAAGAAAGTATCCTGTGAACCTGGACTGCCATATTAGGCTCCTGAGGGTAGCCTCAGCAACCCTAGCACAACCGTCCAAAAAAGAAGGAAAAAATAACTGAAACACACCCCAGGAGCCTTCTTTTGCTCATGTGTCCAGAAGACTCCTTTGGGAACCTAATGGAAGCTGTGTATCCTCTCCCTTGAAAAGGGTACCAAAAAATCTGAGTGTTTACATCCTCCAGTCCCAACCTGAGCCTGTTTATAACCCCTGCAACAGTAGCAGGTGGTATCATGGAAAGACCAGGCATAAATGAGCTATTTTCATCAAAGTAATTCAAAGAGCGAGCTATGACAGTTGGATCAAACTATTCAGGCCTGGAAATAGAGGACGGAATCCAGGCTGATTTCCTGCCATGTTGGAAATACTGCTTGCCTCTGTGACCAGATCAGATGGCTTGACAATGATGGGAATACAGTGTGGCTATCTGGGAGGTGGGGTGGAAGAGAAAAGGGCAACTTATATAAATATAGCTCAGTAAATACACTGGCATAAGGCATTAGGTAGACCTGGGTACAAATTCTAGCTATGCATTTAACAGTGACCCCAGCCAGGTTACTTAGCTTGTAACCCTGGACTTCCTTAACTGTATAATTAGGATAACAAGACTAACCTTGCATAGTTGTATTTAGGATTAGGGATTACACACATACACACACACACACACACAGAGAGAGAAAGAGAGAGAGAGAGCGCCCAGCATGGTGTCTATCACATAGCTGGTATGCAATAAAACATGACTGCTATTATTGTTGTTCACTCATTCATTGAATGTATTTATTAACCATTTACTATGGTGCCAAGCACTAGGGTTTTAATAAGCAAGCCAGATGAAGCAGTGTCCTTAAGTTGTTCACAGCCTAATGGAAGCTACAGATAAGAAAACAAACCACTGCACCATGGTGTAATCTTTGTGAGGGTGAGGAATTTTCAGGGTACTATGGAAGCCCCTAAAACAACTTGGGGAGTCAGAAATGGCTTCCAGGGAGAACTGCTATTTGAGACAAAACCTAAAGAATAACAAGGGTTGGCTGGGCCATAAGGATGGGGCGAAGATGTCAGGTAGAGGTGCAGGAGGAGGTATCTTGCTCTAGTTCAAGAGCAGATATTTGAGAGAGCTTGTTAAAGGACAGGCTGGAGAGTGAAGGGAGAGCTTACAAGCCATTTCTCAGAGTTTAGCCTTCACACCATCCCTGTATTGGCAAACAGCAATGGCAAGTATTAAATCATGGGGAGATTAGGCACAGACAACACATCGATAAAACCAAACCAGGTTTACTTACCTGAATAAGGAAGAAACTCAAAATACAGAGATAACTGTATTATCCAAGACCAAGATACAAGCTTCTGGCCACTGAATTCTGCATGAGAGGGTACACAGCTAAAAGTGAAAACATGAATGAGTAAAGGTCACACCAGACCCTCTGGAGACCTGATTTTCTCCCCCATTTTTAGCCTACCACAGAGGGTCTCATTTAATTCTTTCAGCAACATAAGCTCCACATGTCTATACCCACCAGTGGAAGGCAGTCAGTTTGACCAGCCCTAGTGAAGCCTTCAGACGTTCCCTGCTGATTCTGCACTGCCCTGAGAGACCCAAGGGACCGTCCGTACGATACCTTTCAAGTTTCCTTTAAGGGCATATACAGCTCTGTAATGAACATCTTCAGCTTCTTCAGAACATTTCTCACAGGATGAGCCAAGGACCAAAAGAAATCAGACCACAGTCTCATTTTCTAGTAAGAAAATCCTCTGATAGAATCATGGCCAGTGGTTGAGATAAATTATAGAAGCTTGATGTATGTCATCAAAGCAGTCTTTGCTTCATTAAAACACAATAATGGTCCCTTAAAAATAGGATTGTGTTAATAAATTGATGCATGAACAATTTCCAGGAGCATATCTTAAAGTGAAACTCACCTCAAATATTTGTCTAAGGAGAAGCAAACTAGTGGCTGTGGTAAAACTGGTTAACCAGTTCTACTTAAAGTCCTCTCTTGTATTAAGTCCCTTTGCCTGGGACTCTATTTCCCTGTTATATTTCTGCCCCAGACCTATCAGATCACCTTTCTTATTTTCCAGGCATTTGGAAACTATCTTTTTCAATCACTTTTCTTTTGTTCAATGTGGTGTGCGTCATAAAAATAAAGGAGAGGGTCTCCATAGATAGACTGTAATTGTGAACAGTTTCAAAGAAGTTTTAAATAACTCCCTGATTCTTAGAATCAATTTAAAATAAGCGATGTTGTATGGGCATGAGTGCTTCTTGGGGAGATTGGTAATGCTCCCTCGGCTAGCAGTGGAGTAGCTGAGCTAACAAGGAGTTCCTGGTGCCAGGTGGGTCTTTGCACACTGAATTCGTGTCTGTAGGGAGAAGCAGCTGCCGCTCAGATCTGAACTGGGAAGAGATGACTTTAACCTTGGGCAATAACTAGAGTTCTGAATGGCAGCTGCTCTGCAAGATTGAGGAAATAACAGAGGTTCTCAGGCAGCATAATTGGATACCAGCATAAGTTGTTGTTTTGTTTTTTTTTTAAGAGAGGGAGAGAGAAAAAAAGGTATGGAAAAGAGAGGAAGAGGAAGGAGAAGAAAAAGGAGAAAAATGGTAACTGGCAACTTTACCATTATCAAGCATCACAATCTAGTCACTAAGCATAGAAGAAAGGCTCTTTTTTAATTAGAGAAATAAGCAGGTTAGTCACACACTAATCAAGACCTATTTTTGCTTGAATTAGGTCAGTCTTCGTTAAATGCCTCTCTAGAAATAGGCGGAGGTCGAACTCTCCATGGGTGGTTTGCATGGATGCAGCAGAGGTGACTCACGTTTGCCGATCTTAAGAGCTGTACAGATGGCTGGGAGTGGCCGATTAAAACCTCCTTGACAACTCCTCGGAGACTGAAGACCACCCACCTCCATCTTCACTGGGAGCAAATGGACTGTAGAGTGAGCAACATGGTTTCTGACCTGATCCTCAGGCCAGGGGGTAAACAAAGGCAGCTTGACCTTTTGCTAAACAGAGTGTCCGGGAAAATAATCCTCAGCTTGTTTTGAATGCACGCTGGACAGAGAATTACTGGTAATTTTGTGAACCGGTAGGTCTCTGCACTGCAATAAGAAGCCACCGTAACTGGGTCCTCGTGGTGTGACTGATTCATTTTCAGTCTACCCAGACTGTCCTGGTTTTAAAATGGAAAATCCTACAACCTGGGAATCCCCTTAGTTCACTGCAAACCAACAATTGGTCATCTTTGCTCTCCTCACAAAGAGTAAGATGCAAGGCCAAATTTTGGCTTGAATGCTGTTCCAGGTTCTCCACAGTTGGTGAAAAATCATTGAATGAGAAAATGTGCAGGATGAAAGGGATATTAGTAACTACCTGATCCAGTAGTTCTCAAACTTCAGTGTGTATCAGAACCCCCTGGGCTGCTTATTGAAAATGTAAATGTCTGGGTTCTATTGCAAAAATCTGATTCCATCCATATGTCTTAGGTAGGGTCCCAAATTCTGCAATTTTATAAGCACCTTAGATGACTCTGATTATACATGGTCCAAGGACCTATGTTTGGAAAGCAGGGATTTAATTACAGCTCATTTTATGGATAAGAAGTCTATGTTGCCTGAAGCCACACAATACGCAACTGCAACCTGGTCTAAAATAAAGCCTCAAATATGCACTCCACTCCTGGTTCAAATTTATTTTCATTTATAGCATTTCGGGATTACATGGTCCCTTTCCTTGCGACTGTCTGATCATGTTATCCTTCTCGAAAATATCATTTCAGAAAATATTTGACAAAAAGAAAATAGAGACTTCACTAGATGTAGCCATATTTATAGGGTTTGGCATTTCTTTTCTGTGAGTAGCTGATGCCAGCTTCAAAGGAACAGAAGCTGTAATGTCTTGTTTTCCTTCTTGAGAAGTTTCTTAGAAGCACCAGCTGCTTTGAGCCAGTCTGCTTTTGTATACAAGGTTCCGAGACCTCACACTGATTCAGCCAGGGCAGGGGATGTTAATTTTAAAGGTACCTGAGATTAGACATAATAAAACAATTCAGGCTCCCAAATTTGCAGTTTATAGAATTGGACCCAAGGCATTTCATGTCAGTATGCCTCATCTCTGGTTTTTCCATAGCATATAGAATCAGTCCTTAAATTTCAGGGCAAAGGGTAAGCTTTCTAATGTGGTATTTTAAGCTGGCTTTAACTAAAAAGCTGGCAATTTGGGATGCGACCCGTTTCATGTTGTTTTATTCTGTGTCTGTCTTCTCCCATTTTATTTTTTGTTTTTATATCTGAACGCATACTGCTAGTCTTCAGAAATCTTCCTCCATGTGACTTTTATCTAATAATGCTCATAGACTTGTCCTCTGGAGCTACCTAAGTCTAATTCCTATTCCAGAAGACAATTCTTCAAATATTTGGAAAAAGTTATCAAGACCTACCTAGGCTATACATCCCTAATTTATTCAGGTGTCAAGCCCCCTTTCCAAACTCCTAGTTCTCCTCCAGGTGTGATTTACAACATTACTGTCTTTTTAAAGTGCATCATCCAGAACTGAACCCAGATCCTCATCCCCACCCCATCTCCTCCCATGCAGCATCTATCATTAGAACTGGGTGAGGTGAACGGAGGAGACCCACAGACCCACAGAAAAGCACAAAGATTTCCACAATCTTTGTGGAATCTTTGTGGAATCTTTCACCCTGTGAAAAGGGCCCCATCCAGAATATGGAGGGAGAAAGCATCCATTCCTCTTACCTTCCAGGTGTGGACTGGGAATTGTTTTAGCAATGGTGACAATAAATTGAAGCCAAGTGGAGATGTGGAGACAATCCATTCAAAACATTGGTATGATTGATGCAATGGACTGAATGTTTGTGTCTCCCCAAAATTCATATGTTAAAACTCTAACTCCAGTGTGATGGTATTTAGAGGTGAGGCCAATGGGAGCTAATTAGATCTGGAGGGTAGAGCCCTCATAAATGGGATGGGTATCCGTCTTAGTCAACTTGTGCTGCTATAACAACATGCCATAGACTGAGTGATTTATAAAGAACAGAGATTTATTTCTTGGAGTTGCGGAGGCTGTGAAGTCCAAGATCAAGGCACCAGCATTGGTGCCTGGTAAGGGCTGCTGTCTCTTACAGGATGGCATCTAGTAGCTGTGTCTTCACATGGCAGAAGGCAGGAGGGCAAGAGAGTGCTCCCTTCAACCTCCAGCCCTTTTATAAGGGTGCTCCACCCTCATGACTTCATGGCAGATGTGACCTGCCAAAGGCCACACCTCTTAATACTTTTGTATTGGAGGTTAAGTTTTAACATGAATTTTGGAGTGGCACCATCAATCAAACCACTGTAATACCCTTACAAGGAAAGGCCAGAAAGGTAGCTAGTACTCTTTCCACCACATAAGCAACACAACAAGAAGATGGCACATATACACCATGGAATACTATGCAGCCATAAAAAGTGATGAGTTCATGTCCTTTGTAGGGACATGGATGAAGCTGGAAATCATCATTCTCAGCAAACTATTGCAAGGACAGAAAACCAAACACTGCATGTTCTCACTCATAGGTGGGAATTGAACAATGAGAACACATGGACACAGGAAGGGGAACATCACACACCGGGGCCTGTTGTGGGGTGGGGGGAGGGGGGAGGGATAGCATTAGGAGATATACCTAATGTTAAATGACGAGTTAATGGGTGCAGCATACCAACATTGCACATGTATATATATGTAACAATCCTGCACGTTGTGCACATGTACCCTAAAACTTAAAGTATAATAAAAAAAAGAAAAAATAAAATAAAATAGGTTTTATGGTATGTAAATTATATCTTAATAAAGCTGCTTTGAAAAAATGTGAAAAAAAAAAAAAAAAAGAAGATGGCCACCTGCAAACCAGGAAGCAGGCCCTCACCAGACACCGTATCTGCTGCATCTTGATCTTGGACTTCCTAGCTTCCAGAACAGTGAGAAATAAATGTTGTTTAAGCCACCCAGTCTGTGGTAATGTGTTATAACAGCTGGAGCTGAGTATGATAACCAACTTCTTGAGCCACAGTTCCTACAGACTGGGTTGCATATGTTTCAAAGAAAAGCATTTTTTTTCAATAAAACATTCTTTATTCATGAATTGTAGAGTTTTGCCTTAACATTTTTGTCCTTTAACAACTTTAGTGAGATACAATTCACATATCTCACAGTGCATCCATGTATAATTACAATTTAATGGTTTTTATTATATGGAATTGTGCAACTATCACCACTGACAACCTTAGAATGTTTTCATCACCTCAAAAACATAATCAAATTTTAGGCATTGTCTTAATCAATTTATTTACTAATTTCACCCATTTACAGGACATTTACTTTGTATAGTAATGACTGTCCAGTCAGTACTAAATATTATAAGAACTCAATATGAAAGAATGAGGAATAAAGAGGGAGATTTACTACTTGGAGACTAAATGACCCTGGTGTACAATATTAATATGCCATGTATTTATTTATGCCATTTATTTATTACTATGCCAATTTTGTATAGCAACTAAGAGCAAAGACTCTGGGGCCAAACTGGCTGGGTTCAAATATTGCTTTCACTACCTCCTGACCCTGGGAAAGTCATTTCCATGGGAAACATGAAGACAATCATTGTTCCTACCTCATATGATTCTTACAAGGATTAAATAGATTAATATGCACAATATTTAGGACAGAGCTGGTTCTCAATCAGTGTTTGCTAATCTTATTGTATATAAAGTAATCCTATATATTCTGACCTTCTACTAGGGTAATCCTTCATGACTCTGAAGGCTGTGAGATTTTGTATTTGTACATATACTCTGCCAGCAGTTCAGTATGCATCAAGAATGTGGTTAGAATGAGATATCTTTGAAATTATTCATGATCGGATGTTTTACCTGGGAGAAAAAATAGAGATAGTCTAATCTTATTTAATGAATGAAAAGGAAACAAAAAAGAAGCTCAGAGAGGTAACTTATTCACTCAAGTTCACACAGCTACCGAATGGCAGTTCTTGGCTTAAAAACAAGGTTTTCTGTCATTTAAGTTTGCCAGTGCCCAGAATGGTACTTAGTACATAATAGGTACTAAAATGTTTAATTGAAGGAAATGGATGATTCACTTAGAATATGCTAGAGTGATATAAAAGAGTCACTGACCTTTCAGTTTCTTTATTGCAACATGCTTTCTCTCACCTCCGGACTGAGGCATGCATTTTATTTACCTTGAAAATCTTTCCCAACTATCTTTTGCCAGCTTCCTACTCAACCTTCAGGAGGAGCTGAGGCGAAAAATCTTCCCCAATGGCAAATAAGTCTGGGTGGAGCACTTCTTCTATGTACTCCCATAGTACCTTGTACTTTCCCTGTTATCGCCATATTATAGAATCACACCAAATTATAATTGGTCAATCCATTCTACTAGAATGTAAGCTACACAAAGGCAAGGACTGTGTTAATGTTTCAACAGTTTTTATTTCTGACACAACAGGGACCTAGCATAGAGTAATAATATTTTCAGAGGAACATTAGAAACCATGGAAGGAACTGATGATTGTTCCCAATATTTGTTCTCCCTTCTTCTTCTAAGAACAGAATTTTCTCACTGGTATTTTAGGTCACATGACTACCAAACCAGAGACAGCATTGCCCAGCCCACCTTGGAGCTAGATGTAGACAGTCATTAAGTTTTCACCAGTGGAATCAAAGTGTGGCAGGCCTGGTCTTACTAATGCAGGCCTCCATAACAACTGATTCAGCACTGACTGAGTGGTTAAGTTAAATATTAAAAGCTGATAGAGCCAGTGCCCTTACACAAAGGCTGGAATGTAACAAAAGCCCACCAAGAGTTTTGCCCACACCTTTCCTGGGCCTTACACGATAACTAAGATAACAAGACAATGAAGGAATTCTTAACAGGGCCCGTTTAGAATTAAACGAGTTTTACTGGGGTTTTGAAAAAACTCTCCAGACTTCCACGAACAAGTTTACTGGGGGTCTGAAGGAACTCCCCAAACCTCCATAATTTAGCAGAAGACAAGATAAGGGTAATCACCCCAGCACCTGGACACATTTAGGTTAAGTAAATTTACTAAGGATCCAGAAGGAGGTCTTCAGGACTCAGATCTTGGTTATAGATTAAAAGAAATTAATCACTATGTCTTTAGATAAATGCACACTTGCACATAGACATATAGCTTAGAAGGTATATAAGCTATGGAAAACTTTGTCATTTTTGAGTTTTTCTGGCAGTATTTTCCAGGCCTTCTCCCTGTACCTGGTTACAGAAATAAACTCTCTTCTTTCCCAGTTCATCTGCATCTCATTATTGGGCCACGAGAATAAGCAGCCTGACCCTCATTTTGGTCTGGGAACAAAAGTGCAAGTGATACATACAACTTTCTTAAAAAGAAATGCTTACAATCGACTTTTTCCTCTTCCCTTCTTTATTTGGGCTAGAAGGCAGATATGGTGCTGGTAAGCCAAATGGGAGCAGGTGAGGGTGGAACATATGCCCAAGGGATGGGGAAGCAGCCAGGTAGAAGGAAACAAAGTTCTTGGATGATCGTGTAGGGTAAGGTAGTACTGTCTGACCTATGATGACTGGCTGCCTAACTTTGGATTGTTAAATGAGGAAATATATAAACCTATAACTTGTTCAAACTCCTATGCTTTGAGGTCTTTGTTATAGCTTCTTAGGCCTTTCGTTAACTAAAATAAAAACAAAGCATAAGTATTCCAAACAATCACCCACCATTCAGAGCCTTTGAAATTCTAGATACTAGCATTACTTAAGCTCTATTGCTTGCAAAGAATAGCTACATCCACTCAGGTTAGCACTAGTACTGGAGGAAATTTCATAAGGCTATCTCTGGACATAAGAATAGCAGTAATCTTGACCATATGACCAGATGCCACTGAGACTGGAAAAAGTTTGTAGTCTGCAGAATTCTGGTGACCTGGCAGATAGGCTAACAACTGACCCCTTAGAAGCAGGCATCCATTCAAGGCAACCCCGTATCCCCAGCCCACACCATCAGCATGACTCAGCTACTCTCCCCATGGCTGATTCCCCCTGGTCTTTCCACTTCTTTCTTCTTTTTTTTATGTAATTCTGATTCTCTCATATCGCAGAGTTCAAAAGCTCAAGGGGGGGTAAAAAAACCCTGATTAACCCAATTTAAGCAACATTTAATGGGCTACTGGCCAAACTATAGATGGGCAGCTTTTATTTGAGATGTCTTTCAGGCATAAATTAGCTGCAGCTAAATTGGGATTAGGAGTCATATGGCACAGAACATGGCCATGTCTGTATTAGAATCTGCTCAATAGTTTGTCTTCAGCAGGAGTATATTAGTTTTCTATTGCTGTTATAACAAATTTCTAAAAATTTAGTGGCTTAAAGTGACACAAATTTTGTTATCTTACACTTCTATAGAGCAGAAAGCCAACATGGATCTTACCTGGCAAAGGTCAACAAGTAAGCAGGGTGTATTCCCTTCCGGAAACTCTAGGGGAGAATGCATTTCCTTTCCTTTTTTAGCTTCTAGAGACCTCCCACATTCTTTTGCTCATGGCCTGCTCTTCTGTCTTCAAAGTCTGCAACATCTGGCCATGTCCTTCTCATACTGCTATCTGTCTGGTTCTCTCTTTTGCCTCCCTTTTCTGCTTTTAAATACCCTTGGTTTTACATTTGGCCCACTCAAATAATCCAGGATAATCTCCCTATTTTGAGGTAAACCAATAAGCAAACTTAATTCCACCCTCTCCCTTAATTCCTTTTTGCCGTGTAATAATGTAACATGCAGGTTGGAGGAATTAGATGTGAACATCTTCAGAAGGCCATTATTCTGCCTACCACAAGGAGACTACAGATGAAAGTTTGCTGGCCTACCATGATAACTTTCTCCTATATTTTCTTATAGGACAAACATTTTGTATATTTTGTTTATGGTATTAAGAATTGAAGCTCCTTTTTAGCCCATATGGATATCAAGTTGTTCTAGCACCCTTAAAACAGAAACAAAAGCAAAAGACTAAACTTATTCCATTCAATTATATTGGATTGTTAAAACAAAAATCAACTGACCATATACATGTGGGTCTGTTTCTGGAATATTTATAATGTTCTATTATTCTATAAGTTTATATTTATACCAACCATACTGTCTTGGTAGTTTTATAATAAATCTTGAAATCAAATAGTGTTAGCCCAACATTTTCTTTTTCAAAATTGTTTTGACTATTCTTAGTTCTTTGTATTTTTACATAAATTGTAGAATCACCTTGTCAATTTCCTCAACAGTAGCCTGTTATGATTATTATCTGGATTGTATTAAATCCTTTCAAATATTGTTGGGTTAATTTTATAAATTGCTTACTTCAAATCTGTTAATATTTTATCAAGGATTTTTACATTTATGGTTATGAGAAATATTGGTCTATAGTTTTTTTTTCTTGTAATATTTTGGGGATAAGAATAATGACAGCCTCATGTCTTGAGAGAGGTTTTGATGTGCACCTCTAACTCTATAGATTTAGAATTAGTTTCAAGCAATAAACCCATCCTGGTGTTCCCCAAAGTCCTTTTACCCTGGACAATGATCAGCCCTCCCTGTGAGCCTGAGATTCATTGATATAGACCTGAATGTGTGCAGAGGAGTATTACAGAAAAGATAAAGGTAGAGACCAAAAACTGATTCCCAGCCCTGGTAAAATTTATCAAATAACTAAATGGAGAAGTCAATAGGGCCTAAATAAAGGTAAAAATAACCTCTGCTGAAAAGTTTTCTCATTTGTTATCATTCAGTCTGAGCTGAAATGTATCGGGGGAAATGGGTAATATTTGTATATGTCTGCACTCCTCTTGCTACCTTTCAGCCTAAAGCTGTAGTGCATCCATAGGAATGGCTATGTCCTTCACTGTAAATGATTAGCATCATAATTTCCAAGCACGAGTATTAAATATGAATACTTGTAAAAAAACTTCCTTTTACAAGTATTCATATTTATAAGAAATAAAACCCTCTTCCTTTTAAACTCACCAACTAGGGCCTCTTAGGGCACTCTTGCCTTGTTTTGATCAAACTTGCAGAGCAGCAACTGTTACTGTTTAGAAGGAATGACTTTTAGAAAGAACCATACTGTCTCCTTAAAATTGTTTCCTGTGCGAAAGCTATAAGGCTGTAAGTAGCAAATGCACGCACATACAAGTAGGGTATATATCTACATATTAAAACCACAAATGCAGATGTGTATTTAAAAGTTCATTACTACTCAGCCATAAAACGGAATGAATTCATGGCATTCACAGCAACCTGAATGGGATTGGAGACCATTATTCTAAGTGAAGTAACTCAGGAATGGAAAACAAAACGTCATATGTTCTCACTTATAAGTGAGAGCTAAGCTATGAGGATGCAAAGGCATAAGAATGATAAAATGGACTTTGCGGACTTGGGGAGAAAGGGTGGGAAGGGGGTAAGGAATAAAGGACAACAAATTAGGTTCAGTGTATACTGCTCAGGTGATGAGTGCACCAAAATCTCACAAATCACCACTAAAGAACTGACTCATGTAACCAAATACCACCTGTTCCCCAAAAACTTATGGAAATAAGTTTTTTAAAAAAGTTCATTTCAAATGGCAATAATTTATTGAGACCTTTCTAGATTCTAGGAACTGTGCTAAGGGCTATGAGGGATTCACAGATGTCAAATAAGGAAGGGACTTTGAATGAAATAAGCTTACAAATCAGATGAGAACATAAACATTCATATACATAATTCTAGGACATAGGAAAGAGTAATAAGGTTTAAAATGCTATAAAGAGGCACATATATACAACCTGAGAGGGTGAAAGTGCCAGCTACTTCCTGCCACATTATAAGTTCTCAATAAATATTTATTTAGTGGATACATGGATGATGAATAAGTATCTCTGGTCATATCCCTTAAATACAATTATTGAATAAACTATTGTTGAGCAGGGGGAAAAGACTGGGGACTATAAGAATACTATTTGAATAATTTTGCCCTTCATCTATGCTACAGGCCTGTGTAATCCAGATATATCAGAAAGAGATGTTTCTGAATGATTTTTCTAATATTCTTTCTGGAGGATATTTTATAATGAAATGCTGTGTTGCTATCTCATTAGTTATCAATATTAGGCTCACTCTAGCTCTCTACCCACAATATACAACCAGGAAGCATGATTCCCAGAAAGTTGCAGCATTACACAAAAGCAGATGGAGGATCCAATCTGGATACTACAGAGTCTGCTAGTAAAAGAGAAGCCAAATAATGTCTGCTGCTGAGAAATGCTAGAGAACAGTATTTTCCTCTAGGGCAGCCCATATGACTTCTAGAATTTCATTCCTCCCCCCTACCCCTAAATGTAAAATAATTCTACTTCCAAAAAGTGAGGCTATAAAAACTTCTGCTTCCATCCAAGATGGAATAATAGGGTCTATGTTTAACTTCAAACAACCAAAAAAAAAAAAAAAAGGACCATCTATAGGTAACAATGGTTTGTAAGACACTGCATATCTGGCAATGAAGAAGAGTAATCCTTGAGACACAGGAAACAAATGAAGTGAGTACTATGATTGCCCCAGCACAGTTTCTTGAGAAAGTTTGCAGGCCATGGTTTAAGGGCTGGGAGAAGGGGGCCCATATGGAGCCCAGTGAAGTCCTTGAGCTGAGGAGAGGAGAGGAGAGGAGAGGTTGTGGGAGACCATGGAAGTTCACACTGGCAGAATAGAGTACCAGAAAGGAAAGAGCTTCAAAGAGAACCCTGGAGCTCTGTAGCGATTTCCCCTTGAGAATTGAACTGAATACTGATCAGCCCATGCATACGAAAAAACTAACCATAGCTGGGAAGAATGATTTCAAATGATTACAGGTAACAATGTCTGGTGATAAGACAATGCAAGAAACTAGAATGAAAAACCAGATTAATGGGGTATTTGGTATATTTCCCAAAAGGTATTTAACTCATAATAGGGAACAATTAGTTATAGGAAAACATTTCTAATTCTGCCTTACAAATCTTAACAACAAAACTTTAAAGGATCAAATTATTTCCAGGTAACATAAAAACAACCCAGAACAGAATTCAAGGATATTAATTGAAATACAAAAATATGCAGTGCCCCACAAAGTAAAATGTAAAGTGTCCAACATCTAATCAAAAATTTTCATGAGGCAAAGAAGCAAGAAATACAACTCATGAGATAAATTAGTAAAATTGAAGCTGACTTGGAACTGACAGAGATGTTAGAATTAGCAGACAAGGACACTGAAACAATTATTATAACTGTGTTATGTATGTTCAAAACATTAAGAAGAGACATAGAAGACATTAAAATTACCCAAATTGAGCTACTAGAGATGAAAATTACGAAGTGTGAGATGAAAAATAAACTGGGTGAGATTAATAGCAGATTAGATTTTACAGAAGAAAAGACTAGTGATTTTAAAACATACATAGTAAATAGAAAACATGCAAAAAACAAAATTAAAAAATATGAATAGAGCATCAGTGATCTTTGGGCCAACTTTATGAAGCCAAACTAAAGTGCGACTTGAATTTTTTAAGGTGGAGGGACAGAAAAAATATTTTTAAAATAATGGTTGAAAAATTTCCAAAGTTGATAAAAACTATAAGCTCACCCAGGAAGCTAAATGAACCACAAACGCAAGAAAATGAACCACACAAACACAAGAAACAGAGGTAGATATACACCAAGGGATAGCATATAATTGCTCAAAGTCAGTGATATAAGAAAATCTCAAAAGCATCTAGAGAAAAGAAGACATAATACATACAGAGTGTGGTGTGCACAACAATTTCTTCCTAAAGATATCCATGTCCTAACCCTTGGAACCTATAAATGTTAGGTTTCATGGCAAGAAAGAATCAAGGGAGAAGAGAAAGTTAAGTTTGCTAATCAGCTAAATTTAAGACAGAGAGGTTATTTGGGTTGATTTGAGTGAGCCCAATGTAATCACAAGAGTTCTTAGAAGTGGAAGAGGGAGGCAAAAGAGAGGACCAGAGATGGCAGTGTGAGAAGGACATGGCCTAATGTTGCTGATTTTGAAGACAAAAGAGGGGACCAGGAGCCAAAAATGTGAAAGGTTTCTACAATCTGGGAAAGGTAAAAAAAAAAAAAAAAAAAAAAGTTTCCCCCTAGGGCTTCCAGAAAAGAATGTAGCTCATGAGTCCATTTCAGATTTCTGACCTCCAGAACTGAAAGGAAGTAAATTTGTACTGTTTTAAGCTACTAAGATTCTTGTAATTTGTTACCGCAGCAAATAAAAAGTCAATAGACAAAGTAACAAATAAAAGAATGACAGCTGATTTCTTATTGGAAGCATTGCAAGAGAGAAGATGGCTTAACATCTTTAAAGTACTAAATTTTTTAAAATGTGAAACTTTTTTTTTAAATGATGGTTAAGTAAAGTTTCTTTCAGATGTACAAAAGCTGAAAGACACAGTAGATAAATGTTTAAGGAGGTCCTTCAGGCAAAAGGAAAATGACCCCAGATAGAAATATGAATTTACACACAAAAAAAATGAAAAGCACTGGAAATAACTACATGTGTAAATGTATAGTATTTTTATTATTTAAATATTTGTTAAAGATAAAGTTTTAAATCAAAGAAATAATGTATTTTTACAACATCTGTAAAAGTAAAATTTATGACAAGAGACTTACAGTAGTACAATTTTCATTTCTCATTTCAGGAGGGGAGAAATGAAAAGTGTACTACTGTAAGTCTATTGTAAGTAAATAGACTTACTAGTGTAAGTCTACTGTAAGTCTCCCCTCCTGAAATGAGGGGAGAAATGAAAGTGTAGTATTATAAGTGTCTTATATCCTGTTAGAAGTGGTTTATCACTTGAAAATAGACAAAGAATAAGTTAAAGACATACATGACAAACCCTAAGGCAACCACTACAATAACAAAGCAAAGAGTTATAGTGAATAAACCAATAAAAAACTAAATGGAATTGTAAAAATACTAACTTAATCCAAAGGAAGGCAGAAAAAAGAAGAAAATGAAAAACAGATGGGAAACAGAAAACACTAGCAACATGATACATTAAAACTAGACATTTCAAGAATTATATTAAATGGTCTAAATACACCAATTAAAAGGAGAGACTGTCAGATTAAAATGAAATTTAAGGCTCAACTTTATGCTGCTTATAAGAAACACATTTCAAATATAAAGACAGAAGTAGATTTAAAATAAAAGGAGGAAAAATATGCAACGCTGATAATAGTTTTTAAAAAGCTGAAGTGGTAATACTAATATTAAAGAAAATAGATTGCAAAGTAAAGATTACTAGGAATGAAAGAAGTTAATTTATAATGCTAAAGGGGTCATTTCATCCAGTAGAAATAATCATAGAGGTTTATGCACCATGTGACAGAATTTCAAAACACATAAAACAAAAATGGATAGAACTGCAAGAATAAATAAGCATATTCACAATTATTGTTGGATATTTCTATACTCCTCTCACATTTGTTGATAAAACTGACAGGAAATCAGTAAGGATATTGCAGACTTGAATACCTCCCTCATTATTTGACGTAGTTGAAGACCATAGAAGATTAAACAATAATAGAAGAGATATTTTCAGATGAACAAGCAATATTTATCAAAATAGACAATACTGTGGGCCATTAAAAAGCCTCAAGAAATTAAAAAATATTCAGCTAACACAAAGTATGTTCTTTCATTACAATGAAATGAAATTAAAAGCCAGTAACAAAAAGATTTATGGAAAATCACTCAAATAATTGGAAACTAAATAATATGCTTCTAAATAACACAAGTCAAAGAAGAAATCAAAAGGGAAATTAAAATGTATTTTGAGATTAATGAAAATGAAAAGACTATATATAATTTGTGAGATGCCATAATTTTATAGCATTAATGTCAACATTAGAAGAGGGGAAAAGCTTCAAATCAATGACCTCAGCTTCCATCTTAGATAACTAGAGAAAGAAGAACAAATTAAATCTGAAGGAAGCAGAAGAAAGTAAATTTCAGATAAGAAATTAATGAAATAGAAAATAGGAAAAAAATCAATAAAATGAAAAGCTGGTTCTTTGAGATGAAGTGATAAATCTCAAGCTTGACAGATTAGGAAAAGAAAAAGAAAAGATACAAACAAGTAGTATCAATAATTAGATAGAAGACATTACTACATACTCTAGTAATATTAAAAACCTAATAAGGGAATATTATAAATAAATTTATCTCAATACATTTGACCACTTAGATTAAATTTGTAGTTAAAACCTTCCCATAAAGAAAACCCCAAGCTCACATGGCTTCACTGGTTAAGTAATACAAATACTATACAAACTGTTCCAGAAAATTGAAAAGGATGGACTACTTCCCAAGTCATTCTATGAGGTTATTACTAAATTGATGTTAAAATCAGGTAAAAACATTACAAAAAGTGAACTATCAATTACTATCCTCATAAATATTAATGCAAAAGTTATAAATAAAATTTTAGCAAATTAAATCCATCAGTATGTAGAAATAATAATACATCATGATCAAGTGAAATTTTTTCAGGAATGTGAGATTAGTTCATCATGCAAAAGTCAATTAACATAGAATTATGGGAAGATGCAGAGTAGGAATGACCAGAAATCTGTCTTCCCACCTAGACAACAATTACACTGGTAGAATCTGTCTGATGTAAAAATGTTGAAACTGAAGTCTATTGAAGGCATGTAACTTCCAAAGGAAGCTTTAGACAATAAATTACAATTAATTTCAGCTAGTTTCAGCTCTTAGCAAATTAGTAGCTACTCCTAATTCTCCACTCCTCATTCCTGTAGGAGACAGCTGTGCATGTTTTCCTGGAGTAGCTTGCACAGTTTGTGGGAGCCAAGGTGGGCAAAAGTACAATGTCCTTCCAACAGTGAAGATCTGTGTTCTCATCTTAGAGATATAGACAAAGAGATGACAGCCAATGTTGTTACACCTCCCCACTACATTGTTTCAAGACCCTCCTCCTCTGGCTGAAATGACTTTCATAGTATTTAATGATCTAGTGCTTTGCTTTGCCACCTCCTTTATTTGCAGTGCCCCCTTCTCTATTTTTTCTTTTCCCTGACAGGGACCCAGATATTGAAGACTAGGTCATTCAAAAGCAACCATACATATGAGGCATAAGTAGAAAGTCACCATGCCTCCCAAAGACAGATATCCCAAAGGATTAGCAAAAAAGCCTTAAGTTTATACCTCAGGCTGAACTATGGCCAGAGACTGCCTACAATAACTAAAAACAAAAACAGCAAACACTGGCAAAGAAAGATAATTAAATTTCCAGAGTTACCACATTGTTAGATTCAAATATTCAGTGTTCAACAGCAGAAAATCACAAGGCATACAAAGAAATAGGAAAGTATAGCCCTTTCAAAGGAAAAAAATATCAACAGAAACTGTCCCTGTCAAAAGACCTGATGATGGATTTTGTAGGCAAAAACAGCTAGCTTAAAAATGCTCAAAGAACTAGAGGAAGATGTGGAGAAGTAGAGAAAGTCAATAAAATTATGTATGAACAAAATGCAAATATTAGAGATAGAAAACATAAGAAACCAAAAGGAAATTCTGAAGCTAAATCAATAAAATTATGTATGAACAAAATGGAAATATTAGAGACAGAAAATGTAATAGGAAACCGAAAGGAAATTCTGGAGCTAAAAAGTACAATAACTGAAATGAAAAATTTACTAGAAGAGGTCCATAGGCATATTTGAACAGGCAGAGAAAAGGATCAGCAAACCTAAAGTTGGAACAGTAGAAATTACTTAGTCTGAGCAACAGGAAAGCAAAAAAGACAGAAGGAAAGTGAACAGAGGCTAAGGGACCTGTAGGCCAACATTAAGCAGACCAATTTACTAATAATAAGTTCCAGGAAGAAGAGAGAGAAAGAGCCAAAGGGGCATACAGAATAGTTGAAGTGGTAGGTGAAACTTCAAGCCTGATGAAAGATATAAACACCCAAGAAACTCAACCAACTCTAAGTACAATGAAGATAAAAAGCCCTATGGTGAGACACATGATGATCAAACTGCTGAAAGACAAAGAACCATGAAAGCAGAAAGAGAGAAGTGACTCCTCACATATAACAGATCTTCAATACATTATTAGTAGATTTTTCATCAGAAATTTTGGAGGATAGAAGGCAGTGGGCTGATATATTCAGAGAGCTAAAAGGAAAAAAAAAATCTGTCAACCAAGAATTCTATATCCAGCAGAACTTTATTTCAAAAGTGAAGGAGAAATTAAAACATTCCCAGATGAACAAAAGCTGAGAGTTCATTATCACAAGACTTGCCTTGGGATAAATGCCAAAGGGAATCCTGCAGGCTGAAATGAAAGAACACAACACAATAACTTGAAGTGATGAAAAGAAATAACTATCACAGCAAAGGCAAATCATGGGCAATTATAAAAGCTAGTATTATTGAAGCAATGCTGTGTAACTCTACTCTTTGTTTTCTACATGATTTAAGAGACTAATATATATTTTTAAATAGTCTAAAAGCTAATATTATTAAGTTTATAACTTTATATTATCTAACTTATGAAACTAATGCATTTAAAATTCGACTAATTTATGTTTCTGAACACACAATGTATAAAGATGTAATTGTATAAAATCAACAACTGAGGGGGTGAGAACAGAGCTGTTAAAAAAGAAAAGTTTTCATATGCTATTGAAGTTAAACCGGTATAAATTAAAATTAAAGTATTACAACCTTAGGATTTTAAGTGTAATCCTCATGGCAATCATAAAGAAAATGGTTAAACAACATACAAAAAAGAAAATAAGAAATAATTTAAATGTTTCACTACAAAAATTCAACTAAACACAAAAGAAGATAGTAATGCAGGAAACTAGGGACAAAAATGCTATAAGCCATAAAGAAAAAGTAGCAAAATGACAGAAGTTCCTCATATCAGCAATTACTTTAAATGTAAATAGATTAAACTATACAATCAAAAAGACAGAGATTGTCAGAATAAAAAAAAAAATCCAACCATATGCTATCCACATAAGGATATCCATATCGCTGAAAGTGATAAAATAGAAAAGAATATTGTATGCAAATAGTAACCAAAAGAAAGCAAGGATGGCTATACTAATATCAGGCAAAATATACTTTAAATCAAAAAAAGACAGGATAAGGAAAGATATTGTATATAATATTTAATCCAGCAAGAAAATATAACATATTTCATAATAGATATAACAATATATCTATTATAAACATTTATGCACCTAATAACTGACCATCAAATATGTGAAGCAAAAATTGACATTATGGAGATTAAACAACACACACTTAGAAAACGAATGAATCAAAGAAGAAATCATGAGGGAAATTAGAAAATACTTAGTGATGAACAAAAATAAGACTGCAACATACCAATACTTACAGGAGGCAGCAAAAGCAGTGCTAAGGGAAAAATTTATAGCTATAAATGCTTACATTAAAAAAGCCAGAAATATCTCAAATCAATAATCTATCTTTACAATGAAAGCACCTAGGGAAAGGACAACAAACTAAACCCAAAACTAGCAGAAGAAAGTAAATAATTAAGATTAGAGCAGAGATAGAGTGGAAAAAAAGAGAGAGAGAGAACAGAAAAATAAGAGAAAAAATATCAACAAAACCAAAAGTGAGTTCTTCAAAATGATCAGTAAAATGGACAATCCTTTAACTAGATGAACTAAGAAAAAAGAGAGAGAAGATTCAAATTACTGAAACTGGAAATGAAAGTGAAGACATTACTGTTAATTCTACACGAAGAAAAAGAATCAGAAGATAGTACTATGAGCAACTGGATGCCACCAAGTTGGATAACTTACATAAAATAGACAAATTTGAGGAAACGCAAAACCTACCAAGATGAAACTTCAAAGAAATAGAAAATCTGGATAGACCTATAACTAGTAAGGAGTTAAATAAGTAACTAAGAAATCTTCCCTCAGAGAAGGTCGAGAAGGCAAATGAAACACTCAAGAGGCATTTAAGGAAACTAACACAAGAAACTCATCTCCCATGGCCTACTCTTTTGCCCATGGCCCTGTTGAGAATCCAAGATTCTTCTCACAAAATAGGGCTCACTCCATATGAAATGCTGTATGGACCACCTTTTCTCACAAATGACCTCCTACTTGATCAGGAAATGGCCAACTTGGTCAAAGATATAACTCATTTGGCATAATATCAACAAAACCTTAAAAACCTACCTGAAGGATGTCACAGAGAAAAGAGAACAGAGTTGTTTCAACCAGGAGATCTAGTGTTGGTGAAATCTCTCCCCTCTACCTCCCCATCTATGGACTCTTTGTGGGAAGGACCATACTTGGTAATCCTCTCTACTCCCACTGCAGTTAAGGTGGCAGGAGTGGAATCTTGGATTCACCACACCCGAGTTAAACTTTGGACATCCCCTGAGGAACCTGCGGGACCATCAGCTCAGGAATCCCAAGATCAGCCAGACCAGCCTCGATACACCTGTGAACCGTTAGAGGACTTGCACCTCCTATTTCGGAAGGAAATATTCCAGACTAAAAAGCCCCCTACCACTGATCCTGAGGAAAGACCCCTTCCTCTTTAAAAAAAATAAGTGAAAACAGCATACTAACCATACTCTTTGTGATAGGACTATATACTGTAGCTCCTGCCAGGATGAAAATCCTAATCACATCAACCTTCTTTCTATCTTCCTTCCTTTTGACAGCAATTTACTCCTACCTCTAACTCAGACTAGATAAAATGATCTCATTTTCCAGAGTACCCTCTTTACCTTCCTATTTGCTCTTTGCCTATGTATCCCTCCTGCTTCCTTGGATACCTCACACAATCACCCCTCCCCTTCCACTAGCTCCTAATTACCTCTACAAGGCTCTCAACTTAACTCGCTCTCTGTTAAACCAGTCCAATCCTTCCCTGGCAAATGACTGTTGGCTTTGTATCTCTATCAACTTCTGCCTACATTGCCACTCCCATTCCTGCAAAAAACTGGGTCTTTACCAACTTAACCTATCACCCTCATTATGAAGGAAAAAGACCCTTTCTGACTTCTAAATATGCAATCATTAGCTGACTTCCCCATATCTGATGGACCAAGAATACCCTAATATGACATGCAATCCAAATTTTACGTTCTTACATTTCCAACCTCACCTATTACACAAGAAATGAAAACCCATACAAGGCCCTGTAACCATGAATACTATCTTAACTTTCCAAGCCCCTTTATGCATCCAATGCAACCTGTTATCAGGCCTGCCCCTGGGGCACCTACTACTGCATGAGTGTAATTACATCCTACGACTTCAAGCCCCAACTGATCATAGTAACTTCTGAGTCACCCAAACAGCTCCATTCAGATGGCTTGTCTGCTTCTCAGGGCCCCCCAAAATCATCACCTCCTCCCTGCTTAACAAACAGTCCAGGTTTTCTAATGGCAAACATACCCCCTGCATGACCATTCACCCCTGGACCCCACCCTCCAGCAGCGCCCCCACCACTAGTGAATGCCTTCTTGCCACTCAGTTTGCTCCCAACACCCCTTTCCAGCCACTCACTGAAGCTACCTTGGCAAGTACTCTAGGAGTATGGGAAAATGAAAACAACAAACTCACACACCTGTTTAACATGCATAACTAGTTCTGTCTACCCAGCCAAGGTATATTCTTCTTATGTGGAACATCGACCTATATCTGCCTCCCCACTAACTGGACAGGCACCTGCACCTTAGTCTTTCTACGTCCCAACATTAACATTGTCCCTGGAAATCAGACCTTATCAGTACTCCTCAAAGCTCAAGTCTGTCAGCACAGAGCCATACAACTAATACCCCTACTTATAGGGTTAGGAATAGCTACTGCTACAGAAACAGGAATAGCCAGTTTATCTACTTCATTTTCCTACTACCACACACTCTCAAAGGATTTCTCAGACAGTTTGCAAGAAATAACAAAATCTATCCTTACTTTACAATCCCAAATAGACTCTTTGGCAGCCATGACTCTCCAAAACTGCCAAGGCCTAGACCTCCTCACTGCTGAGAAAGGAGGACTCTGCACCTTTTTAGGGGAAGAGTGTTGTTTTTACACTAACCAGTCAGGGATAGTATGAGATGCCACCCAGTGTTTACAGGAAAAGGCTTCTGAAATCAGACAATGCCTTTCAAACTCTTATACCAACCTCTGGAGTTGGGCAACATGGCTTCTCCCCTTTCTAGGTCCCATGGCAGCCATCTTGCTGTTACTCACCTTTGAGCCCTGTATTTTTAGCCTTCTTTTCAAATTTGTTTCCTCTAGAATCAAGGCCATCAAGCTACAGATAGTCTTACAAATGGAACTCCAAATGAGTTCAACTAACAACTTCTACCAAGGACCCCTGGACTGACCCACTGGCACTTTCACTGGCCTAGAGAGCTCCCCTCTGGAGGACCCTACAACTGCAGGGTCCCTTCATTGCCCCATCCAGCAGGAAGTAGCTAGAGCGGTCATCGGACAAATTCACAACAGCAGTTGGGGTGTCCTATTTAGAGGGGGGATTGAGAGGTGACAACATGCTGGCAGCCCTCGCTTGCTCTCAGCACCTCCTTGGCCTCGGCGTCTGCTCTGGCCATGCTTGAGGAGCCCTTCAGCCTGCTGCTACACTGTGGGAGCCCCTCTCTGGGCTGGCCGAGGCTGGAGCCAGCTCCCTCTGCTTGCGGGGAGGTGTGGAGGGAGAGGCATGGGTGGGAACCAGGGCGGTGCGCAGTGCTTGTGGGACAGGGCGAGTTCTGGGTGGGCATGGGCTTGGTGGGCCCCGCATTCGGAGCAGCTGGCCAGCACCACCAGCCCCGGGCAGTGAGGGGCTTAGCACCCGGGCCAGCAGCTGCAGAGGGGGCACCAGGTCTCCCAGCACTGGCAGCCTGCCGGCGCCACGCTTGAATTCTTGCTGGGCTTCAGCCGCCTCCCTGCAGGGCAGGGCTCAGGACCTGCAGCCCGCCATGCCGGAGCCCCCCGGCAATGGGCTCCCGAATGGCCTGAGCCTTCCCGATGGGTGCCACCCACTGCTTCACAGCGCCTGGTCCCATCAACCGCCCAAGGGCTGAGGAGTGCAGGCACGTGGTGTGGGACTGGCAGGCAGCTCCGCCTGCGGCCCTGGTGCAGGATCCACTAGGTGAAGCCAGCTGGGCTCCTGAGTTGGGTGGGGACTTGGAGAAATTTTATGCCTAGCCGGAGGATTATATATGCACACACCAATCAGCACTCTGTGTCTAGCTCAGGGTTCGTGGATGCACCAATCAGCACTCTGTATCTAGCTAATCTGGTGGGGACTTGGAGAACTTTTATGTCTAACTAAAGGATTGTAAATACACCAATCAGCACTCTGTATCTAGCTCAAGGTTTGTAAACACACCAGTCAGCACTCTGTGTCTAGCTCAAGGTTTGTAAACATACCAATCAGCACCCTGTGTCTAGCTCAAGGTTTGGAAATGCACCAATCAGTGCTTTGTGTCCAGCTAATCTAGTGGGGACTTGGAGAACTTTTGTGTCTAGCTAAAGGATTGTAAACACACCGACCAGCACCCTGTATCTAGCTCAAGGTTTGTAAATGCACCAGTCAGTGCTCTGTGTCTAGCTGATCTAGTGGGGACTTGGAGAACTTTTATGTTTAGCTAGAGGATTGTAAATATACCAGTCAGCACTCTGTGTCTAGCTCAGGGATTGTAAATGCACCAATCAGCACCCTGTCCAAACAGACCAATCAACTCTCTGTAAAATGGACCAATCGGCTGTCTGTAAAATGTGCCAATCAGCAGGATGTGGGGGTCAGATAAGGGAATAAAAGCAGACTGCCCGAGCCAGCAGCGGCAACCCGCTTGGGTCCCCTTCCACACTGTGGAAGCTTTGTTCTTTCGCTCTTTGCAATAAATCTTGCTGCTGCTCACTCTTTGGGTCCACACCGCCTTCATGAGCTGTGACACTCACCATGAAGGTCTGCAGCTTCACTTCTGAGGCCAGCGAGACCACAAGACCACCAGGATGAATGAACAACTCCAGACGGGAGGAATGAACAACTCCAGACGCGCCACCTTAAGAGCTGTAACACTCACCGCAAAGGTCTGCAGCTTCACTCCTGAAGCCAGCGAGACCCACCAGAAGGAAGAAACTCCGAACACATCCAAACATCAGAAGGAACAAACTCCGGACACGCCACCTTTAAGAACTGTAACACTCACCGCAAGGGTCCACAGCTTGGTTCTTAAAGTCAGTGAGATCAAGAACCCACCAATTCCCGGACACACAAAGACCATAAGTAAATGTCTAATGTTGCATGTAGAGGAACTAAAAAAGTAAAAACTAAACTGAAGATTAATGGAAAAAAAAGAAATAATAAAAATCAGAGCAGAAGAGATTTTTTAAAATACAAAAAATTAATGAAATGATGAGCTGGCTTTTTGAAAACGTAAATATAATTGATAAACCTTTAGCTAGACTAAAAAAGGGGGGACAGAACTCAAACAAAATCAGAGATGAAAAAGGAAACACCACAACAAATACCACAT
This sequence comes from Homo sapiens, assembly GCF_000001405.40. NCBI lineage: Eukaryota > Metazoa > Chordata > Mammalia > Primates > Hominidae > Homo > Homo sapiens. Next base: position 181,834,245 of record NC_000001.11, read on the forward strand.
AAACAGGCTCATAACAGACTATTAAGAACAAATATGCCAACAAATTGGAAAACCTAGAAGAAATGAATAAATTTCTTAACACATAAAACCTACCAACATTGAATCAGAAAGAAATAGAAACATAATCAGACCAATAGAAAGTACTGATGTTAAAGCGGTAATGAAAACCTTTTTCTCAAAGAATAGCCCAGGACCTGAAGGCTTCCCTCACATTTAAAGAAGAATTAATACCAATTTTTCTAAAACTATTACAAAAAATTTAAGAGGAGGACATTCTTCCAATTTATTCTTTGAGACCAGCATTACCCTGATACAAAAACCAGACAAAGACACCTCAGCAACAACAAAATTACAGGACAATATACCTGAGGAACATAGATGCAGAAATCTTCCACAAGATACCAGCAATTCAAATTCAACAGCACATTAAAAAATTCATTCACCATAAACAAGTGGGATTCATTCCAGGAATGCAAACGTGGTTCAACATACACAAATAAATGTGATACATCACATTAACAGAATGAAGGATAAAAATAATATAACAATCTCAATAAAGGAAGAAAAGGCTTTGGTAGAATTTAACATCCTTTTATCATAAAAAAAAACTTTCAACAGATTAGGTATAAAAGAAATATATCTCAACATAATAAAGGCCAAATATGATGTACCCGCAGTTAACATCATACTAAACTAAGAAAAGTTGAAAGCTTTTCTTCTATGATTCAGAAAAAGATAAGGATGTTCACTTTCACCAATTTTGTTCAACACAGCATTGGAAGTCCTAGCCAGAGCAATTAGGCAAGAGAAAGAAATAAAGAGATTAATAACCAGAATATATAAAGAGATCAAACAACTATGAAAAAATTAATAATCTGATTTTAAAATGGGCACAAGATCTGAACAGACATTTATCAAAAGAAGACAAACAAAAAGGCAGGGAAGAAAAATGGCAGATAGGAGGCAGGACTAAATTGCAACTCCCACTTGGACGGACAGAGCAGCGTGTGGAGACTCACATCATGAACTTTTGGTCCAAGAACTATTGCAGGAACATAACAAAAAAGCTGAGAGAATCCACAGACCCTTTAAAGGAAGTGGATTGCTCTTGCAGGCCATGAGAGACAGCCAAAAAACTGTGAGTGCCCAAAGCATAAAAATGTGACAGGGGAATCATTCACCCCCGAACACATACCCACACTGGGGAACCCGAAGGTCCAGGTCACTGGAGAAGGATTTGACCTTACCTGGAGCTGAGACAAATTTAGAGAGTCAAACAAAATACAGGGGTAGAAGAAGCAGCAGGAAGAGGCTTGTGGGCTCTCTTGGTCCCCAGGGAAGCCATTTCTGATTTTGTCTCACAGAGGTCCTTGAGAAGGGCTGCCAAAGGATCTGTGAAAAGACCAGAGGGAGAAGGAAACTTCCAGCTAAACTTTGTAACAATTTCACCCAAACACAAAGTTTCCTGAACAGAACTTGGGGTAGGGGGTGCATTGGGAGTGCAGACACAGCACAGAAGCCACTGTAGGCTGGGAGGTGTGAAACCTGAAGCCCTGCTTGTTTTCTCAGCTAGGAGGCTGGTTGTCTGGGGCAAGTTCTCAGCCCTATTCACTCACTGCTTGGAAATAAACTTAGTGCTGTTGGGAGGTAGGGGGTGGGTGGGAGTGAGACTGGCCTTTTGGGCTGTGTGGGAGCTGGGTAAGGCCTGTAACTGCCGGCTTTCCCTCACTTCTCTAGTGATCTGCATTAGACAGCAGAGGCAGCCATAAACCCCCTGGGAACATAACTCCATTGGCCTGAGAACCATACCCCTATCCCCACCAGTAGCTGCAGCAAACCCCACCCAAGGAGAGTCTAAGCTCAGACACACCTAACCCTGCCCCAAACTGATGGTCTCTCTCTACCTGCCCTGGTAGCTGAAGACAAAGGATATAATATCTTGAGAACTCTAGGGCCCCGCTCACTGCCTGATCTTCCCTATACTACAGCAGTGGATGCTCTCTTGAAAGCTTCACCTCCTGGCAGGAGGCCATCCGACACAAAACTAGTGCAATCAACAAAACTACAACTAAAGACTCTCACAGAGTCCATTTCACTCCCCTGCCATCTCCACCAGAGCAGGTGCTGGTATCATAGCTAAGAGACCTGAAGATAGTTCACACCACATGACACTGTGCAGACACCCCCAGTACCAGCCCGAGGCCTGGTAGCTCTGCTGGGTGGCTAGATCCAGAAGACAAATAACAATCACTGCAGTTAACTCTCAGAAAGCCACATCCCTAAGGAAAGGGGGAGAGCACTACATCAAGGGAGCACCCCTTGGGATAAAAGCATCTGAACAGCAGCCCCTGAGCCCCAGATCTTCCCTCTGACATAGTACAACAAATTAGAAGGAACCAGAAAAATAGTCATGGTAATATGACAAAACAAGGTTTTTTAATTCCCCCTAAAGATCACACTAGCTCATAAGCAATGGATACAAACCAAGAAGAAATCCCCAAATTGCCAGAAAAAGAATTTAGAAGGTTGATTATTAAGCTGGAGGCATCAGACTTTCTGACTGAAAAATATACTACAAAGCCATAGTAACTAGAATAGCATGGTATTGGCATAAAACAGACTCATAGACCAATAAAACATAATAGAGAATGCAGAAATAAATCCATGCAAGAATCAGTGAACTGATTCTTGACAATGGTACCAAGAGTGTACATTGGGGAAAGAATGATCTCTTCAATAAATCGTGCTGGGAAAACTGGATATGCAGAAGAATAAAACTAGATTCCTATCTTTCACCATATACAAAATCAACTCAAAATTGATCAAAGACTTAAAAGGGAGACCCAAAATTATGAGATTACTGAAGAAAACCTGGGGGAAACACTTTATAACATTGGTCTAGGCAAGGATTTTTTGGATAAGACCTTTCAAAAGCACAGACAACAGCAAAAATAAACAAATTGAATTATATCAAATTAAAAAGTTTCTGCACAGCAAAGTAATCAATCAACATAGTGAAGAGCCATCTTATAGAAGGGGAGAAAATATTTGCAAACTATGCATCTGACAAGGGGTTAATATCTAGAATATATAAGGAATTTAAACAACTCAGTAGCAAAAATAAATTAATTTTAAAAATCTGATTTTAAAATGGATAAAAGACCTGAATAGACATTTTTGAAAAGAAGACGTGGTCAGGTATGATGGTTCACCCTATGATCCCAGAAATATGGGAGGTCAAGGTGGGTGGATCGCCTGAGGTCAGGAGTTTGAGACCAGCCTGGCCAACATGATGAAACCCTGTCTCTATTCAAAATACAAAAACATTAGCCAGGCGTGGTGACATGCGCCTGTAATCCCAGCTAGTTGGGAGGCTGAGGCATGAGAATCACTTGAACCCAGGAGACAGAGGCTGCAGCGAGCCGAGATCAAGCCACTGCACTCACGCCTGGGCAACAGAGTGATACTTTGCCTCAATTAAAAAAAAAAAGACACATAAATTATATAAATGGCCAACAAGTACATGAAAAAGTGCTCAACGTCACTAATCATCAGAGAAACACAAATCAAAGCCATAGTGAGATATCATCTCACTCTGGTTAAAGAGATGAGCCATTATCAAACTGTCAAAAAATAACAAATGCCAGCAAGGATGTGGAGAAAGGGGAACTTTTATACACTGTTGGTGGGAACGTAAGTCAGTATAGCCACTATATTCAATAGTATGGAAGTTCCTCAAAAAATTAAATATAGAACTACCATGTAATTCAGAAATCCCACTGCTGGGTATACATCTACAGGAAACAAAATCAATATGTTAAAAAGATATCTCTACTCCCATGTTTATTGCAGCAAAAATTCACAACATCTAAGATATGAAATCAAGTGTCTGTCAACAGATGAATGGATTTTTAAAGTGTGATATATGTACACAACATAATACTATTCAGCCATAAAAAAGAATGAAATCCTGTCATTTGCAAAAACATGAATAAACCTGAAAGACATTATGTTAAGGGAAATAAGCCAGGCGCAAAAGTCACATACCACATGATCTCACTTATACATTGAATCTGAAATATTTGACCTCTTAAGAGTAGAGATTGGAACAGTGGTTACCAGAGGATGGGAGAATGCAGGGAAAAGGTGGGAATGGGGAGAGATTGGTCAACAGCTACATTACAGTTAGAGAAGAAGAAGTTCTGGTGTTCTATTATACAGTAAGGAGTATACAGTGAACAATAATGTATTGTGTATTTCAAAATAGCAACAAGAGAGAATTTTGAATGTTCTCATTACAAAAAAAGGTTGAATGATGAATATACTAATTACCCTGATTTGATCACTATATAATGTATACATGTATCAAAACATCACACTGTACCCAATAAATATATACAATTGTTATTTGTCAATTAAAATTTTTTAAAACTACAAAACACTTCTGAAAGAAATTAAAGGAGATGTAAATAAATGGAAAAACATCCCATGTTCATGAATTGGAAGACAATAGCATGAAGATGTCAATACTACCCAAAGTGCTTTACAGATTTAATTCAATCACTATCAAGGTCCCAATGACATTTTTTGAAGAAATAGAAAAACTCATTCTAAAATTTATAGATTTCCAAAGGACTCTGAATAGCCAAAACAATCCCAAAAAAGAACAATAAAGCTGGAGGACTCACATTTCCTGATGTCAAATCTTACCACAAATCTACAGTAATCAAAAGTGTGGTACTAGTATACAGACATATAGACCAATGGAATAGAATAGAGAGTCCAGAAATAAACATTGAATAGTGCCAAGACCATTCAATGGGAAAAGGAAAGTCTTTCCAACAAAGGTGCTGAATATCCATATGCAAAAGAGTGAAGGTAAACTGTTACCTAACACCATACCCAAAAATTAACGTGAAATGAATCAAAGACCTAAACATAAGAGCTAAACTATAAAACTCTTGGAAGAAAACATAAGGCAAAATATTAATACCACTGGATTTGGCAATGATTTCTGACATATGACATCACAAAAACCAGCAATAAAAGAAAAACAATTGGACTTCATAAAAAAATTTGAATGTGCATCAAAAAACTCTATCAGAGTAAAAAGGAAACCCACAGAATGGAAGAAAATATTTGCAAATAATATATCTGATAGGGAATTGATATGCACAACATATAGAGAATTCCTACAACTACTAAACAAAAATCAAACAACCTGAATAAAGAATGGTCAAAGTCTTGAACAGACATTCCTCCCAAGAAGATATACGAATGGCCAATAAGCACACGAAAGCTTGTTTGGAGGTTCTAGCAGGGGAGCGCAGCTACTCCTACTCATATACCCTTGTCCTGTCTTCCTCTATCGGGGATGGTCATCCTCCATGACTGAGCATGCAGCTTCGAGAGGGACGCACATGGAGCAGTGACAGAGGAAGGACATAGCTGCCTAGCCAGCCAGATCAGCCAAATCAACACTGGCAATCAAAGGGGAGACAGATGCTGCAGCCAGATCACCCTCATATCCAAGCACATAAAAAGATGATCAAATTCACTAATAATCAGAGAAATGTGAATAAAAGTTGTGCTTATATCTCACCTCTTACCCATTAGGATATCTACAGTCAAAAAAAAAAAAAAACAGGAAAAAACAAGTGTTGGTGAGGATGTGGAAGAATTAGAATCCTTGTGAACTATTGGTGAGAATGTAAAATAGGATAGCCTCTGTGGAAAACAAAGGGCAGTTCCTGAAAATATTAAAAATAGAATCACTACATGAACCATCAATTTCACTTCTGGGCATATGCCCAAAAAACTTAAAAGCAGGGTCTAGACAAGTTATTTTTATACTCATGCTCATAGCAGCATTATTCACAATAGTTAAAATGTGGAACCAACCCCAAATGTCTATCAACAGATGAATAATCAAAACGTGTTATATACATACAATGGAATATTATTCAGCCTTAAAAAGGAATAAAATCCTGACAAATACTACAACAAGGATGAACCTTGGGGACATTATTCTGAGTGAAATAAGCCAGTAACAAAAATATAAATATTTCACAATTCCACTTATATAAGGTATTTAGAATAGTCAAACTCATAGAAGCAGATAATAGAATGGTGGTTGCCAGGGGCTAGGGATAAGAGGGAATGAGAAATTATGGTTTAATGGTTATAGAGTTTCCATTTTACAAGATAAGAAGAGTACTGGAAATGGATGGTTGTTATGGTCACACAACAATATCAATATGGTCAATACCACTGAACTGTACACTTAAAAATGGTTAAGATGGTAAATTTATGTTATATGTATTTTACCAAAATAAAAAGTTGGAATAAAGTGATGTAATTAATCATATTAATAATCTATAAAAGTGAAACCCTGTGATCAGCTCAGTTGATGCAGAAAAATCACATGACAAAATCTGACCTCCATTCCTGACAAAATCTGTTAGCAAGAATATACAGACACTTTCTTAATCTCATAAACGGCATGTATGAAAAACCTATAGCTAACATCTTGTAGTGGTTACCTTACAAATTTCAACATTCATATTTTACGTATTTAGCATCCATCTTAAGTTAGTACTTTTGCAATCTCCCAAACAAAAGCTTAACTGTATTTAACTTCAATCTCTTGCCATTTGTACTATTGTGATATATAGTTTAGCTACATATGTAATAAAATTCATAGGACTTTATATCATCATCATCATTTTAAAAAGCATTTTTAGTTACCATCTCCTGTTGTTTTCATTCTTTCAAATAATTCCATGATTCCAATAGGATTATTTTAATACAGCCTTAAGAACCTCCTCTATTGTTTTTTTAGTGCTTATTTGCTTGCAGTGGATGCTGTTTTTATTTGTCTAAAAATCTTTACCGTAATTTTCTTTTAACTTTTTATTTTGACAGAATTTCAGAGTTCAAAAATTCAAAGCAGTAATACAAGGTGAAATAATACAAAGAATTTCTATATTCACCTAGATTCCTCAAATGATTACTTCTTTGCATTTATCATATCATTCCCTCTCTGTCTTCTCCCCCAGCCCCACTTCTTGTTTTTGTTTTTTGTTTTTTGTGGTTTTTTTTGAGACAGAGTCTCGCTCTGTCGCCAGGTTGGAGTGCAGTGGTGCAATCTTGGCTCACTGCAACCTCCGACTGCCTGGTTCAAGCCATTCTCCTGCCTCAGCCTCCTGAGTAGCTGGGATTACAGGCACATGTCACCACACCCAGCTAATCTTTGTTGTTTTGCTTTTTTTTTTTTTTTAGTAGAGATGGGGTTTCACCATGTTGGCCAGGATGGTCTCAATCTCCTGACCTCATAATCCGCCCGCCTCGGCCTCCCAAAGTGCTGGGATTACAGGCTTGAGCCACCATACCCCGTGATAATTTTTTAATTACATTTTTCTTTCTAAATTCATTGGCTATCTAGCATCAGAAACAGCTTTTCCTTCTTAGTCATTTACTAATTGGTATCAATGTGAATTTATGGGGTTTTTTAAATTTCACCTTTATTTTTTGAAGGATATTCTCTCTGGACGTAGTTTTTTAAAAGATGTCATTTCAGTGCCTCTGGCTTAAAGAGTTTTAGTTGAAGAGTCAGCCCTTAATCTTGTTGTTACATTGGAAGTGATATCTGCAGTTCCCACTTTGCTCTGCCCCCAGCTATGTTTAAGGTTATCTCTGTCTTTGGTTTTCAGCAGGTTGAATGTATGTGCTATAGTTGGTTTTCTTTGGACTTAGCTTGTTTGGGATGTGCTAAACGCTTTGATCTTAGAATTGAAGACTTTCATTCACCGATGAATGAAAAATTCTTATCCATTACCTCTTCGGTTATTACTTTTGCCCCAACCTGTCTTTCTTCTTCTTCTGGGACCTATATGTAATCCTATAATTTTTTTTTTTTTTGAGATGGGGTCTCATTCTGTCACCCAGGCTGGAGTGTAGTGGTGTGATCATGGCTCACTGCAGCTTCTACCTCCCTAGGGTCAGGTGATCCTCCCACCTCAGCCCCCCAAGTAGCCGAGACTACAAGTACAACTGTCACCACAGTCTATTTTTTGGTATTTTTTTGTAGAGGTGAAATTACACCAGGTTTCCCAGGCTGATCTTGAACTCCTGGGCTCAAGCCCTCCACCTCTCTTGACCTCTCAAGGTCCTGGGATTATAGGCATGAGCCACCATTCCCGTCCTACTACAATTTTTTTTTTAAACTGAGTTCCACGCATCTGTTACTCTCTTGTTTTTAAAAATTTTTAATCTGCGGTGCTTCAATTTCAACTTGAGTATTATCTCTTGATCTTCAGTTTACTAATTCTATATTCTGTGTCTAAGTCTACTGTTGAAACTAATGACATTTTAAGATCAATGAATTTTTAATTTGTACTTTTTAGTTCTAGAGTATCCACCTGACACTTTCATTGGTTTTCAATTCTCTGATGAAATGTTTCATGTTTTATCCATTTGGTCCTCTTTATGTTGTTTACCATAAATCACTGTTACTTTAAAGTTATTGTCTGTTAACACCAATATCTGGATCATTTGTGGATCTTCTTTCCTTATTCTTCTTTCTCTTCCTCTTTCCCTCTTCTTGTTCTTCTTCTTTCCTTGTTTTTGGCTATTTTCTAACCTGTTTGCATTTTCAGTAACTTTTAATTTTAATATACCTATTGTTCATAAAAAACCATAAAGACACCAGATGATAAGTTCTATAGCTATTGTTCTCCCTTTTTGTCTGTTAGGCTTATTGAGTATACAGTTAATAATCTCAATCTGGTCAGGCTTTCTACTGAATAGTGTCTGGTTTGAAGATTTTCTGTGACTCAGTTTACCTCTGGTAGTCCCTATACCCCAAGATTAGCCCTCCAAGGCTTTTTGTAGTCTAGTGAGCATCTTTCTTCCACCCGAAAGATGGCATGTGCTTCTATTATTCCTTTCAGAGGTTTTAAGCTTAGCTTTTTAGTCTCCTGCCTTATTCCACTTCAATATCTGGCAAAGGAAAGGACAATCTGTCCTTAAGAATTTGTCTCTTAAGTCCTGCGGTGTTTGACTTTCTGTTCCTGTGTTAGTTCACTTAGAATAATGACCTCCTGCTCTGTTCATGTTGCTGCAAAGAACATGATATTGTTCCTTTTTGTGGCTGTGTAGTATCCCATGATATATATGTACCACATTGTATCCAATCTACCATTGGTGGGCATTTAGGTTGATTCCATGTCTTTGCTATTGTGAATAGTGCTGTAATGAATACACATATACATATGTCATTATGGTGAAATAATTTATATTCCTTTTGGTATACACCCAATAATGGGATTGCTAGGTTGAATGGTAGTTCTAAATTCTTTGAGAAATTGCCAGACTAGCTGGGCACAGCGGCTCATGCCTGTAATCCTAGCACTTTGGGAGGCAGAGGCTGACAGACTGCCTGATCTCAGGAGTTCAAGATCAGCCTGGGCAACGTGGTGAAACCCTGTCTCTACTAAGAATACAAAAAATTAGCTGGGTGTGGTGGCAAGTGCCTGTAATCCCAACTACTGGGGAGGCTGAGGCAGAAGAATTGCTTGAACCCAGGAGCCAGAGGTTGCAGTGGGTCAAGATCACACCACTTCACACCAGCCTGAGCGACAGAGTATGACTGTGTCAAAAAAAAAAAACAAAAAAATTCCCAAACTAATTTTTGCAACTTTTGAAAATTATATTTTAGTTGATGCAGATATGGTTTCCAATTTTCTAATGAAAACTGGGTGTCAGTATATTAATAACTGCTACGTCCCTTTATATTACTTTTTATTTAAATAAGATAGCAGCACATTTTAGGAAATCGGGAAGCTGGGACATCCACTAATTCTAATGAAATTTGAATTTCATTAATTGAAAAATAAAGGAGGAGTTTTATAAGTTAGTTTATACAATCTCAAACATTTTTTAAAAAGATTCTTCAAAATACATCATAGGAATATATAGAGAAAAATGAGATATCAATGTTGTATTTATACATTGTTTATATCCACACTATAGTTATTATACATTTATAATGCAACAAGACTTCATTAAGCATCTTTTTTGTGGTGCCCTGTGAGATATAGGTGACTAGATCTCTATCCTTAGTCTCTTCTGAAATCACTGAACTGAAGCAATGTCATGACCATAACCTTGGACAATGGTGTGTTGCTAAATATCTAACAAGTGGCTCTTCAAGGAAGAAACAAACACACATCGACTTATAGCATTATCCATTACTTATAGCATAAATCCTCCCACTATGTTCAATTTCAAGCAACCAGCATGATTACTTAATGTGGGGTTTGGGAAGAGATATGAACAATTGGCTTGCATAAGCCAGTGCCAACAAGCTCCAGTATGCTACTGAGTCCTAGGAATGACTGAGTTGAGCATAGTGAGGAGTTCTTTAACAAGTCTATTCCGGCTTACTTGATGCTTTACAACTGCCTATGCTGGTATGGTTAGTGTGCACAACAGGCTGCCTTAAGTGATTATCTCTTTATTCCATGAGCCATTATTCATTTTACACAGGCAACTCACAAACAGCATCTTCTACTGAAACACTAAGATAATAATAAAAATAAAATGAAAAACGGTTTCTAAAATCCAGGGGTGCTGCTCCATCTGGGACATTTATGAAGATGGTGTGTGCAGAGATTAAGTGAGAGTCAGCTCTCAGAGGGAAGGGAATCTCAGCAGAGGGCAGGGAGTCCAGTGGGGGAAAAAAATAAATCACAAACCTGGAGTTGCTGCTGGACATAGATTTACCCTCAGGAAGAGTGGCTGAGAAGCCTAAGAAGAACCATAAAGCTGCTAGAATATCAGGGTTAGAAGAGTTCCTGGGATTAATCTGGACTTACCTCCCACCCAGGACCATGTACTCCCCCAGAGAAGAATCTGAATGTCCCCTGGAGTTCACTGATTTCTTTCTCTTCAACTCAGTTTCTCTATCCTTTAATTAACCAATGTCTTAAGAAAATTATGACTCAGATAATCCTAAAATATACTGAGAATCTATGTCTTTTCCAAATATGAACAAAACTTAAAGAGGGATGTTTTATATTGACTGCAAACTACAGATGACTACTCAGCCATGATCCATCAGTGCCACCTGCCATGGACACAGGGGAGGCAAGTAACTGTGCTAACACCACAAATCTGTCATCTTTGACTTAAAAGAATATATTCCTCTCAGGTTTCCCCATGTATGAAAATTGATCATCATAGCATTAGAGAAAATGAGAAGAAATCCCAAAGCAGAGGGAAGTTGTTTACTTCTTTCATGCCATGCTTTCTCTGTTATAATGCACAGGGGTCATGAAGACAAAATAAGACACCATCCAGAATTTGGAAAGGAGGTAAAGCTGCCTTGCAGAATTATTATCATCATCATTATTATTATTATTATTATTATTATTATTATTATTATTATTACTATTGAGATGGAGTTTCGCTGTGTTGCCCAGGCTGGAGTGCAGTAGCGCAATCTTGGCTCACCACAGCCTCTGCATCCTAGCTTGAAGCAATTCTCCTGCCTCAGCCTCCTGAGTAGCTGGGACTACAGGCAGGTGCCACCAGGTCCCGCTAATTTTTGTATTTTTAGTAGAGATGGGGTTTCACTATATTGCCTGCCTCAGCCTCCCAAAGTGCTGGGATCACAGGCATGAGCCACCATGCCCGGCCTACAGGACATAATAAGTTACAGCAGAGATATGTAAAGTCATCTTAAAAGACAGCAAGATTTGACTATAACCTGAATGGATGTCCATTCAGGTTATATATAACCTTTCTTGGATGTCCAAGAAAGCATATGGCAATCAGGATAGGGATGAACAGCAAGAGAAACTTAGAAAAAAATAAATAGAGGGATGACTTCAACTACATAAAAGGGGTAGAAAATACAAAGCCAGAGGCCAGCGTTGGCAGAGTCTTCGAGCACTGTCTAGGACAGAAGAAAGTCTGACTGCAAACTGGAGAGTTCCCACTGGTAAAGGACCCTTCATAATGCACTGAAGAGTTTCAAGCCACCTTAGCTAGAGTGGGACCCCATCTAAAGAAACACACTGTTTCTATTTGCCTAATCCTGGAACACTTAGCTGTCCAGAAAAACATGCCTATTTATAATGAATGTGGTCAATTGGAGAACGACAAAGAGAGGTTGTCCGCACCTAGGAAACTTTCCAGGAGGTGCAAGTGTGTCACGATGAAGGCAAGTGGCCATGTGTTTGCTGAAATCCTCTCCAGTGACCCTGGCATTCATGCCATCACCCATTTCTGAATATTACCAGCCTTCAGAAAAAGAGTATATCACACCTACATGAAATTAAAACCCATGTGACAATTATATTTCTTTTCATAAGTTCATAAATAATTTAAGTAATATGTACATTAACTCATGTGAGACTAACGTAATGCTACCCCTGACTCACTCACTCTCAGAAAACCAAAACAGGTTTCAGGTGTTCAAAACTGATGGCTAAAACCTGGACTTAGGTGAAGTCAGCTGGTTAAAGGGCAATCAGGTAACCTTCCCTGATAGCTACCTTGCCTTGTGATGGAGACTCTTAATTTTGGGCAACAAAAGGTGGCATGACTAAGAGTGTTAGCTCTTTCTAGTTCCTACCCACAAAATGAGGTTAACACCTTCTGCATAGTATTGTTGTGAGAATAACAATGATAAAGTTCCTGGAACATCTTCAGTGGTCAGAGACAGGCTAGATGCTCATCAATCCAACTTCTTCTTGTGCACAAAGAAATGCTACATTTCCCACCCTCCTCTGGAATTACATTGAGGCCATCAGATTCTCACCAATGGGATGTGTCTGGAAGTGATATGCATCACTTCTAGGTTTGGTCACAAAACTCCCTGTACTTTCATATGTGGTTAAGAAAAATTACATATAATAGGAGGCCTCTGAGAGAAATCAGGAGCCATCGAGAATAACGAACAAGAGAGTTATTTCCATAGTCAGGGCATAGCTAAGGAACCCTTATGACATCTGCCTAACAGGATTCCAGAAGTGTTACAAACAAGTAACTGAACAGTGTCTCTACTTTTTCCCTTTCTGAAGGGTACTTATTGTGGTTATCCTACCTCTGTTCCATCATTGTATACTGGGGGGAAGGGAATATAACTTTTTTATTTCATGAGTTGCCAGGCTTAAAAAAGCAACATTTAGATATGATGGAAAGGATGACTGTACAACTATCAGGATTCTTGAACTTTAAGCTGGATGCAGGGACTTGAGGGAGGGGGTTTTGGTGATGCCCTTGGAGAGCATGTCCTATGTATAAAAGCAAGAATGAAAGAGACTTCTCTGATCAGATGGGCAGTTCATGAAGAGGCTTGCTAGCTGTCCACTATCAAACCTGTTTTTCTCAAGCACACAGAAGCCTGCATTTTCCAGTATAATTTGCAGTTATGTTGGAACAATAAGAATGGGTTCTGGCAAGTGGGATGTGGATAAAAGTGATCATCCATACTCACTGTTACCAATAAGTAATAAAGTGGCCCCTAGCCACAGGTAACTATTTAAAAGCAAATTAACAAAAAGCAAAAATAGACAAATGGGACTGAGACTAAAATGCTTCCTCACAGCAAAAGAAATAACCAGGGCAAACAGACAACTTAGAGAGTGAGAGAAAATATTTGCAAACCATGCATCTGATAAAGGAAAAATATCTAGAATCTATGAAGAACTCAAACAGCTAAACGAGAAAAAAGAAAACCATTAAAAAGTGGGCAAAAGGCATGAACACTTTTTCAAAAGAAGACATACACGTGGCCAAAAAACATGAAAACATGTTCAACATCACTAATTATCAGAAAAATGCAACTTAAAACCACAATGAGATACCATATTACACCAGTCAGAATAGCTATTATTAAAAAGTCAAAAAACAACAGATGTTGGTAAGGATTCAGAGAAAAGGGAACACTTATACACTGTTGGTGGGAATGTAAATTAATGAACCCTCTAAGGAAAACAGTATGGAGATTTCTCAAAGAACTAAAAATAGAACTATGATTTGATCCAGCAATCCCCCTGCTGAGTACCCCAAGGAAAATAAATCATTTTATGTGTGTGTGTGTGTATGTGTGTGTGTGTGTGTGTTTGTATATATATATATGTGTGTTGTGTGTGCATGTGTCTATATATACACACATTTTATGTATGTATAAAATCACTTTATATATATACATATATAATATATAAAAGACACCTGAACTTATATGTTTATCACAATACTATTCACAATAGCAAAGTTATGAAATCAACCTAAGTGTCCATCAATAGATGATTAGATAAAGAAAATGTGGTACATATATACCATGGAATACTACTTAGCCACAAAAAAGAATGAAATTATGTCCTTTGCAGTAACATGGATGAAACTGGAGGCCATTATCCTAAGTGCAACAACTCAAAAAAATCAAATACCACATGTTCTTACTTATACGTGGGAGCTAAAGAATGGGTATACATGGATATACAGAGTGGGATAACAGACATTGGAGACTCCAAAAGGTGGGAGGGGGTGATGGATGAAAAATTACCTACTGGTCAGTGGGGCCAAGATGGCCCACTAGAAGCAGTGGTGTTCCAAGGCGCCCATTGAAAAGAAACCATAATAAGCGTGTGAATCCTTCACCGGCAACAAAGGTATCCATGTTCTCTCATCAAAATTGACTAGAAGGCTGGCATGACTGAGAGAGAGAAGGAAGAGCAGTGTGGTGCAGCGGCCCATGTGAGAGCCACATGGGAAAGGGGAACCCTCTCCCCCAAGCCAAGAGAGGCAGTGAGTGAGCTTGCTACCTAGCCAGGGAAACTGTGCTTTACTGGGTAACCCATGGATTGGAAGACCCCACTCGTGAACCCACACCACTGGAGCCTAGCATACCAACCCTAGAATGCACAGATACTTACAGCCTCTCAGCTGGAATTTGCTTGAGCCTACTGAACTCCCAGGGGTAGGGGCAACAAGCACCGGCTGTGGCTGCCAGCTGTCTAAGTCGTTTGAGCTCATTGGGGGAGAGGCAGCAGCCAGAACTGGGATGCACAACTACTTAACGTGCTAAGCTCCCTGGGTGGGTGAAGGGTGGCACTCATTTCTATAGCTGCAGGCTGTGCTTTTCCCCTGCTGGAACCAGGGAGGCTGAATGGCTTGGTCCAAAGACTTGCCTCCACAAACTAACACACTGGCTGTGGCAATCTGTGGCCAGAGTGACTCTTTAGCTCTAACCCTGACCCATCCTTCCTCAGTGAGTGGGGCTTCCCTGCAGGATCTCCAATAACTCCAGCCAGAGGCTCAGGGACAGAATTAGGATCTCCCTAGGCCTAGGGGAGGGGTGGTCGCAGTCTCTGTGAACCAGCAGACTTAGCCTCTCCTCCTGGTAGTTCTGAGGAATCCAGGAAGCCCAGATGAGTGGGTTTCACCTCAGCGAAACATATCATCTCCACCAAGGCACAAAGTGCTTTGTTAAATGGGTTCTGCTCCTGGTGCCACCAAACTGGGTGAGACCCTCCAACACGGTTTGTCAGACACCCTACACAGGAGCATCCTACTGACATCAGGTTGATGCTCCTTGAGGTCAGAGGTCCCAGAAGCAGGAGGCATCCATCTTTGCTACTCTCCAGCCTCCCTGAGTGACATTTCCAGGCATGGAAGCGAATCAGATGAATAGGGCTGGAAGTGAATCCCCAGCGAATTGCAGCAGCCCTACAGAAGAGGGACCTGACCATTGACAGAAAAACAAACAGAAAGTGACAATGACACCATCAACAAAAATAACAACAAAACGGGCCCCCACAAAAACCCCATCTGAGGGTCAGCAGGCTCAAAGACCAAAACTAGACAAATTCATGAAGATGAGAAAGAGCCACATGAATGAAAAAATGCAGAAAACCCAAAATGCCAGAACGCTTCTTCTCCTCCAAATGATCACAACATCTCTCCATCAAGGGTGCAGAACTGGATGGAGGATGAGATGGACAAATTGACAGAAGTAGGCTTCAGAAGATGGGTAATAAAAAACTATGATGAGCTAAAGGAACATGTTCTAACCCAATGTAAAGAAGCTAAGATCATTGACAAAAGGTTAGAGGAATTGCTAACTAGAATAACCAGTTTAGAGAGGAATATAAATGACCTAATGGAGCTGAAAAACACAGCATGAAAACTTCATGAAGCATACACAAGTATCAACAGCCAAATCGACCAAACAGAAGAAAGGATATCAGAGTTTGAAGACTACATTACTGAAATAAGACATGCAGACAAGAATAGGGAAAAAAAAGAATGAAAATGAATGAACAAAGCCTCCAAGAAATATAGGACTTCATAAAAGACCAAACCTATGATTGATTGGAGTACCAGAAGGAGACAGGGAGAATGGAAAAAAGCTGGAAAACACACTTCAGGATATTATCCAGGAGAACTTCTCCAACCTAGCAAGACAGGCCAACATGCAAATTCAGGAAATATAGAGAACACCAGTAAGGTATCCACAAGAAGATCAACCCCAAGACACATGATTATCGGATTCTCCAAGGTCTAAATGAAGGAAAAACTGTTAAGGGCAGCCAGAGAGAAAGGCCAGGTCACCTACAAAGGAAAGCCCATCAGGCTAAGAGGAGGCCTCTCAGCAGAAACTCTACAAGCCAGAAGAGATTGGGGGCCAATATTGAACATTCTTAAAGAAAAGAATTTTCAACCCAGAATTTCACATCAAGCCAAACTAAGCTTCATAAGTGAAGGAGAAATAAAATCCTTTCCAGACAAGCAAATGCTAAGGGATTTCATTACCACCAGGCCTGTCCTGCAAGAACTCCTGAAAGAAGCACTAACTATGGAAAGGGAAAACCAGTACCAGCCATTGCAGAAACACACCAAAATATAAAGACCAATGACACTACAAAGAAACTGCATCAACTAGTGTGCAAAATACCCAAATAGCCTCATAATGACAGGATCAAATTCACACAATACTAACTTTAAATTTAAATGGGATATATGCCCCAATTAAAGGACAGATAGGCAAATTGGATAAGGAGTCAAGACCCATTGGTGTGCTGTATTCAGGAGACCCATCTTACATGCAAAGACGCACATAGGCTCAAAATAAGAGATGGAGGAAAATTTACCAAGCAGATGGAAACAAAAAAAAAAAAAAAATCAGGGGTTGCAGTCCTGGTCTCTGACAAAACAGACTTTAAACAAATGAAGATCAAAAAGACAAAAAAGCACATTACCAAATGGTAAAGGAAACAATTCAACCAGAAGAGCTAATTATTTTGAATATATATACACCCAGTACAGGAGCACCCAGATTCATAAAACAAGTTCTTAGAGACTGACAAAGAGACTTAGACTCCCACACAATAATAGTGGGAGGCTTTAAACCCCCACTGTCAGTATCAATGACACAGAAAATTAACAAGGATATTAGGACTTGAATTCAGCTCTAGATCAAGTGGTCCTAGTAGATGTCTACAGAACTCTCTACCCCAAATCAATAGAATAATCATTCTTCTCAGTGCCACATGGCACTTATTCTAAAATTGACCACATAATTGGAAGTAAAACACTTCTCAGCAAATGGGAAAGAACTGAAATTATAACAAACAGTCTCTCAGACCACAGTACAATCAAATTAGAACTCAGGATTAAGAAATTCACTCAAAACCACACAATTTCACAGAAATGGAACAACCTATTCCCGAATGACTCCTGGGTAAACAATAAAATTAAGGCAGAAATGAAGAAGTTCTTTGAAACCAATGAGAACAAAGAAAACATATCAGAATCTCTGGGACACAGCTAAAGCAGTGTTTAGAGGGAAATTTATGGCACTAAAGGCCCACATCAGAAAGCTAGAAAGATCTCAAATTCACACCCTAACATTACAATTAAAAGAGCTAGAGAAGCAAGAGAAAACGAATCCAAAAGCTGGAAGAGAAGAAATAACTAAGAGCAGGGAAGAATTGAAGGAGATAAAGACATGAGAAACCCTGCAAAAAAATCAAAGAATTCAGGAGGTGTTTTTTTGAAAAAATTAAAATAGATAGACCACTTGCTAGACTAATGAAGAAGGGAGAGAAGAATCAAATAGACACAATAAAAATGATACAAGGGATATCACCACTGACCCCAGAGAAATAAGAACTACCATCAGAGAATAATATAAACACCTCTATGCAAATAAACTGGAAAATCTAGAAGAAATGGATAAATTCCTGGACACACACACCCTTCTAAGACTGAACTAGGAAGAAGTTGAATCCCTGAATATACCAATAACAAGCTCTGAAATTGAGGCAGTAATTAATAGCCTACCAATCAAAAAAAGCCCAGGACCAGACAGATTCACAGCTGAATACTACCAGAAATACAAAGAGGAGCTGGTACCATTCCTTCTGAAACTAATCCAAACAACTGAAAAGGAGGGACTCCTCCCTAACACATTTCATGAAGCCAGCATCATTGTGATACCAACACCTGGCAGAGACACAACAAAAAAAGAAAACTTCAGGATAATATCCTTGATGAATATCAATGCAAAAATCCTCAATAAAATACTGGCAAACTGAACCCAGCAGCACAAAAAAACTTATCCACCATGATCAAGTCGTCTTCATCCCTGGGATGCAAGGCTGATTCGACATATACAAATCAATAAATGTAATCCATCACATAAACAGAACCAATGACAAATTCCACATGATTATCTCAATAGGTGCGGAAAAGGCCTTTGATAAAATTCAACACCCATTCACGTTAAAAACTCTCAATAATCTAGGTATTGATGGAACATACCTCAAAATAATAACAGCCATTTGTAACAAACCCATAGCCAATAAAATATTGAATGGGCAAGAGCTGCAGGCATTCCCTTTGAAATCCGGTGCAAGACAAGGATGCCCTCTTTCACCACCCCTATTCAACATAGTATTCAAAGTTCTGGCCAGGGCAATTAGGCAAGAGAAAGAAATAAAGGGCATTTGAATAGGAAGAGAGGAAGTCAGATTGTCTCTGTTGGCAGATGACATGATTCTATATTTAGAAATCCCCATCATCTCAGCCCCAAAACTCCTTAAGCTGATAAGCAACTTCAACAAAGTCTCAGGATACAAAACCAATGTGCAAAAATCAAAAGCATTGCTTTACACCAACAATAGGCAAGCAGAGAGCAAAATCATGAATGAACTCCTATTCAGAATTGTTACAGAGAATAAAATACCTAGGAATACAGGTAACAAGGGGTGTGAAGGACCTCTTCAAGAACTACAAAACACTGCTCAAGGAAATAAGAGAGGACACAAACAAATGGAAAAACATTCCATCCTCATTGATAAAAAGAATCAATATCATGAAAATGGCCATACTGCTCAAAGTAATTTACAGGTTCAATGCTATTCCAATCGAACTACCACTGACATTCTTCATGGAATTAGAAAACACTATTTTAAATTTCATATGGAATCAAAGAAGAACCCTGTATAGCCAAGAGAAGTATAAGCAAAAAGAACAAAGCTGGAGGCATCATGCTACCTGACTTCAAACTATATTACAAGGCTACAGTAACCAAAACAGCGTGGTACTTGTACCAAAACACATAGACAAATGCGGCAGAACAGAGACTTCAGAAATAACACCACATATCTACAACCATCTGATCTTTGACAAACCTGACAAAAACAAGCAATGGGGAAAGGATCTCCTATTCAATAAATAGTACTGGGAAAACTGGCAAACCATATGCAGAAAACTGAAACCGGACCCCTTCCTTACACCTTACACAAAAATTAACTCAAGATGGATTAAAGACTTAAGTGTAAAAACCAAAACGATAAAAACCCTAGAAGAAAACCTAGACAATACCATTCAGGGAATAGGCATAGACAAAGACTTCATGACTAAAACACCAAAAGCAATTGCAACAAAAGCCAAAATTAACAAATGGGACCTAATTAAACTAAAGAGCTTCTGCACAGCAAAGGAAACTATCATCAGAGTGAACGGGCCATCTAAAGAATGGGAGAAAAATTTTGCAATCTACCCATCTGACAAAGGTCTAATATCCAGAATTTACAAGGAACTTAAACATATTTACAAGAAAAAAAAACCATCAAAAATGGGCAAAAGACATGAACAGACAATTCTCAAATGAAGACATTTACATGGCCAAAAACATATGAAAAAAAGCTTAACATCACTGATCATTAGAGAAATGCAAATCAAAACCACAATGAGATACCATCTCATGCCAGTCAGAATGATGATTATTGAAAACTCAGGAAACAATAGATGCTGGCAAGGCTGTGGAGAAATAGGAACGCTTTTACACTATTGGTAGGAATGTAAATTCATTCAACTATTTTGGAAGACAGTATGGGGATTCCTCAAGGATCTAGAACTAGAAATACCATTTGATCCAGCAATCCCATTACTGGGTATATATCCAAAGGAATATAAATCATTCTTCTATAAAGACACATGCACATGTATGTTTACTGCAGCACTATTTACAATGGCAAAGACATGGAACAAACCCAAATGCCCATCAATGATAGACTGGATAAAGAAAATGTGATACATATAGAGCATTAAATACTATGCAGCCATAAAAAGGAATGAGATCATGTCCTTTGCAGGGACATGGATGAAGCTGGAAGCCATCATCCTCAGCAAACTAACACAGGAACAAAAAACCAAACACCACATGTTCTCACTCTTAAGTAGGATTTGAACATTGAGAACACATGGATACAGAGAGGGGAATAACACACACCAGGGCCTGTTGGGGGCTGGGGGGTGAGGGGAGGGAACTTAGAAGATGGGTCAATAGGTGAAGCAAACCACCATGGCACACATATACCTATGGAACAAATCTGCATGTTCTGCACATGTATCACATTTTTTTAGAATAAATTAAAAAAAAAAGAAAGAAAAGTCACCTCTTGGGTACAATGTACACCATTTAGTTGATGGTTACACTAAAAGTCCAGACTTCACCACTATGCAATATATCTATGGAACCAAATTGCACTTGTACCCCCTAATTCTATAAAAATAAAAAATACTAAAAATTTAAAAGATACTTTTCCTAGGATAGTCATGATGATTACATCATACAAAATTGTTCTTAGTATTTGGAATGAAAGGTATGGTAATTAGTTCTAGTCAACCTAGCCAGAAAAGTCACTTGAATTTCAGTGGAATGACATTTCCTGATATTGTTATGTGCTAGGTGCAAAAATATGGCCAAGGACAAAGTTCTGGTAAGCAGACTGAGTGGAGATTCTGAGTATGAGGTCTTTGGTCCGGCTTTGGGTCCTCTGCTGACTCACAGATTGGTGCCCATAAACAAACAAAACTTTGTTCTTAGTCACACTAGCTACATTCTGAGTGTTCAGCAGCCACATATCTAGTGACTTTCATACTGGATGGTGCAGATAAAAAGCATTTCCTTCATCACAGAAGGTTCTATTCAACAGTGCTGGTCTAGCCCTATGGGAGTGAGCTTGGCATCTCCTTAAATGAGATGAAGGCTTGGAAGGCCCAAATAGTGGGGAGACTGGTGACTATTCATTAGGATAAATTTAGGACATATTCAAGTGTCAATCAGAGATAACAAATGCCTCTAATTAAATATGTGACTGGTGGATGAAACAAGCATATTTATGCCTGTAGCAGAGAGTTGGAGACAAGGGGACTAATAGTCATTACTTTAATAACAATGCTATCTTCCTCTACAGTGAAAAAATGTTTGCTATTTATTTAGCTCTATAGATACAAAGTCCTATGAAAATAAGTCAGTGGGCTATCGTGACTTCTGGACTGATTATCCCCTCAAAAATCATATTAGCACACTTGAATTTCGCTCTCTATGAAGGAAGAGTTTGTAAATCAAAAGTAAACCTCAGGGCCTGTTGAAACAAATTTCTAATCAATGAAAAGTCCTGGGATGCCTGCAAAAGTGCTTTCAGAAATATTGAATATTATCTAAATCATGATCAGGGCCAATGGCTGCCTGTGTGGCTGAAAGTTTCCCTATAGGACTCACAGAATATTTCCATACCTCCAATCCAACAGAATTTGGTTTCTTAAACATTGCTCCAGAAGAATCCCACAGATAACAAGCATCATTTGTGACATTAGCTTCCTCTCTGATGATTATGATGAGGTCAAATGTCCTATGTTAGTCTGGAGCCATGGGTATTGTCTATTTGTTTATTTTTCATGTATGAATGTGTGCCTAAATCTAAGTGTGATATCAACTTCCTTAAGATTTTTTTGCATATCTAAATCTGCACATGTTCCTATACACAAAAACATGATCATACTGTAGCACACTGAGGACAAAAACAGCACAGTTTTACTACTATTCATGTGGACATAGGCAAGTCGCTTAATTTTTCAGAACACTGTTTAACTGTACTCTAAAATGCATGAGTGAACTAAATGTCTACAATCCAATCTCATTAACTTCCATTATTTTTAACTTCTATATAAAGAAAAAACAAATAGAAAAATATATTAATATTCTACCTAAGATTTTATTGTCCCGTTTAAACATTTAGTTTTAAACAAGCATATTTGATTTATTAGAGCCCGTAAACAAATGAAACTTTGTTCAAATTTCCCCCAAGTACTCTTGAATTGCTACAAGTATTCATGAACTCAAAAGAACCCGTGGGTATAAGGGCAAACTATTACACCATTGAATGACAGAGCTGATGGACTGATCTTGTTAGCTAGACAATCCAGGATGACATTTGCTGTAATCCAGGATTTGACCAAACTAAATGTGTATCTTTGCCCTACACATTGGAAAATGGCTGTTTACATTATAATCCTGTGTGAGGCCACATCCATCTAACTTTGAGTCATCTTAATCTTTCAAATATCTTTCTTTAGTCAAGTAAGTACCATAAGTAACCATATGATCCTCAGAGCAAATACTTAGGCCTTGTCAATTATCCCTTAACATATCCATAAGAAAAGAATGTTCAGTCAGGAGGCAGGGCTGTAGTGTGGAAATAAAGTCATACTAGGAACAGAAAAACTAAATTTGAGCCCCGGTTTCCATTCAATCTAACATTTATTGAGTAACCAGTATGTGCAAAAATGTTGGGTTAGATTCTGGAGATACAATGGCAAATAAGACAAAAATAGCTTACTAATTCATTGGGGGAGATAAGCACTAAACATGTAATTGCAGATATAAGCATTTCCAAGAGGGATATGAAAGATACTATGGGGGCATAGATGAAGGGACTTTTACTTACTGAGAGTTAAGTGAAGATGAGAAAGTTAAGTGACAGTTATCCAGGGAAAGGTAAAGGAAAAGTAATCCAAACAGTAGGAAACACGTGTGGTGAAGTTTTAGCGGCAAAAGAGAACATCACACATGAGGAATTAAAGGAAGTTCAGATGAGTTAGATCATAGAGAACAGGAGGAAAATATCCTGAGACAAAGAAGAGGAGGTACACAGGAGCAGAATATGGAAGACCCTGAGATAACATCCAACAGCTATGATCTTGGGAAGACCTCCTTGGGCCATCATAGTACAGGATACTGGAGTGGGTGAACTGTAAGAACCCTTCCAATTCTGAGGTTGAAAGAATGTATGACATTCAATTATTCCATGTTCCAGAAGCCCACAATTTAAATTTGGGGGTTGAGAGAAATGTAGCTAGAGGTACACTACAGGGTATAGTTTAGGGTAAAGTATAGCCTGATGTCTCAAGCAATTTTTCCCTATTCCATGAATTTTAGGGATGTCTCTGTGTGTTGTCATGGAAACAAAGCACAAGGATTCCAAATTTTCCTGCTGTGTGATATAGCCATTGAGTGGAGGTTCTGAGTACGAGGTCTTTGGTCCTGCTTTGGGTCCTCTGCTGACTCACACCAAACCTGGGATGTTTATTACTCTCTAACTTATCACCTCCTTTCAAAACTATCATGGAGATACTGAAAACACTTTTCCTAGGATAGTCATGATGATTACATCATACAAAATGTTCTTAGTATTTGGAATGAAAGGTATGGTAATTAATTCCGGTTAGCCCAGCCAGGAAAGTCACCTGAATTTCCGTGGAATGACATTTCCTGATATTGTTATGTGCTAGGTGCAAAAATTTGGCCCAGGACAAAGTTCCAGTAGGCAGATTCACAGCTGGTAAGCAACTGTTGCTAAGACTGCATGCCTTGTGAAACAGAAAATGTTTTTCTTGTTCTGCGATGTTTCAAACACCCTGACAGTGTTGGGGCCATAAAGATGCTCAAGAAATATTGATAGAATATGAAAATGAATCAAAGTGTCTATTGGTATGGTTTAGGTTTACTCAACCCACCTAGACAGACATGCAGCAGGAACCCATGTAAATCATAAAGGATATGAACACACATTTCCAGAACTGGTCCAGCCTCCTTTCTATTTATGCATTCTGACTTGCTTTGTGTAACTCTGGACTTCCTTGGTTTTGCTACCTTAGTCTGGCTTTGTTATTGAATGTCACATTTCCTATAACCCCCCCACCCCCAGCTCTTGACAATTTATTTTAGGCTCACTATTCCAGCTAACCGGCATCTCACTTTGTACCAAGTGCTAATATTTAATCATTTAAATAACAGACATCATGACAGAAACTTTTAATTCTCCTAGTCATACAGAACAAGCCATTTGTGAATACAAGGGTCACATGTCACTTGAAAGCCCTTTTTTTGCATAATGGCAGAAGGTGTTTCCTTTAACTTCAAGTCACTTAACCTAGTGCTTTCCCTTGGAGAAACACAGAATAAGTCTGTTCCTTTAACATGACAGTCATTTAAATAGTGAAGATTAGGGATTACTTTCTATCTCAAGCTCTTTCCTAGAAATTCTTTCAACTACCATGTAGGGTACAGTTTTGAAATAATCTACCTTCCTGATAAATTTAGTATATAAACCAAAAACTACATGATAAAAAAAGCACCATAACTGAAGTCAAAAGAGAAAAGCCAAGAGAAAATATTTGCAACATATATCAGAGATAAAAGCTAATATCCCTAATATGTAAATGTCTCATAAAAATTAAGAGGAGAGACTAGAATCCTGATATAAAGGTAGGCAAGGCATGAATAGGCAACTCACAAAAACATACAAAATGACCCTCACGCATATGAAAAAATGTTCACTCATTAGATTTTATGCAAATTAATTTAATACTAATTATATTACACTGACATACCATTTCTCATTTATCAGAAAGGTGAAAACTACAACAAAAGGCATTTCGTTGGTGATGCCATGTGGAAATGGCTCCCTCTTACATTGATGGTGGGAATATAAATTAGTACAATTCTTTTGGAGGAGAATTTGGCAATACATAATTTAAAATATATATATGCAGTTACCTCTTGGCCCAGCAAAATAGTCGAAGCAATTGTGAGAAGTAGTTTTAAGAATTTACCCTAAAAATATAACCTCAGCAATATGAAAATACACATGTACAATATTACTTATGGCAGCATTGTTTGTAATTGTTCAGTATTTGAAATAACTTAAAGAATAAAATATAGCAAAGTGATGAATAAACTATGGTACATCCACACAGTGCAATACTATACAGCTGTAAAAAGAATGAGTTATCTATGAACTGATAAAGAGTAATTGTTAGCATAGAATGTTAGTTGAATAGAAGCAACCTACACAAAAGTGCCAGTAGTAAGCTACTTTGAGTATAAGAAAGGAGGAATAAGAAAATACACGGCCGGGCGCGGTGGCTCACGCCTGTAATCCCAGCACTTTGGGAGGCCGAGGCGGGCGGATCACGAGGTCAGGAGATCGAGACCATCCCGGCTAAAACGGTGAAACCCCGTCTCTACTAAAAATACAAAAAAATTAGCCGGGCGTAGTGGCGGGCGCCTGTAGTCCCAGCTACTTGGGAGGCTGAGGCAGGAGAATGGCGTGAACCCGGGAGGCGGAGCTTGCAGTGAGCCGAGATCCCGCCACTGCACTCCAGCCTGGGCGACAGAGCGAGACTCCGTCTCAAAAAAAAAAAAAAAAAAAAAAAAAAAAAAAGAAAATACACATTACTTTGTTCATTTGTGAAAAAATGAAACAGAAAAGGCAAACCAGAAACTAATAAGAGTGTTTACCTACAGACTGTGGGTAGAAACCAGGTGAAAAAGAAGGGGAATGGAGTATAAGGGACTGGGGGAGTGACACTTCTCTAGTAAAAAAATAAATAAATAAATAAATATATATATGACTTTTAGAACTATGGTAATTTCTCACAGACTTGGAGTAAATATAATAATTAACAAAGTGGGGAAGGAGACCTCAAATAGGATATAACAGAAAAGAATGAGCCACACTCCATTACAAATACAGTCATGTGTCACCTAACAATGGGGATATGCTCTGAGAAATGGTAATGTTGTCTTTGCATGAACATCATAGAGTGTACTTACACACACCCAGATGGTATAGCCTACCGAACATATATAAACACAGGAAAGACACAGTAAGAATATGGTATTATAACCTTATGGGATCACTGATGTGTATGTGGTTCATTGTTGACTGAAATATCATATTGTGGTGTGTGACTGTAATATAACCACACTGAAGGGGTGGTGCCTGTAGCTAACTAACCAATTAACTTTAAAAAACATCATTTTGACTATAAATTTTTAAGGTCAAAGACAAAAGAAAAACTGTGCACAAATATTGTACTTTAGTTAGGTTTGTTTTCCACAGGCTTACGTATCCTGAAACTACTTTGCATGTATTCTATGAATCAGCCTATGATATTAATAATAATAATAGGTTGGTTTTTGTTAGGGAAGGGCATTGTGAATAAGAAAAGGGGAAGGCTAGAAAAAACCTTGTCTGGAGTTATCAGTACTAGCTCAAGGTTTGAAAATGCATCTAGATAGAGAAATAGCTATAGGAATATGTGTGTGTGTATATATTCATACATGTATTTCATAGGCCTGTCTTCTGAGGACTAGGAGCAATTATACCTACATATCAGTGAATGAACCTAACACTTATTCTCTAGAAAAAAGGAATGCTTTCAATAAAATATCATTTGTCAGTAAAAGAAGCCGGGACTCCTTGAAGAAAAGGCACACTCCAGGGCTAGGACAGGGAAAGTATAAGATAAGCCTCCACCATCTTGGGGTGCCAGAGATCTAAAAGCACTCAATGAATGATAGGGCCATATCAAAAGGACACTGGAGCTAATTGAATGAGCTCCTGGTGATCAGAAAAATTGGAGCAACAAAATGAATAATGGTGATGAATTATTACTCATAGAATAAAAAGAATCTGTGAGTCCATGCTTATATAAATAAATAATAAATGGTAAAGAAAGAAAAACACTTTTTTTATGAGACTCCAATTAATAAATGTAGAAGGAATGCTGAAAAGAGAAGTTCACCATTCATCAAATACCTCAGTAACAGGTATTTAGGCAAGAATCATCAATAGAAACTATAATTAGACAAAATATGATGAGAAAAAAAGGTATTTACATAGTCTCAAAGTATCTTACCATAAGATACTTATTTAAAAGGGGAAATACAGTGGAAGAGCTTGGCAGACACCGTGTTGACCAACTGTCAAGGATAATGTCACCAGCAATGAGACAAGTCAACATTGTGTGCCTCCTGATATGATACACTGAGGAGGACATGATATCGCTTCTGTTGAATTCTTGAAAAAAAATGACTTTTCTGAATCCAATCATGAGGAAACATCATATAAATTGAGGAATATTGCATAATATTTTGAACAGTATTCTTGAAAAATGTTAAAGTAAAACAAGAAAGATCAAGGAACTGTTTCAGATTAAAGAAGACTAAAGAGACAAGACAACCACTAAATGCACTGTGTGATCTCAGATTGGATCCTGGATCAGGAAAATGAGATAGGATAATTGGCAACATTTGAACAAGGTCTGGTAAATACATAATAAAATCGTATCGATGTTAATTTCCTGATTTTGATAACTGTACCATATACAATAGGCTGAATTTGCATCTTCCTAAAATTCCTATGTTAAAGTCCCCCAGTACCTCAGAATGTGACTATTTGGAGATAGAGCCTTTAAAGAGGTAATTAAGATAAAGTGAGATTCTATGGGTGGGCCCCTATGCCATGTGATTGGTATGCTTATAGGAAGATATTAGGGCACAGAAAACACAGACTAAGGGGTGACCATGTGAGGACACAGTGAGAAAGTAGCCATCTTCAAGCCAACGAGACAGGCATCAAATGAAACCAAACCTGCCAACACCTTGATCTAGGACTTCCAGCCTCCAGAACTTTGAGAAAATAAATTTCTGTTTTTTAAGCCACCCAGTCTGTGGCATTTTGTTATGGCAGCCCTAGCAGACTAATACAACATACAATGGAATATTGTTTAGTCTTAAAAATGAAGGAAATTCTGACAACATGCTAAAATATAAACTTTGAGGACATTACATTAAGTAAAATAAACCACTTATGACAGGCAAATGACTCCACTTACATGAGATACTTAAAGTAGTCAAACTCATAGAGCCAGAGAGTAGAATGGTGGTTTCTAGGGGCT
Source organism: Homo sapiens (assembly GCF_000001405.40). Classification (NCBI taxonomy): domain Eukaryota; kingdom Metazoa; phylum Chordata; class Mammalia; order Primates; family Hominidae; genus Homo; species Homo sapiens. The sequence continues at coordinate 181,862,853 of NC_000001.11, forward strand.
GAGAGGAGACAATGAGGAATTACTGTTTAATTCGTATAGAGTCTCGGTTTGAGAAGATGAAAAAATGTTCTGGAGATAGATGGTGGTGGTTGTACAACAATGTAAATATACTTAACGCCACTGAACTATTCACTAAAAAAATAGTTAAATGGTAAATTTTATATTAAGTATTTTGTCCACAATTTAAAAATAAAATTTAAGAAAAAACAAGGAGGAAATTTGGATACAGAGATGAAAGACACAGAGAAGACACCATGTGACAACAGAGGCAGAGACTAGAATGATGCAGTCCAGGAATGCCAAGCAAGGACTGTTAACAGCCACCAGCAGCTGGGGAGAGGCAAGAAGGGATTCTCCTTTAGAGCCCTAGGGGAACACAGCCCAGCTGACAGCTTGATTTCAGACATCTAGCCTCCAGAACTGTAAAAATAAATTTTTGTTGTTTTAAGCCAAGAAAAAAACGAACTCACGAGCCTTAGAGCCCCAATCTGAAGCTTCTGTGAAACATTACACAAAGCGATATATCTAGCCAGCTTGGAATGGATTCAGGAGGGTGAAGTATCATTATTTCACATGGATTAAGTGCTTGAAATGTGCAGGTCTGAAGTGTCTGTAAATGTACCTGCCCAAACAACAGCCAAGTCTCATTCTTTTCCTTGGGGGAAGCTACTTGTCTTCGTAAATCACTGTCTAAGTGGGGCATCACCAGGAAGAAAGAGTGAAGCAGATAAACTTTATCTCCTGTGATCCTAAGCCCAGTTTGCTCACTCTCACTTTCCACCAGAGCAGCAATGGTGGTGGGAAAATTGTGAAGGAGTTAAGAGACTTGTTTTTATTTTTTGTGTTTATTTATTCATTTATTTTTTCACAGATAGTCAACCATTGAGTACTTTTTGCATAATCCAAGGAATATGTAAATTTGTTTAGTTGACAAATATTTGAGTGCTGGCCATGTGTAAAATGCTGGTATATGCACTGGAGATATGGTAGTGAACAAGACAATGTCCCTGTGGCTACCATGAAAATGCACCTCTCAGATCTCCTATTTCAGGGAATGTCACTGACACCCCTAGCTGTTGTGTTCTGAAATCTGTCACAATATTCCTGCCAAGGCTACACTTCCCATAATCTGCTTCCAGCTGTTAACTGAACATGGCTGAGGTACTAGGATAGGCCAGGTCCTGAAAGACGTAGGCTTCCTATAATGAATGACTTTGGCTTAGGGACTCCTTGGCCTTCCAGAAACTTTCTTAAAATTATACTGCAATCCATGGTCTGTCTTTCTTACTTTCCCTCCTTCACAAGAGTCAGAACTCCAGTATAGTCTAACCTGTTTTCCAGCTTTCTCTGGTTTCTTCCCCATATTCCCTTACTGGTGTTTCCCCCAGTATGTCTATTGTGTCTTGTATTAGGCCATTTTTGTGTTGATATAAAGAAATACCTGAGGCTGGGTAATTTATAAAGAGAAGATTTTTAATTGGCCCAAGGTTTTGTAGGCTTTATAGGCATGGCTCTAGCATCTTTTCTTCAGTGAGGGCCTCAAGAAGCTTACAATCATGGGAGAAGGTAAAAAGGGAGCAGGCATCTCACATGGTGAGAGCAGGAGCAAGAGAAGTGGGGAGGTGCTACACACTTTTAAACAACCAGGTCTCATGAGAACTCACTCACTATCATGAAGACAGCACCAAGACATTCATGAGGGATCCACAGCCACACCCAAACATCTCCCACCAGGCCCTACCTCCAACATTGGAGATTACATTTCAACATGTGATTTGGAGGTAACAGACATCTAAACTATATCACATCTCTAACCCCATCTTGATGTCTGCTTCTTAGAGGGCCCTGACTAGCAGTCCCCAACTCTGTGCAGGAGGTGGCAAAGAGAGTGGTTAAGAGCACAGGCTCTGGAGTCAGACTGCCTGGTTTGAAGCCCTGCCCTGCCATTTACTAACAGGCTGTCTAATTTCTCCCTGCCTCCATTTCATCAGCAACTTTGCCTCAGTTTCATCATCTGTAAAATGAGGATAATAATAGTATATTAATCTCATAGCATTGTAGTTAGGATTAAACATGTTGTTATATTTAAATACCATGAGATTTACAAAACACTGCTGAAAGAAATCAGAGACAACACAAACAAATGGAAAAACATTCCATGCTTGTAGACAAGAAGAATCAGTATTGTTAAGATGGTCATACTGCCCAAAGCAATTTACAGATTCAATGCTATTCCTATTAAGCATAACAATGTCATTTTTTCACAGAATTTTAAAAAAACTACTCTAACATTCACATGGAACCAAAAAAGAGCCCGAATAGCCAAAGCAATCCTAAGCAAAATGAACAAAGCTGGAGGCATCACACTACCTGACTTCAAACTACACTACAAGTCTATAGTAACCAAAACAGCATAGTTCTGGTACAAAAACAGATACATAGAACAATGGAATAGGTTAGCAACCCCAGAAACAAAACCACACACTTAAAACCAACCATCTGATCTTCAACAAACTCAACAATAGCAAGCAATAGGGAAAAGACTCCCTATTCAATAAATGGTGCTGGGATAACTGTCTAGCTATATGCAGAAGATTGAAACTGGACTCCTTCCTTTCACCATATAAAAAAATCAACCCAAAATGAAGTAAAGACTTAAATGTAAGACCTAAAACTATAAAAACATTAGAAGAAAACTTAGGAAATACCATTCTGGACATAGGCCTTGGCAAAGATTTCAAGAAGTCTCCAAAAGCAATTGCAACAACAAAAAATTGACAAGTGAGTCATAATTAAAATGGAAGAGCTTCTGCATAGCAAAAGAAACAGAATAAAGAGAACCTATAGAATGGGAGAAATTATTCACAAACTATGCATCCAACAAAGGCCTAATATCTAGAATCTATAAAGAACTTAAACCAACAACCAAAAAACGACCCCATTAAAAAAAAAAAGACAAAGGATATGAAAAAACCCTTCTCAAAAGAAGATATACACATGGTCAATGAGCATGTGAAAAAATGCTCAACATCACTAATCACTAGATAAATTCAAGTCAAAACCATAATGAGATACCATCTCACACCAGTCAGACTGGCTATTATTAAAAGTTCAAAAAACTACAGATGTTGATGAGGCTTCAGAGAAAAGGGAATGTTTATACACTGCTATTGGAAATGTAAATTAGTTCAGCAACTGTGGAAAGCAGTTTGGAGAGTTCTCAAATAATTTAAAAAATAACTCTCATTTGACCCAGCAATCCCATTACTTGGTATATACCCAAAGGAATATAAACCGTTCTAGCAAAAAGACATATGCACATGTATGTTCATCACAACACTATCCACAATAGCAAATACATGGAATCAACTTAAATGCCCACCAACAATGGACTGGATAAAGAAAATGTGGTATGTATACACCATGGAATACTATACAGCCATAAAAAATAAAATCATGTTATTTGCAGCAACATGTATGCAGCTGAAGGCCGTTATCTTAAGCAAACTAACACAGGAACAGAAAACCAAATATCACATGTTCTCACTTATAAGTGGGAGCTAAACCTTGAGTGCATATGGACATAAAAATGGGAACAACAGACCCTGAGGCCTACTTTGAGTGAGGGGAGGGTAAAGATTTAAAAAAAAACAAACCTACCTATTGGATACTATGCTCACTACCTGGGTGATGAAATCATTTGTACACCAAACCCCAGCAACATGCAACTTACCCATGTAACAAACCTGCACGTGTACCCCCCAAACCTAAAATAAAAGCTGAGGAAAAAAATAATATGTAAAGTACTTAGAATGGTGCAAGGTTAGAAGGTCTATATAAACATCAGTTATTATAGAGCTTGTGTTTTAGTAAAGGAGATAGAGAAATATATAGAAAAAATACTAGGTGGTGAAAATACTAAGGTGAAAATCAGGAGAGTTATGTGATATGGTGACTAATGAACCATTTTAGATTTGGAAGCTAGGAAAGGTCAACAAGAAAGAATAACTAGAAGTTATTCCATATATTGCTGAGTTCAGTATAGCTAAACTTGACTGTGCTCCAGCTGATCTGAGATCTGGGGAAGAATTGTTTAGCCAAAGCTAACAGCTTGTGTAAAGACCTGAAAGCAAGAATGAGTGGTCATGACTCAGACAAAACAAGAGGAACAGGGAATCTAAAGGATGGTAACAGTGGAGGAGACAGGTGAGGAGTCCAGGGATTCAGGCAGAAACCAGACAGAAGAGTCTCATTCCTTTCTTCTTTCATTAATTCATTCAGTGTGTATTTGGCAGCCACCCAACTAAGTACCAAGAACTGATAATTCTAGCTCTGAACTTTCTAGTCACATATTAGAGGTAACTTGAAGTAGTCAAGTCCTAGACAAAACTCACACAGGAGGCAAAACATTCCTCTAAAGACCGCCTCCTTCTTTGTGTTTTTGCATAACTTGATTCAAGTTTTCTGTCCTTTGCACATTTCTACTTATAGACATACTTATGATGAACATAGGCTTGTTTTTTATTTAAGTTTACCTTATAGATACTTCAGTTTTTAAAAATTATATATGGTGCTTAATACATACAAAATAACTAGATTCATTTTAGTTATCAAAGTTCTGATAGCTTGAAAACAACAACAAACAACTCTGACTAGTAGAATTAGAAATTATTCCATATATTGCTGAGTTCAGCATAGCTTAACTTGACTGTGCTCCACTTGATCTGACCAGCAGTTAATGAATTCCTTTCATAAGGGGGTGGAGTTTGGTAACCCCTCTAGCAGTTTTATATAATAGTGTCTGAAACACCCACTTAGGGGTATTTTTTATTTTACCTTGTGTTGCAGTCTAATGTGAAGCCAGAGATTAATGTTTTGCAACTTCAAGGTCTTAAGCAAGCACTTAATTCTGCATAACATAGAGCTTTCTCTGAACAGGCATAGCCATATAATTCATCAGGGTCTAAGTGTCCTCATTTATAAAAAAAGGTCTAATAAACATTTAATATATATTACATAAACATTTAATTTAAATATTAGCCTGAATGAGTCACACCTTCTCCAATGGAATCCCCTGAATCTGGAATGTGGGACAATGAGGAGATTATGAAGCTCTTTTGGGGTACGCTTTTTACCCACAAATTCAGTCAAGGTGAAAAAAATCTCTAACTGTAATTTCAGATGGGGAAGTGACAGCTAAAGTGGTGAACTAGACAGAAAAACCACTAGGCTTTCATCTCAAATTAGAGCCTGAGGATAAGAATAGCTTTTGTAGCAATACTCACCTGGGCAAAATTACAAAGGACATTAGTTTCCAGGTCTCAAGCTGCAGTTGGCTATAGTGAGTCTTCCCTCAAGGGCTGCATACCTTCCTCTGATAAAATCTATGAACTCCCCCGGGAAGTCAGAGATTTCCTTGTTATATCTGCCTCTAATTGGGGTTCAGCCTCTTAGTCCATTTGTTGCCATGAAGGAATACCTGAGGCTGGGTGATTTGTAAAGAAAAAAGGCTTATTTGGATCATGGTTCTGCAGGCTGTACAAAGAGCATAATGTCAGTATCTGCTTCTGGTGTGGGCCTCAGGCTGCTTCCACTTATGGTGGAAGACAAAAGGGAGCTGGCTTGTGCAGAGAGCAGATGGTGAGAGAGGAGGCAAGAGAGATGGGAGGGGGGTGTCAGGATCTTTATAACAACTCTCTCTCATGAGAACTAATGGAGCAATAACTCATTCATTACTGTGAGGATGGCACCAAGACGTTCATGAGGAATCTGCCCCTATTACCCAAACACTTCCCATTAGGCTCACTTCTAATATTGAGTATTGAATTTCAACACGAGGTTTGGAGGGTCAAATATCAAAACTATAGCAGGACCTGTGCTATTTACTAACCCTGTGGCATCAGTTGTTCAGTCTGCAAAATACAGCAACATATAACCGACACCTATCTTCCTCAAAGAGTTATGGTGAGTTTTTACCATAACTATATGTGAGGGAGAAAAGCAGTAACTTAGAGAACAAAGTGGGCAATGAAAAAAGCACTTCCTGGGATCTTAGCATTGAAAGGGAAGGATATAAGACTGATTATTCTCTAGACTAAACAAAGGGCCATAGCAGCAGAAAGGAAATCGCTTCTAATATTGGATAATTGAGGAAGGAAAATAAAGCTTGCCTATATTGTGTTACTTGTTTGATTATGGAAATGAAAATATCATTTTTACTAAGGTGGTTCTTTACCTGAAGCAGTGGCTCTCAAGTTTGATCGCTCCTCAGAGTCATTTCGTTGAGCCCAATCCCACACTTACTGAGAATATCTGAGACCTCCACTTCTGGCTAAGATGGAATAACAGATCATGATACTCTCCCATTTAAAATAGCCAAAAATGGACAAAGTATATAAAACAATGTTCTACAGGGCACTTCACATAGAAAAAAAAGGAAGGACAATAATCTTGGAGACATGGGAAAAACATTAGGTAAGCATTGATTATCCCAAGCTTACTACCTGAGAAACCTGAGAAAGCTTCTAGGCTCTGGTGCAGAGTGGAGCCTAGTGGACTCCTTGAGCTGGAAGGAGAAAGCAGAGTCTGGTGAGATTAAGCTGGTAGAATTCTAAGGACAGAATACCAGAGAGAAAGAGCTACAAAGAGAGAGAATGAAAGTGTGAGCACTTTGGATATGTGCAAATATACCCCTTGAATATTCAACTGAATATTGAAAATGTATAAGAAAACTACCTAAGACTGGGTTGGGGGAACTGTCTAAAAGGACTAGAAGTGACAGCATCCAGCATCCACATAGGGCCAAAAATAGCACCTATTCTTAATACCCAGAATGGAAGACCTCAAGATTCAAAGGTCAATGTGTAGGTCAAACAGGTTGTTGCTTCAGTGGTATGGAATAATTAGTCCTATACTGATAACTGTTCCAATCCTGCCTAACAAAACTTAAAACCAGACAGAAAAAAATTAAACTGTTTCCAAGTAACTTAACTATATTCCAGAGTATATAAGCCCAAGAGTATTTATAGAAATACAAAAATACCCAGCAGTCAACAAGATAAAATTCACAATGTTTGGCATTCAACAACAAAAATAAATTACTGGCCATAAAAGGAAGCAAGAAAATATAACTCATAATGAGGAGATAAGCCAAGTAATTGAAAATAACCCAGAATTGACACAGATGCTAGAGTTAGCAGACAAGGACATGGAACCACCAGTTATTATGGCTGTACTCTATATAAGTCAAAAAGTAACTAGAGATATTTCTATGAAAAAAGCTTAAAGAAAACTTCTAGAGAAGAAAATGACAATGTTTAACATAAAAACACACTAGTTGGAAATAGCAGATTAGAGATGGCAAAAGAAAAGATCAGTAAACTATAAAGACAGAGCAACAAAAACTATTCAAAATGAAACACACAGGAAAAAAAGAATTAAAAATAAAACAGCAGTGAGCTATGGGATACCTTCAAGCAGCTTAATATTTTTAAAACTAGAATACCCAGACAGAGAGACAGAGACAGAGACAGAGACAGAGAGGGAGGAGTGGTGAGAAAAAAATGTTATAATAAATATTTACAGAACAAAATGACTGAAATGTTCCCAAATTTGAGAAATACAATAAGACACAGATCCAAGGAAGTCAACAAAACCCAAGCACAAAAAATTAAAGAAAATTACACCACATTGAATAAGAAACCTGCTCAAAACCAATGATAGAGAATCCTAAAGGCAACCAGAGGAATAAAAGACATTAATGGCTGAGGAACAAAGATAAAAAAGAAAACAAGCCAGGCATGGTGGCTCAAGCCAGTAATCCCAGCACTTTGGGAGGCCGAGGCGGGTGGATCACAAGGTCAGGAGATCAAGACCATCCTGGCTAATGTGGTGAAACCCCATCTCTACTAAAAATACAAAAAAATTAGCCAGGCGTGGTGGCAGGCGCCTGTAGTCCCAGCTACTCTGGAGGCTGAGGCAGGAGAATGGCGTGAACCCAGGAGGCAGAGCTCACAGTGAGCCAAGATCGCACCACTGCACTCCAGCCTAGGCGACAGAGCAAGACTCCATCTTAAAAAAAAAAAAAAGAAAACAGACATCTTATTGGAAACAATGCAAGTTGAGAAGACAGTGATGTCACACTTCAAAATACTAAAAAAAAACACTATCAACCTAGAATTTTATAATCAGTGAAAATAGCTTTCAAAAATTAAGGCTAAATATTTTTTCACACTAAAAGAATGTTACAGCTTTTCTTTTACAGCAGATTTGCACTATAATAAATGTTAAAAGAAGTCCTTCAGGCAGAAGGAAAGTAATACCAGATGGAAATACAGATCTGTAAAAAAGAATTAAGAACAATGGAAATTGTAACTACATAGGTAAATATATATATATTATTATTTAAGTCACTTTTAACAATAATTAGCTGCTTAGACACAAATGATACATTGTGATATTTAGTTTATTACAGTTTTAAACATCTGTAAAAGTAAAATAGATGACTAAAATAGCATAAAGTTCAGAAGGGAAGTAATACACTATCATAAATTTCTTCTATTATATATGAAGTGAAGGTAGACTCTGATAAGTTAAAGAAGTATATTATTTACCTTAAAACAAATACTAAAATAAAAAATAGATGTAGCTAATAATCCAAAAAATTAGATAAAATGAAATAATAAAATCTATTCAAATATTCCAAAAGGTGGCAAATATAGGGGGAAAAGGTGGGAGAAGGGGGATGCATAGGGAACAAATAGAGAACAAATAATATAATAGACCCAAACCTAACCATCTTAATAATCACATTAAATATAAGTGGTCAAAGTGCCCTAACTAGAAGGCAGAGATTATGACATTGGATAAAAAGTAAGACCCAACTGTATGCTGACTACAAGGAATATACTTCAAATATGAGGACACAAATAGCTTAAGAGTAAAATGATGGAAAAAGATTACCACACTCACACTAATCAAAAGAAGGTCAGAGGGACTTGACCTTCTTTTGATTAGTGTGAGTGTGATAATCATCTATCATCATGGCAGATGGGAAGTAGGACTAGATTGCAGCTCTGACTCAGATGGACAGAGCAGCATGTGGAGGTTCACATTGTGAATTTTAGCTCCTGAACAACTGCAAGAACAAACCAGGAATCCCAAGAGGACCCAAAGACCCTCTGAAGGAAGTGGATTGCTCCTGAATGACCTGGGAGACACCCCAAATACTGTGAGTGCCCAAACTGCAAAAGTGGGAAAGGGAGATCCTTCACTCTCAAGTGTACATCCCCACTATGGAAACTGAAGGTGTAGTTTGTGGGAGAAGTTTCTGACCTTATCTGGAGCTGAGTCAACTTAGAATGCTGAGAAAAATACAGTGGCAGAGGAAGCAGTGGGAAAGGCCCTGGGAACTCTCGCAGGGTCCCCAAGCAGGCCATTCCTTCCTGGCACCACAAGGATCCTTCAGGAGGGTGGCCAGAGGCATGGGGAAAATGATACAGGGAGGAAGAAGTCTCCAGCTGAACTTTGTAACAATTTGAATGGGGCAAGAAGCCTCCTGGCCAGAACTCAGGGAGGGCATGAATCCAACATGCAGACTCCATAGGTGGGGGAAGAACCAAAGCCCTTTTCTTTTGCAGCTGAGAGGTAGGTAGCCTGGGGCAAGTTCTCAAGCCCTACTTGCCCACTGCCTAGAAACATACTTGATGCTGTTGGGGGTGGGGGGGCACAGTGGGAGTGGGACCAGCCCTTTGGACTGCGTGAGAGCTGGGTGATGGCTGTGATTGCCAGCTTTCCCCCACTTCCCTAACAACCTGCATGACTCAGCAGAGGCAGTCACAGTCCTCCTAGGTACACAACTCCATTGGCCTGGGAACCTCACCCCCACCCCCCACAGCAGCCACAGCAAGTCCCACCCAAGGAGAGTCTGAGCTCAGACGCACCTATCCCTGCCCTCACCTGATAGCCCTTCCCTACTCACCCTGGTAGCTGAAGACAAAAGGCAATGCACTTGGGAGTTCTAGGGCCCTGCCCACCACCAGTTCTTCTCCATACGATTATAGGTGATGCTCTCTGGAAAGTGCCACCTTTTGGCATGAGGCCAACCAGCACAAAAACAGAACATTAAACCACCAAAGCTAAGAATGCTCACAGAGTCCATTTCACCTCCCTGCCACCTCCACTGGAACAGGTGCTGATATCCATGGCTGAGAGATCCATAGATGGTTCACATCACAGGATTTTGTGCAGAAAACCCCCAGTACAAGCTCAGAGCCTGGTAGACTTGGTGGGTGGCTAGAGAGATAACAGAAGAGAGGTAACAATCACTGCAGCTTGGCTCTCAAGAAGCCACATCCATAGGAAAAGGGGGAGAGTACTATATCAAGGGAACACCCCAAGGGACAAAAGAATCTGAACAGTCTTCAGCCATAGACCTTCCCTTGGACAGAGACTATCCAAATGAGAAGGAACTAGAAAACAAACTCTGGTGATATGACAAAACAAGGCTCTTTAACATTCCCCCTCCTCAATCACACTAGCTCACCAGCAATGGATCCAAATCAAAAGAAATCTCTGATTTACCTGAAAAAGAATTGAGGAGGTTATTAAGCTAATCAGGGAGATACCAGAGAAAAGCAAAGCCCAATGCAAGGAAATCCAAAAAACAATACAAGAAGTGAAGGGAGAAATATTCAAGGAAATAGATAGCATAAAGAAAAAACAATCAAAACTTCAGGAAACATTGAACACACTTATAGAAATGCAAAATGCCCTCGTAAGTCTCAGTAATAGAATTGAACAAGTAGAAGAAAGAAATTCAGAGCTCAAAGAAAAGGTCTTCAAATTAACCCAATCCAATAAAGTCAAAGAAAAAAGAATAAGAAAATATGAACAAAGCCTCCAAGTCTGGGATTGTGTTAAACCACCAAACCTAAGAATAATCAGTGTTCCTGAGGAAGAAGTGATATCTAAAAGCTTGGAAAATGTATTTGGGGGAATAATTGAGGAAAACTTCCCCAGCCTTGCTAGAGACCTAGACACCCAAATACAAGAAACATGAAGATCACCTGGGAAATTCATCACAAAAGATCATCACCTAGGCACATAGTCATCAGGTTATCTAAAGTTAATTGAAGGAAAGAATCTTAAGAGCTGTGAGACAAAAGTACCAGGTAACCCATAAAGGAAAACCTATCAGATTAACAGCAGATTTCTCAGCAGAAACCCTACAAGCTAGAAGGGTTTGGGGCCCTATCTTCAGCCTACTCAAACAAAACAATTATCAGCCAAGAATTTTGTATCCAGCAAAACTAAGCATCATACATGAAGGAAAGATCCAGTCTTTTTCAGACAAACAAATGCTGAGAGAATTCTTGTAGCTACCATTACAAAAATTGCTAAAAGGAGCTCTAAATCATGAAACAAATCCTGGAAAGATATCAAAACAGAACATCTTTAAAGCATAAAGCACACAGGACCTATTAAACAAAAATACAATTTAAAAAGCAAAAACAAAAACCAAAAATATCAAGGTAAACAGGCAACAAACAGCATGATGATTGGAATGGATCCTCACATCTCAACACTAATATTTAATGTAAATGGCTTCAATGCTCCACTTAAAAGATACAGAACAGCAGAATGGATAAGAACTCACCAACCAACTATCTGCTGTCTTCAGGAAACTCACCTGACACATAAGGACTCACATAAATTTAATGGGGTGGAAAAAGGCATTTCATGCAAATGGACACCAGAAGCAAGCAGTGGTGGCTATGCTTATATCAGACAAACAAACTTTAATGCAACAGCAATTTAAAAAGACAAAGAGGGACATTATATAGTGATAAAAGTCCTTGTCCAACAGGAAAATATCACAATCTTAAACATATATACACCTAACACTGAAGCTCTCAAATTTATAAAACAATTACTAGTAGACCTAAGAAATGAGACAGACAGCAACACAATAATAGTGGGGGATTTCAATACTCCACTGACAGCACTAGACAGGTCATCAAGACAGAAAGTCAACAAAGAAACAATGGATTTAAACTACACTTGGAACGAATGGACTTAACAGATACCTACAGAACATTTCATCCAACAACCACAGAATACACATTCTATTCAACAGCACATGGAACTTTCTCCAAGACAGAACATAGGATAGGCCACAAAACAAGCCTCAATAAATTTAAGAAAATTGAAATTATATCAAGCATGCTCTCAGATGATAGTGGAATAAAACTGGAAATCAACTCCAAAAGGAACCCTCAAAACCATGCAAATACATGGAAATTAAATAACCTGCTCCTGAATGATCATTGGGCCAAAAACGAAATCAAGGTGGAAATTTAAAAATTCTTCAAACTAAATGACAATAATGAGAAAACCTATCAAAACCTCTGGGATACAGCAAAGATGGTGCTAAGAGGAAAGTTCATAGCCATAAACACCTACATCAAAAAGGCTGAAAGAGCAAAAATTGGCATTCTAAGGTCACAGCTCAAGGAACTAGAGAAACAAGAATAAACCAAACCAAAACCCAGCAGAAGAATGGAAATAACAAAGATCAGAGCGGAACTAAATAAAACTGAAACAAAAAAATACAAAATATAAATGAAACAAAAAGCTTGTTCTTTGAAGAGGTAAAAAAAAAATTGATACACCGTTAGTGAGATTAGCCAAGAAAAGAAGAGAGAAGATCCAAATAAGCTCAATTAGAAACAAAATGGGAGATATCACAACTGATACCACAGAATTACAAAAGATCATTCAAGGCTACCATGAACACCTTTACATGCATAAACTAGAAAACCTAGAGATGAATAAATTCCTGGAAATATACAACCCTCCTGGCTTAAATCAGGAAGAAATAGATACTCTGAACAGACCAATAGTAAGCAGTGGGATTGAAATGGTCATTTAAAAATTACCAACAAATAAAAGTCCACGTCCAGATAGATTCACAGCAGAATTCTACCAGACATTCAAATAATAATTGGTACCAATCTTTTGACACTATTCCACAAGGTAGAGAAAGAGGGAACCCTCCCTAATTCATTCTATGAAGCCAGCATCACCCTAATACCCAAACGAGGAAAGAACATAACCAAAAAAGAAAACTGCAGACCAATATCCCTGATGAACATAGATGTTGAAATCCTTAACAAAATACTAGCTAACTGAATCCAACAGCATATCAAAAAGATAATCCACCATGATCAAGTGGGTTTCATACCAGGGATGCAGGAATGCTTTCAAATATGTAAATCAATAAATGTGATATACAACATAAACAGAATTAAAAACAAAAAAACACACACATGATTATATCAATAAATGTAGAAAAAGCATTCAAAAAAATCCAGCATCGTTTTATTATTAAAACTCTCAGCAAAATCAACATACAATGGACATACCTCAATGAAATAAAAGCCATCTATGACAAACCACACAGCCAACATAATACTGAATGGGGAAAAGTTGAAGGCATTCCCTCTGAGAACTGGAACGAGAAAAGGATACCCACTCTCACCACTCCTCCTCAACATAGTACTAGAAGCCCTAGTCAGAGCAATCAGAGAAGAGAAAGAAATAAAGGGCATCCAAGTTGGTAAAGAGGAAGTCAAACTGTCCCTCCCTGTTTGCTGATGATATGATCGTTTACCTTAAAAACCCTAAAGACTCCTCAAGAAAGCTCCTAGAACTGATACGTGAATTCAGCAAAGTTTCCGGGTACAAGGTTAATGTACACAAATCAGTAGCTCTTCCATATGCCAACAGTGGCCAAGTAGAGAATCAAATCAAGAACTCAACCCCTTTCACAACAGTTTCAAAAATAATAAAATACCTAGGAATATACCTAACCAAGGAGGTGAAAGACCTCTACAAGGAAAACTACAAAACACTGCTGAAGGAAATCATAGATGACAGAAACAAATGGAAATACATCCCATGCTCATGGATGGGTAGAATCAGTATTGTGAAAATGATCATACTGCCAAAAGCAATGTGCAAATTCAACCCAATCCCCATCAAAATACCACTACCATTCTTTACAGAATAGGAAAAAACAATTCTAAAATTCATATGGAACCAAAAAAGAGCCCACATAGCCAAAGCAAGACTAAGCAAAAAGAAAAAATCTGAAGGCATAACACCACCTGATTTCAAACTATACTATAAGGCCATAGTCACCAAAACAGCATGACCCTGGTATAAAAATAGGCACATAGACCAACGGAACAGAATAGAGAACCCAGAAATAAAGGCAAATACTTACAGCCAACTGGTCTTTGACAAAGCAAACAAAAACATAAAGTGGGGAAAGGACAGCCTTTTTAACAAATGGTGCTGGGATAATTGGCTAGCCACATGTAGGAGAATGAAATTGAATCCTCATCTCTCACCTTACACAAAAATCAATTCAAGATGGATCAAGGACTTAAATCTAAGACCTGAAACTATAAAAATTCTAGAATATAGCATTGGAAAAACCCTTCTAGGCATTGGCTTAGGCAAGGATTTCATGATTAAGAACCCAAAAGCAAATGCAATAAAAACAAAGATAAATAGCTGGGACTTAATTAAACTAAAGAGCTTTTGCACTGCAAAAGGAACAGCCAGCAGAGTAAACAGACAACGCACAGAGTGGGAGAAAATCTTCACAATCTATACATCTGACAAAGGACTAATATCCAGAATCTACAAGAAACTCAAATTAGTAACAAAAAACAAACAATCCCACTGAAAAGTGGGCTAAGGGCATGAATAGACAAGTCTCAAAAGAAGACATACAAATGGTCAACAAACATGAAAAAATGCTCAACATCACTAATAATCAGGGAAGCGCAAATCAAAACCACAATGCGATACCACTTTACTCCTGCAAGAATGGCCAAAATAAAAAAATCAAAAAATGGTAGATGTTGGCGTTAATGCAGTGATCAAGGAACACTTCTACACTGCTAGTGTGAATGTAAACTAGTGCAAACACCGTGGAAAAGAGTGTGGAGATTCCTTAAAGAGCTAAAAGTAGAACTACCATTTGATCCAGCAATCCCACTACTGGGTATCTGTTTAGAGGAAAATAAGTCATTATACAAAAAAGGTACTTGCACATGCATGCTTATAGCAGCACAATTAGCAATTGCAAAATCATGGAACCAACCCAAATGCCAAGCAATCAATGAGTGGATGAAGAAACTGTAGTATATATATATGATGGAATATTAACTCTGCCATAAAAAGAAATGAATTAACAGCATTCACAGTGACTTGAATGAGATTGGAGACTATTATTTTAAGTGAAGTAACTCAGGAATGGAAAACCAAACATTGTATGTTCTCACTGATATGTGGGAGCTAAGCTATGGGGATGCAAAAGCATAAGAATGATACAATGGACTTTGGAGACTTGGGGGAAATGGTAGGAGGAGGGTGAGGGATAAGACTACAAACAGGGTGCAGTGTGTACTGCTCGGATGATGGATGCACCAAAATCTCACAAACCACCACTAAATAACTTACTCATGTAATCAAACTCCACCTGTACCCCAGTAATCTATGGGAAAAAAAAATACAAGAAGGTTGGAGGGATTGTTTTAATATCATAACAAGAATATTAACAGAGATAAAGAAGATCACTTTTTAAATTTAAATTTTAAGTTCAGGGGTATATATGCAAGTTTCTTATATAGGTAAACTTGTGTCATGGGGGTTTGTTGTACGTATTATTTCATCACCCAAGTATTAAGCCTAACACCCATTACTTATGTTTTCTGATCCTCTCCCTCCTCCCACACTCCACCCTCAGGCCCAGTGTCTGTTGTTCCACTCTATGTGTCCATGTGTTTGTTGTTCCATTCTATGTGTCTATGTATTCTCATCATTTAGCTTCCACTTAAAGTGAAAACATGTGGTATTTGGTTTTCTGTTCCTGCATTAGTATGCTTAGAATAATGGCCTTCAGCTCCATCCATGTTGCTGAAAGGGACGTGATCTTGTTCTTTCTGGCAGCGCAGTGTTCCATGGTGTATATGTACCATATATGTACCATATTTTCTTTATCCCATCTACCATTGATGGGTATTTAGGTTGGTTCCATGTCTTTGCCATTGTCAATAGTGCTGCAATGAACATACACGTGCATGTGTCTTTATAATAGAATAATTTATATTCCTTTGGGTATATAACCAGTAATGGGATTACTGGGTAGAATGGAATTTCTGTTTTTAAATATTTGAGGAATCACCACACTGTCTTCAACAATGGTTGAATGAATTTACACTCCCACCAACAGGGTACACCATTCCTTTTTCTCTGCAACCTCACAGGCATCTGTCATTTTTTGACTTTTTAATAATAGCCATTCTTATAATCATATGAAGAAAAACTTTTCTTCATATGATTGTTAGCTATTCCTATTAAACTACCATTGACATTCTTCACAGAACTAAAAAAAAAATATTTTAAAATGTATATGGAACCAAAAAAGAGCTCAAATATCCAAGGAAATCCTAAGCAAAAAGAACAAAGCTAGAGGCATCATGTTTCCCAACTTCAAACTATACTACAGTGCTACAGTAAACAAAACAGCATGGTACTGGTACAAAAATAGACCCATAGACCAGAGGAACAGAATAGAGAATCCAGAAATAAGGCCACACACCTACAACTATCTGATCTTCAACAAACCTGACAAAAACAAGAAATGGGAAAAAAAATTCCCTATTCAATAAACGGTGCTGGGATAACTGGCTAGCCTTATGTAGAAGACTGAAACTAGACCCCTTCCCTATACCATATACAAAAATTAATTCAAGATGCATTAAGACTTAAATGTAAAACCCACAACTATAAATGCCCTCAAAGACAATCTAGGCAATACCTAGACATAACAATGGGCAAAGATTTCATGACAAAGACACCAAAGCAATCGCAACAAAAGGAAAAATGGGCATACAGGATCTAATTAAACTAAAGAGTTTCTGGACAGCATAGGAAACTAGCAACATAGTAAACAGACAACCTACAGAATGGGAGAAAAATGTTGTAAACTATACATCTGACAAAGGACTAATATCCACCATCTATAAGGAACTTAAATTTACAAGAAAAAAACATTAAAAAGTGGGAAAGGGTTGGAGGGAATGGCAGATAGGAGACAGGACTAACGGGCAGCTCCCACTCAGATGGACAGAGCAGCATGTGAAGACTCACATTGTGAACTTTTACTCCAATAACTACCACAGGAACATACTAGGAAAACTGAGAAAATCCACAGACCCTTTGAAGGAGGTGAGCTGCTGCTGTAGGCTCCATGGGACAGCCAAGGAACTGTGAATCTGCTTGGTTTCTCAGCTGGGAGGCTTGTAGCCTGGGGCAAGTTCTCAGCCCTGCTCATTGGCTGCCTGGAAATAAACTTGGTACTGTTGCGGGGACATGGTGGGAGTGAGATGGGCCTTTCACATGGCAGGCTGCATGGGAACTAGGTGAAGCCTGTGGCTGCTGGCTTTTCCCCACTTCCCTGGTGACCTGTGTGACACAGCAGACACAACCATAGTTCCCCATAACATAACTCCATTGGCCTGGGTACCACATCCCCATCTGCCATAGCAGCTGTAGCAAGCCCTGCCCAAGGAGAGTCTGAGCTCAGTCATTATACAAAAAAGATACCTGCACATGCATGTTTATAGCAGTACAATTCACAAATGCAAAAATATGCAACCAGCCCTAATGCCCATCAAGCAACAAGTGTGTGTGTGTGTATATATATGTTTTTGTGTGTATATATATGTATGTATATATATGTGTGTGTGTGTATATATATACACAAACATATTTGCAAACACACACACATATTTACATATAGACACACACACCATGGAATACTAGTCAGGCATAAAAAGAAACAAAACAATGGCATTTACAGCAACCTGGGTGAAACTGGAGACCATTATTCTAAGTGAAGTAACTCAGGAACGGAAAACCAAAGATCACCTGTTTCTCATTCATAAGTGGGAGCTAAGCTATGAGGACGCAAAGGCGTAAGAATGATACAGTGGACTTTGGGGGCTTGGGAAAGGGTGGGATGGGGGTGAGGGATAAAAGACTACAAATTGGGTACAGTGTACACTGCTCAGGTTACAGGTGCACCCAAATCTCAGAAATCACCACTAAAGAACCTGTTCGTGTAAACAAACACCACCTCTTTCCCAGAAACCTATTGAAAAGTGGGAAAACAACATGAAGAGACACTTTTAAAAGGAAGACATACATGCAGCCAACAATAAAAAGATCATTTAAACATAATAAAAGGGTCAGTGCAACATAACAATTCTAAATGTTTATAAATCTTATAACAAATTCAAATACATAAAACAAAAACTGACCAAACTTCAAGGAGAAAGACAAGTCCATAATTGTAGCAATAGCTTCCAATACTTTCTCTCAAAACTTGATAGAATATGAATACATAGGCCAGGCATGGTGGCTCGTGCCTCTAATCCCAGCAGATTGGGAGGCCAGGGCAGGCAGATCACTTGAAGTCAGGAGCTCAAGAACAGCCTGGCCAACATGGTGAAATCCTGTCTCTACTAAAAATACAAAAAAAATTGGCCAGGCATGGTGGTGTGAGCCTGTATTCCCAGCTACCTGGGAGGCCGAGGCAGGAGAATCACCTGAACCCGGCAGGGAGACATTGCAGTAACCTGAGATTGCAGCCTGGGTGACACAGTGAGATCCCATCTCAAACAAACCAACAAACCCATAAAAATCAGTAAGAATGTAGAAGACTTGACTATCAACCAACTCAAACAAATTTGTATGTATAGAATACTCTGGCTGACAATATCAGAGTAAATATTCCCTTCAAGTACATGAGGAATATTTACCAAGATAGACTATACCT
Organism: Homo sapiens; assembly: GCF_000001405.40. Lineage (NCBI taxonomy): Eukaryota > Metazoa > Chordata > Mammalia > Primates > Hominidae > Homo > Homo sapiens. The sequence continues at coordinate 181,881,769 of NC_000001.11, forward strand.
TGGCTCATAGAGCAAGTCTCAGTATACTTGAAATGAAAAAAAATCATATAAAGCATGTTCTCATGTTCTCTGACCACATTGCAATTAAATACAAAATCAAGAACAGAAAGATACCTGGAAAATGTCCAAATATTTGGAAACAAAAATGAGTTTCTAAATAACCCATGGGACAAAGAAGATGTCTAAAGGGAAATTAGAAATTATTTTGTACTGAATGAAAATAACATAACAGATCAAAATATTTAAGATCCTACTAAAGAAGTAAATAGGGAAAATCAAATGCATATATTAGAAAAGCCTCACATCAATGAGCTGATCTCGCATCAATGACCTGAGATCTATCTTGCATCAATGACTTGAGATTCTATCTTAAGCTAGAAAAAGAACAAACTAAATCCAAGGTAAGCATAAGATAAAAATAAATATTACAGTGGCTATTAACAAAATAAAAAACAGGATTCCATTCCAAGATGGCTAAATAGTAACAGCTCCAGTCTACAGCTCCCAGCATGACTGATGCAGAAGATGGGTGATTTCTGCATTTCCAACTGAGGTACCTGGTTCATCTCATTGGGACTGGATGGACAGTGGATACAGCCCACAGAAGGTGAGCCAAAGCAGGGTGGGGCATCGCCTCACCTGGGAAGTGCAAGGGGTCAGGGGATTTCTGTTTCCTAGCCAAGGGAAGCCATGACAGACGGTACCTGGAAAAACAGGACACTCCCACCCAAATACTGTGCTTTTCCAATTTTCCAACAGTCTTAGCAAATGGCACACCAGGAGATTATATCCTGTGCCTGGCTCAGTGGGTCCCACACCCACGGAGCCTTGCTCACTGCTAGCGCAGCAGTCTGAGATTGACCTGCGAGGCAGCAGCCTGGCAGGGGGAGGGGCATCTGCCATTGCTGAGGCTTGAATAGGTAAACAAAGCAGCCAGGGAAGCTCAAACTGTGAGGAGCCCACCACAGCTCAGCGAGGCCTGCTGCCTCTGGGGGCAGGGCATAGCTGAACAAAAGGCAGCAGAAAATTCTGCAGACTTAAACATTTCTGTCTGACAGCTCTGAAGAGAGCAGTGGTTCTCCAAGCACAGTGTTTGAGCTTGGAGAATGGACAGACTGCCTCCTCAAGTGGGTCCCTGACCCTCGTGTAGCCTAACTGGGAGATACTTCCTAGCAGGGGCTGGCTGACACCTTATACAGGCAGGTGCCCCTCTGGGACGAAGCTTCCAGAGGAAGGATCAATCAGCAATATTTGCTGTTCTGCAATATTTGCTGTTCTGCAGACTTCGCTGATGATACCCAGGCAAACATGGTCTGGAGTGGACCTCCAGCAAACTCCAACAGACCTGCAGCTGAGGGTCCTGACTGTTACAAGGAAAACTAACAAACAGGAATAGCATCAACATCAAAAAAAAGGACATCGACACCAAAACCCCATTTATAGGTCACCAACATCAAAGACCAAAGGTAGATAAAACCACAAAGATGGGGAGAAACCAGAGCAGAAAAGCTGAAAATTCTAAAAACCAGAGTGCCTCTTCTCCTCCAAAGGATCACAGCTCCTCGCCAGCAGTGGAACAAAGCTGGATGGAGAATGACTTTGACAAGCTGCAGAAGTAGGTTTCAGAAGGTCAGTAATAACAAACAGAAGGATGTTCAAACCCCAAACCCATCACAAGTAAGCTAAACACCTTGAAAAAAGATTAGATGAATGGCTAACTAGAATAAACAGTGTAGAGAAGACCTTAAATGACTTGATGGAGCTGAAAACCATGGCACGAGAACTTCGTGACACGTGCACAAGCTTCAATACCCGATTTGATTAAGTGGAAGAAAGGTTATCAGTGATTGAAGATCAAATTAATGAAATAAAGTGAGAAGAGAAATTTAGAGAAAAAAGAGTAAAAAGAAATGAGCAAAGCCTCCAAGAAGTATGGGACTATGTGAAAAGACCAAACCTACATTTGATTGGTGTACCTGAAAGTGACAGGGAGAATGGAACCAAGTTGGAAAACACTCTTCAGGATATTGTCCAGGAGAACTTCCCCAACCTAGCAAGGCAGGCCAACATTCAAATTCAGGAAATACAGAGAACACCACAAAGATACTCCTCAAGAAGAGCAACCCCAAGACAGATAATTGTCAGATTCACCAAGGTTGAAATGAAGGAAAAAATGTTAAGGGCAGCCAGACAGAAAGATCGGGTTACCCACAAAGGGAAGCCCATCAGACTAACAGCTGATCTCTCAGCAGAAACTCTATAAGCCAGAAGAGAGTGGGGAGCCAATATTCAACATTCTTAAAGAAAAGAATTTTCAATGCAGAATTTCATATCCAGCCAAACTAAGCTTCATAAGTGAAGGAGAAATAAAATCCTTTACAGACAAGCAAATGCTGAGAGATTTTGTCACCACCAGGCCTGCCTTACAAGAGCTCCTGAAGGAAGCACTAAACATGGAAAGGAAAACCCGTACCAGCCACTGCAAAAACATGCCAAACTGTAAAGACCATTGATGCTAGGAAGAAACTGCATCAACTAATGGGCAAAATAATAAGCTAACATCATAATGAGAGGATCAAATTCACACATAACAATATTAACCTTAAATGTAAATGGGCTAAATGCCCCTGTTAAAAGACACAGACTGGCAAATTGGATCAAGAGTCAAGACCCATCAGTATGCTGTATTCAGGAGATCCATCTCATGTGCAAAGATGCACATAGGCTCAAAATAAAGGATGGAGGAAGATCTACCAAGCAAATAGAAAAAAAAAAAGAGCAGGGGTTGCAATCCTAGTCTCTGATAAAACAGATTTTAAACCAACAAAGGTCAAAAAAGACAAAGAAGGCCATTACATAACGGTAAAGGGATCAATTCAACAAGAAAAGCTAACTATCCTAAGTACATACACACCCCAAACAGGAGCATCCAGATTCATAAAGCAAGTCCTTAGAGACATACAAAGACAGACTCCCACAAAATAATAATGGCAGACTTTAACATGCCACTGTCAATATTAGACAGATGAACAAGACAGAAGGTTAACAAGGATATTCAGGACTTGAACTCAGAACTGAGTTGAACAAGCAGACCTAATAGACATCTACAGAACTCTCCACCCCAAATCAACAGAATATACATTCTTCTCAGCACCACATCACACTCATTCTAAAACTGACCACATAATTGGAAGTAAAGCACTCCTCAGCAAATGTAAAAGAACAGAAATCAGAACAAACTGTCTCTCAGACCACAGTGCAATCAAATTAGAACTCAAGATTAAGAAACTCATTCAAAACCACACAACAACATGGAAACTGAACAACCTGCTCCTGAATGACTACTGGGTAAATAATAAAATGAAGGCAGAAATAAGGATGTTCTTTGAAACCAATGAGAACAAAGACACAATGTACCAGAATCTCCGGGACACATTTAAAGCAGTGTGTAGAGGAAAATTTATGCTACTAAATGCCCACAAAAGAAAGCAGGAAAGATCTAAAATCGACACCCTAACATCACAATTAGAAGAACTAGAGAACCAAGAGCAAACACATTCAAAAGCTAGCAGAAGGCAAGAAATAACTAAAATCAGAGCAGAACTGAAGGATATAGAGACACAAAAAAACCCTCCAAAAAAAATCAAAGAATCCAGGAGCTGGTTTTTTGAAAAGATCAACAAAATTGATAGACTGCTAGCAAGACTAATAAAGAAGAGAGAAGACTCAACTAGATGCAATAAAAATGATAAAGGGGATATCACCACCGATCCCACAGAAATACAAACTACCATCAGAGAATACTATAAACACATCTGTGCAAATAAACTAGAAAATCTAGAAGAAATGGACAAATTCGTGTACACATACACCCACCCACGACTAAACCAGGAAGAAGTTGAATCTCTGAATAGACCAATAACAGGCTCTGAAATTGAAGCAATAATTAATCACCTATCAACCAAAAAAAAGTCCAGGACCAGGCGGATTCACAGCTGAATTCTACCAGAGGTACAAAGAGGAGCTGTTACCATTCCTTCTGAAACTGTTCCAATCAATAGAAAAAGAGGGAATCCTCTCTAACTCATTTTATGAGTACAGCATCATCCTGATACCAAAGCCTGGCAGAGACATAACAAAAAAAGAGAATTTTAGACCAATATCCCTCATGAACATCATTGTGAAAATCCTCAATAAAATACCAAAAAACCAAATCCAACAGCACGTCAAAAAGCTTATCCACCACAATCAAGTTGACTTCATCCCTGGGATGCAAGGCTGGATTAACATATGCAAATCACTCTGGTGGTAGTTTCTTTTGCTGTGCAGAAGCTCTTTAGTTTAATTAGATCCCATTTGTCAATTTTGGCTTTTGTTGCCATTGCTTTTGGTGTTTTAGACATGAAGTCCTTGCCCATGCCTATGTCCTGAATGGTATTGCCTAGGTTTTCTTCTAGGGTTTTTATGGTTTTAGGTCTAACATTTAAGTCTTTAATCTATCTTGAATTAATTTTTGTATAAGGTATAAGGAAGGGATCCAGTTTCAGCTTTCTACATATGGCTAGCCAGTTTTCCCAGCACCATTTATTAAATAGGGAATCCTTTCCCCATTTCTTGTTTGTGTCAGGTTTGTCAAAGATCAGATGGTTGTAGATATGGGGCATTATTTCTGAGGGCTCTGTTCTGTTCCATTGATCTATATCTCTGTTTTAGTACCAGTACCATGCTGTTTTGGTTACTGTAGCCTTGTAGTATAGTTTGAAGTCAGGTAGTGTGATGCCTCCGGCTTTCTTCTTTTGGCTTAGGATTGACTTGGCGATGCGGGCTCTTTTTTGGTTCCATATGAACTTTAAAGTAGTTTTTTCCAATTCTGTGAAGAAAGTCATTGGTAGCTTGATGGGGATGGCATTGAATCTATAAATTACCTTGGGCAGTATGGCCATTTTCACGATATTGATTCTTCCTACCCATGAGCATGGAATGTTCTTCCATTTGTTTGTATCCTCTTTTATTTCATTGGGCAGTGGTTTGTAGTTCTCCTTGAAGAGGTCCTTCACATCCCTTGTAAGTTGGATTCCTAGGTATTTTATTATCTTTGAAGCAATTGTGAATGGGAGTTCACTCATGATTTGGCTGTTTGTCTGTTATTGGTGTATAAGAATGCTTGTGATTTTTGTACATTGATTTTGTATCCTGAGACTTTGCTGAAGTTGCTTATCAGCTTAAGGAGATTTTGGACTGAGACAATGGGGTTTTCTAGATATACAATCATGTCATCTGCAGATAGGGACAATTTGACTTCCTCTTTTCCTAACTGAATACCCTTTATTTCCTTCTCCTGCCTAATTGCCCTGGCCAGAACTTCCAACACTATGTTGAAAAGGAGTGGGGAGGGAGGGCATCCCTGTCTTGTGCCAGTTTTCAAAGGGAATGTCTCCAGTTTTAGCCTATTGAGTATGATATTGGCTGTGGGTTTGTCATAGATAGCTCTCATTATTTTGAGATATGTCCCATCAATACCTAATTTATTGAGAGTTTTTAGCATGAAGAGTTGCTGAATTTTGTCAAAGGCCTTTTCTGCATCTATTGAGATAATCATGTGGTTTTTGTCTTTGGTTCTGTTTATATGCTGGATTACATTTATTGATTTGCGTATGTTGAACCAGCCTTGCATCCCAGGGGTGAAGCCCACTTGATCATGGTGGATAAGCTTTTTGATGTGCTGCTGGATTCAGTTTGCCAGTATTTTATTGAGGATTTTTGCATCAATGTTCATCGAGGATATTGGTCTAAAATTCTCTTTTTTTGTTGTGTCTCTGCCAGGCTTTGGTTTCAGGATGATGCTGGCCTCATAAAATGAGTTAGAGAGGATTCCCTCTTTTTCTATTGATTGGAATAGTTTCAGAAGGAATGGTACCAGCTCCTCCTTGTACCTCTGGTAGAATTCGGCTGTGAATCCATCTGGTCCTGGACTTAAGAGTGAACAGGCAACCTACAAAATAGGAGAAAATTTTCACAACCTACTCATCTGACAAAGGGCTAATATCCAGAATCTACAATGAACTCAAACAAATTTACAAGAAAAAAAAAACAACCCCATCAAAAAGTGGGCAAAGGATATGAACAGACACTTCTCAAAAGAAGAGATTTATGCAACCAAAAAACACATGAAAAAATGCTCATCATCACTGGCCATCAGAGAAATGCAAATCAAAACCACAATGAGATACCATCTCACACCAGTTACAATGGCGATCATTAAAAAGTCAGGAAACAACAGGTGCTGGAGAGGATGTGGAGAAATAGGAACACTTTTACACTGTTGGTGGGACTGTAAACTAGTTCAACCATTGTGGAAGTCAGTGTGGCGATTCCTCAGGAATCTAGAACTAGAAATACCATTTGACCCAGCAATCCCATTACTGGGTATATACCCAAAGGATTATAAATCATGCTGCTATAAAGACACATGCACACATATGTTTATTGTGGCACTATTCACAATAGCAAAGACTTGGAACCAACCCAAATGTCCAACAACGATAGACTGGATTAAGAAAAGGTGGTACATATACACCATGGAATACTATGCAGCCATAAAAAATGATGAGTTCATGTCCTTTGTAGGGACATGGATAAAACTGGAAACCATCATTCTCAGCAAACTATCGCAAGGACAAAAAACCAAACACTGCATGTTCTCACTCATAGTTGGGAATTGAACAATCAGAACATTTGGACACAGGGTGGAGAACATTACACTCCAGGACCTCTCGTGGGATGGGGGGCTTGGGGAGGGATAGCATTAGGAGAAATACCTAATGTAAATGATGAGTTAATGGGTGCAGCAAACCAACATGGCACACGTATACCTGTGTAACAAACCTGCACGTTGTGCACATGTACCCTAGAACTTAAAGTATAATAAAAATAAATAAATAAATAAAATCAAAAACAAAAAAAGGAAATATCAAAATCAAAAGCTGGCTCTTTGAGGATATTAATAAAATTGATAAGCTTTCAGCAAGACTGATAAGGAAAAAAGAAAAACACTCAAAACACCAATATTAAAAATGGGAGAAAATACAGCACCACAGATCCTTCAGATATTAAAAGGATAGTAAAAAGATATTACAAGCAACTTTATGCCAATAAATTCCATAACTTAGATGAAATAGACAAGCTCCTTATACACAAACTACCAAAAACTCACTCAAGAGGAGAATCGTTTGAACCCAGGAGGCAGAGGCTGCAGTGAGTCGAGATGCACCACTGCACTCCGGTCTGGGAGACAGAGTGAGGGAAAAAAAAAAACACTGGGGCCAAGATGGGCAAAAAGAAACAGCTCCAGTCTGCAGCTCCTAGTGAGACCAACACTGAAGGCAGGTGATTTCTGCATTTCCAACTGAGGTACCCAGTTCATCTCACTGGGAATGGTTAGACCGTGGGTGTAACCCATGGAGGGTGAGCAACAGCAGAGTGGGGCGTCACTTCACCTGTGAAGTGCAAGGAGCCAGGGGGACCTCCCTCCCCCAACCAAGAGAATTCATGTGGGACTGTGCTACCCTGCCCAGATACTATACTTTTCGCACGGTTTTTGGAATCTGTAGATCAGGAGATTTCCTCATGTGCCTACACAATCAGGGCCCCAGGTTTCAAGCACAAAACTGGGTGGCTGTTTGGGCAGACACTGAGATAGCTGTAGGAGTTTTTTTTTTCTTTTGTACCCCAGTGGTGCCTGGAACCCCAGCGACAGAACCGTTCACTCCCATGAAAAGGGGGATGAAGCCAGGGAGCCAAGTGGTCTTGCTCAGTGGGTCCCACTCCCATGGAGCTCAGCAAGCTAAGAACCACTGGCTTAAATTCTCACTGCCAGCACAGCAGTCTGAAGTTGACGTGGGACGAACCAGCTTGGAGGCGGGAGGGGCACCCACCGTTACTGAAGCTTTAGTAGGCGGTTTTCCCCTGACAGTGCTAAGGAGGCTGGGAGGTGTGGACTGGGCAGAATTCACCATAGCATGGCAAAGCAGCTGTGGCCAGACTGCTTCTCTAGATTCCTCCTCACTAGGCAGGGCATCTCTGAAGAAAAGGTAACACCCCCAGTCAAGGGCTTACAGATTAACTTCCATCTCCCTAGGATGGAGCACGTGGGGGAAGGGTTGGCTGTGGGCACATCAGCAGCAGATTTAATCTCTCCCACCTGCCTGCTCTGAAGAGAGCAGCTGATCCTGACAAGACGGATTCTCCCAGCACAGCGTACCAGCTCTGCTAAGGGACAGACTGCCTCCTCAAGTGGGTCCCTGGGTCCCTGACCCCCATGCCTCCTGACTGGGAGAGATCTCCAAATAGGGGTTGACAGACACCTCATACAGGAGAGCTCCAGCTGGAATCAGGCCAGTGCTCCAGAGGAAGGAGCAGACAGTAATCTTTGCTGTTTTGCAGCCTCTGCTGGTGATACCCAGATGAACGGCATCTGGAGTGGACCTCCAGCAAACTGCAGCAGACCTGCAGAAGAGAGGCCTGTTAGAAGAAAAACTAAAAAGCAGAATGCAACAACATCAAAATCAACAAAAGGGACCCCCACACAGAAACCCCATTCAAATGTCATCAGATTCAAAGATGAAAGGTAGGTAAATCCACAAAAATGAAAAAAAAAAAAAGGTGCAAAAATGCTGAAAATTCCAAAAACCAGAATGCCTCTTCTCCAAATGGTCACAACTCCTCTCCAGCAAGGGCACAAAACTGGACAGAGAATGAGACTGATGAATTTGCAGAAGTAGGCTCCAGGAGGTGGGTAATAACAAACTCCTCTGAGCTAAAGAAGCATGTTCTAACCCAATGGAAGGAAGCTAAGAACCTTGATATAAGGTTACAGGAACTGCTCACTAGAATAACCAGTTTAGAGAGGAACATAAATGACCTGATGGAGTTGAAAAACACAGCATGATAACTTCATGAAGCATAAACAAGTATCAATAGCTGAATCAATCAAGCAGAAGAAAGAATATCAGAGATTGAAGATCAGTTCACTGAAATAAGGCATGAAGACAAGATTAGAGAAAAAAGAATGAAAAGGAACAAACAAAGCCTCCAAGAAATATGGGACTATGTGAAAAGACCAAACCTACATTTGTTTGGTGTACCTGAAAGTGATGGGGAGAATGGAACCAAGTTGGAAAATGCACTTCAGCATATTATCCAGGAAAATTTCCCCAACCTAGCAAGAGAGGCCAATATTCAAATTCAGAAAATACAGAGAACACTACTAAGATACTCCTCAAGAACAACCCCAAGACACGTAATTGTCAAATTTTCCAAGGTTGAAACGAAGAAAAAAATGTTAAGGACAGTCAGAGAGAAAGGTCAGGTTAACTACAAAGGGAGGCCCATTGGACTAACAACAGATCTCTCTGCAGAAACCCTAGAAGTCAGAAGACAGTGGAGGCCAATATTCAACGTTCTTAAAGAAAAGAATTTTCAACACAGAATTTCATATCCAGCCAAATTAAGCTTCATAAGTGAAGGAGAAATAAAATCCTTTACAGACAAGCAAATGCTGAGGGATTTTTGTCACCACCAGGCCTGCCTTATAAGAGCTCCTGAAGGAAGCACTAAATATGGAAAGAGAAAACCAGTACCAGTCATGGCAAAAACACACCAAAATATAAAGACCAATGACCTATGAAGAAACTGCATCAACTAATGTGCAAAATAACCATCTAGCATCATGATGATAGGATCAAATTCACACATAACAATATAAATCTTAAATGTAAATTAGCTAAATACCCCAATTAAAAGACACAGACTGGCAAATTTGATAAAGAGTCAAGACCCATTGGTGTGCTGTATTCAGGAGACCCATCTCACATGCAAAGACACACACAGGCTCAAAATAAAAGGATGGAGGAATATTTACCCAGCAAATGGAAAGCAAAAAGAAGCAGGGGTTGCCATCCTAGTCTCTGATAAAACAGACTTTAAACCAACAAAGATCAAAAAAGACAAGAGCATTACGTAATGGTAAAGGGATCAATGCAACAAGAAGAGCTAACTATCCTAAATACATATGCACCTAATACAGGAGCATGCAAATTCATAAAAAAATTCTTAGAGACCTATGAAGAGACACAGATTCCCTCACAATAATAGCGGGAGACTTTAACACCCCACTGTCAATACTAGACAGATCAATGAGACAGAAAATTAACAAGGATATTCAGAACTTGAACTCAGCTCTGGACTAGGTGGACCTAATAGAAATCTACAGTACTCTCCACCCCAAATCAGCAGAATATACATTCTTCTCAATACCACGTACCATTTATTCTAAAATCAACCACATAATTGGAAGTAAAACACTCCTCCGCAAATGCAAAAGAATGGAAATTATAACAAACAGTCTTTCAGACCACAGTGCAATCAAATTAGAACTCAGGATTAAGAAACTCACTCAAAACCACACAACTACATGGAAATTGAACAACCTGCTCCTGAATGACAAAACAGCATGATACTGGTACCAAAACAGATATACAGACCAAAGGAACAAAACAGAGACCTCAGAAATAACACCACACATTTACAACCATCTGATCTTTGACAAACCTGATGAAAACAAGAAATGGGGAAAGGATTCCCTATTTAATAAATGGTGCTGGGAAAACTGGTTAGCCCTATGCAGAAAACTGAAACTGGACCCCTCCCTTACACCTTATACAAAAATTAACTCAAGATGAAGTAAAGACTTAAATGTAAAACCTAAAACCATAAAAACTCTGGAAGAAAACCTAGGCAATACCATTCAGTACATAGGCATGGGCAAAGACTTCATAACTAAAACACCAAAAACAATGGCAACAAAAGCTGAAGCTGACAAATGGGGTCTAATTAAACTAAAGAGCTTCTGCACAGCAAAAGAGACTATCATCAGAGTGAAAAGGCAACCTACAGAATGGGAGAAAGTTTTTGCAATCTATCCATCTAACAAAGGGCTAATATCCAGAATCTACAAGGAACTTAAATTTACAAGAAAAAAAAAATAACCCCATCAAAAAGTGAGTGAAGGATATGAACGGACACTTCTCAAAATAAGACATTTATGCGGCCAACAAACATATGAAAAAAAGCTCATCATCACTGATCATTAGAGAAATGCAAGTCAAAACCACAATGAGATACCAGCTAACGCCAGTTAGAATGGCTATCATTAAAAAGTCAGGAAACAACAGATGCTGCAGAGGATAGAAACGCTTTTACACTGTAGGTGAGAGTATAAATTAGTTCAATCATTGTGGAAGACTGTGGCAATTCCTCAAGGATCTAGAACCAGAAATACCATTTGACACCCAGCAATCCCATTACTGAGTATATACCCAAAAGATTATAAATCATTCTATTATAAAGACATGCACACATATGTTTATTACAGAACTATTCACAATAGCAAAAACTTGGAACCAACCCAAATGCCCATCAATGATAGACTGGATAAAGAAAATGTGACACATACACACCATGGAATACTATGCAGCCATAAAAAAGGATGAGTTCATGTCCTTTGCAGGGACATGGATGAAGCTGGAAACCATCATTCTCAGCAAACTAACACAGGAATAGAAAACCAAACACCACATGTTCTCACTCATAAGTGGGAGTTGAACAATGAGAACACATGGACACATGGAGGGGAACATCACACACTGGGGCCTGTTGAGGGGGTGGGGGCCTAGGGTAGGGATAGCATTAGGAGAAATACCTAACATAAGATGATGGGTTGATGGGTGCAACAAACCACCATGGCACCTGTATACCTACATAACAAACCTGCAGTTTCTGCACTTGTATCCCAGAACTTGAAGTGTGTGTGTGTGTGTGTGTGTGTGTGTGTGTGTGTGTGTAGCTCAAATTAAAAAGACTGACCATATTAACTACTGAGAAACATGGATGGGGAGGAACTGTGATTTTTATACACTGCTGCTGGGAATGTAAATGGTACAACCACTTTGGAAAACAGTTTCACAATTTCTTAAAAAGTTAAAAAATACAACTACTGTGATTTGTCTATTCCACTCCTACACATTTATCCAAGATAAATTAAAGCATACGTCCATATAATGACTTATACATGAATTTTCATAGAAACTTAATTTGGAATAGTCTCAAACTTGAAGAAACCCAAATGTCCATCAACAGATGAATGGTTAAAGTGATACATCCATACAATGAAATACCACTTATTTAAAGTGGGGATGGGTTAGGAGAGGAGAAAGAATGACCCCTCTAAAGAGTTGAACTGAGATCACTTTGACAACATCACGTGGAGGCCTTGAGGTGTCTTATCTCCAGTGCAGCTCTGGTGCTCAATTGCAGTCCCTTGCCAGAAGCCACTGGCAATGCTGTTTGACCTTGTGATAATTTTTTAGGATGTTTCTGTGTTCTTTATAATCCCACTTGCAGCTCCCCAATTTAAGTCAGTCATAGAAGAGTTGCTTAGATACCTATCTGGCTATCATCTATCCTCTAAACATACCTACTGCAACAGACTAGAATACATTTAGAATTGTGAAACTGCAAAATGTTTGGTTTTTGTGGGAAATATTTTATAAAACCGTAAGACAGGCATACATACATTCTCTCCCTTCAGACTTCATTTGCAATTTTCAGGGATGGAAAATGGTTTATTCTTTCAGTGGAAACCAGAAAAAGACAAAGTTTTCCAGCTCAAGGTAGATATTTAGTCTTTCTTTTCTTTCAAAATACTAAGACAAATATTTGCCCTCCAAAACGTTCTCCATGAACAATATTGTAGGAGGGACGTGCTGTCTTCCAGAAGTGTGTTTGGGTGTGATAAGGATCCTGTAGAGACCTACCGAACTCTAAAAGCCTCCCATTCCTGTGATTGACAACTGCAGGGATGATTTCACCAGGAAAAACCTAGGGATACATATTCAGGGTTTGTGGCTGAAGGCCTGAGGAACCTGTGGTCAGGGCTTTGGATAAGGTAAGGTCTGAGAAACTGCTGACTAGCCCTTATTGTAACGATTGCGATCTGGACTTTCTGATCTGAGTCTCCAGCCATGAGTGGTCTCTCAGCGCCTCCCAATTGTTCTTCTGTAGGTTCCTTCTATACTTCCCCATCTTCACAAGGCTGTTTCATACCTTCTCTACTTCTTTTCAATTTCTGGCCCTTCAAAATATCTGGACTTCTCTCTTCCATCAGATGTAACCTCACTCCAATTCTGGCCCCTAGATCCATAAGTGAACCTGCATCCTTAGTCATTCTTTTCTACTTTTCTCCTTCTAGAGAGGGAAAGGTCTCTGGATCCTATGCGACCTCTTTCTCAGAAGTTTTCACCTATAGGTTACCCTTTTCTCCCCCTGTATCTTAAACCACCTCTTCCCTACTGGTTTCTTGCCACTTATTGTTAAATGATGTTAATTTTCTTCCCTTGTAACACAGAAACAACATATAAAGCCATAACACCTTCTCCCTTTATCCCTTCTTCCCATCCAGATATTACCCTCTCACCTTTCTTTTACAATTAAACTTCTTAAAACACACACATAACACAACTATCTCCCACTCACTCTTCTACTCAAATATGTCTTTCCAATTCATGCCATTAAAGTTCCTATTACCAAAGTTGACAGGAACTCTCTTGCTAAATCCAATGAACACTTCTCATGTCCTACCTTCTCAGCCTCTGTGGTGTGTGACAATGCAGTATAGCATAGTGGTTAGAGCATGAACTCTGTAGCCACAGTGCCATGGTCTGTCTCTGATTACTCCTTTTATTACCTTTGAGTAAGTTCTCTAACTTCACTTGGCTTTGGTTTTCTTCCCTGGAATATGAGGGTGTTAGTAATGGTGTTTACCTTATAGGATTGTTGGGAGGATGTGACGAGCTCTGTGTATAGCACTTAGCACAGGGGTGCCTGGCACAGGGTAAGCACTCTCTAAGTGTTAGTATTATTATTGACCACTCCCTTCTTCATTCCTGAAACACTATTTTCAGCCATTCTGCACTCCTCCAGCTTTCCAGAGACCTGTCCAGTGTTGCTTCTCATCTCCTTAGCAGGTACTATTTCTCTACCATCCTCTAAATGTTAATGTTCCTCAGGGTTTTTTCTTAGGTCTTCTCTTCTCAGTCTCCTTGGGTGAGCTATCCCAAACGTTATTTCAATTCTTTCTTATATCGCAATGACCCCAAACTGCCTCAATGCCCTAAACTTCATATCTGAAATACTTACTAAACATTTCCATTTATATGCCCCATAGGCTGTTCAAACTCTACATGTCCAAAACTCAGTTTATTTTCCCCTCCAAAACTTGTCTCCTCTATTTTTTATTATCCTAGAGAATGACAACATGATCTCCTCAGGTACCCAAGTTAGAAACATGGGTTGCAGTTTGAATTTCTCCTTCTCTCTTCATTTCACCCATCACAATCTATCACTAAGTCAGGGCTACTTCATATATAATTTTGATTCTATTTTTATATATTCTTACTTTTAGCCCCTGGTTGAGGCTATCACCATCTCTAGCATGGATTACTGGGAAAAAAAGAATTTGTCTTCCTCCCTTCAGTCTGGTTTCTTTCTACACAGTTCTTTGTACCTCAACCGTAAGACCTTGTTAAAATGCACACCACTTTCTACCAATTCTGTATACCAAACTTTCAATATCTCTTTCTTGCTCTTAAAACCCAAATTTTTAGACATGGTGCTCAAGGCTCTTTAAGGTCTTCTATTTTAATTTCTGACCATTTTCTCCCTTCACCCTGAACTCAGTACTCCATCAGACTAAGCTGCATTCGATTCCCCAAATTTTTGAAACTCACACTCACCTCCAGACTTAGCAGTCCTCTTTCCCCTTTCTACTGTCTCTCCACTATCATCTGGTTAATTCCTACCTGCCTCAGATGTCACTTCTCATGTTCAGTAAAATGCAATTGATTATCACCCTGCTGATATTGGGCAGCTCTGTGTCTTTTTACAGACAAGAGAGTTTCTTACACCCTTTTCTCTTCCTACCCCTGGACCGCTTATCTTTTATTCACTTCCCATCAATCTACTGATAATTTCCAAATCTCTAATCCTAGCTTGGGTCTGCCCTTCAAATTAGCATTAACGTTAGCATTTCTGATTATGTATATATATATATATATATATATTGCATAGCGTATGTGTGCATATATACATGTGTACATATTCTTTGATTTATGTGTAACATCTTACTAGTTTCCTCATTTATGATATAAATATTTAATACATGTTCACTTTACATTTTACATTTGTATGAGAATCATTTTACCCTTTTTAAAATTTATCTTTTAATAACCATGTAATAGATTTACTCTCATTATCCCCATTTTACATTTGATGAAACTGAGCCCTAATTGATAATAGAATTGTGTCAAAGAGGAAATAATTTACTAGTAAGTGACAGAGAAGAGCTTTAAACCCAGTCCATGCTCTTAAGTACTACCCTACCTTCTGTGAAAAGTTGGGGTCCCTGTTGGTTTTGTCCACCAGAGTATCCCAGTATTTAGAACAGTGCCTGACAAAAGGCGGATATTCAGTAAATATTTAATAACTTGTGGGCTGAATTAGTTGACTAAAATTCAAGTATCTGACAAATTTCAAACTGATTTTCTGACAATTCCATCCCCCACAAAGTAGAAAAATTAGCCATAGATACTGCTACCCCAGGAGATCAGGAAAATACAAGACAGTTATTACATTTAGATTTTGTATTGGTCAGGATTCTCTGGAGGTATGAAACTAATAGGATATATGTATATACGAAAGGGAGTTTATTAAGGAGAATTGACTCACACGATCACAAGGTGTAGTCCTACCATAGGCCGTCTGTCTGCAAGCTGAGGAGCAAGGACGCCAGTAGTGGCTCAGTCTGAGTCACAAAACCTCAAAAGTAGGAAAGCCAACAGTGCAGCCTTCAGTCTGTGGCTGAAGATCCCAGAGCCCCTGGCAAACCACTGGTAAAATTCTAAGAGTCCAAAATCTGAAGAACGTGGAGTATGATGTGCAAGCGCAGGAAGCATCCAGTAGGGGAGAAAGATGAAGGCTGGAAGACTCAGCAGGTCAGCTAATTCCACCTTCTGCTTGCTTTTTCTAGCCATCCTGGCAACCAATTGGATGGTACCCATTCAGATTGAGGGTTGGTCTCTCTCTCCCAGTCCATTGACTCAACTGTTAATCTCCTCTGGCAACACCCTCACAGACATACCCAGAAACAACACTTTGCATCCTTCAATCCAGTCAAGTTGACAATATTACCATCACAGATTGCAATATAGCATTTGACAAGGTCTCTCATGTTACCTTTTGGGGAAGAAAACAAAATGCAAACTTGATATTATTTATTAAGATGGTCAAAATTAGCTGAAACAAAAGGAAGCTGATTTTCCAACTATAGAAAGAGAGTACTCTGTCTTACCTCAGTCTTATTGAAATATTTTAATCTGCCTTACACAGAGCAAGTCTGCTTTATTACCTGCTTTAGCTCCAGGACCTAGAAGAATGCCTAGCATGTAGATACAAATTTGTTTGAATGAATATTGTGACATACTTGCTAAAGTTTGCATAATAGAATTGTAATGAAAGAAATACACTGGACCTCTAAGCAGCATTTGAAACAATTGACAATTCCATCCTTGAGACCTCCTTGCTGGTTTTCTATCTGTAAGTCGGGATACTCCCTTTCTTCTTCCTTTGTGGAGTCCTCTTTCTCTTCCAAGACCTATGTGGTGGAGTTTCTTACACCCTTTTCTCTTCTTACCCCTGGACCTCTCATCCTGTCCCTTTTATTCACTTCCCATCAATCTACTGATAATTTCCAAATCCCTAATCCTAGCTTGGGTCTGCCCTTCAAATTAGCATTAATATTTTCAACTGTATATTTGACGTCTCCATTGTTGCCAATCCAAGCTTATCATGTGCAAAATAGAACTTATAACTCACCCAAGAAACCAAGAAAACACCTGCTTTTCTTCCTATGTTTTCTCTTTCAGCAAATGTACTCATAAAAATTGTTTACCTGAATGAACAATACAGAGGCCACACCTAAGAATACCCATTTAAGTCCCAGAGTTAGCTCTTTATTCCAAAAAAAGCATCTGCATCAGCAAGGGTGGAGGAGAAGGAGCTTAGCAACAGCACATGTGACAGAGACTTTGGGAATTGTGTGACAAGAGGCTGAGGATGAGTCAGTACTCTGAGCTGTGTCAGCCAAAGAACTGATTCAACTTTGATAGCATTGACCTGAACTATGGTATTTGAAAAAAGAAAGTGATGGCTTTTCTATACTCCATATTGGTTATAACACACCTGGAATATTGTGGTCACTTCTGGATACTGGGCTTTGGGTGTAATAAAGATAAGTTGGATATAGAAGAAATTGACTAGAAAGATGCTGCAACTTAAAACCATTAGAAGGGAATCAGAATACACTACCCCAAGATATGCCGCTTTGCCATATTGATTACTTTGAGCTGAAGACAATGAGAAAGAGTGGATAAAGGGCTCTCAACTCTCCCCATTTCTACTTAAAAGGTAGGGCAAAAATTTCCTTTGGGAAAGGGGCCCTTCATGTGCCAGGAAGAAAACATTCCTATCTCTAGAAACAGGGAGTTGACACAGAGATGAGTCTGTACAAATAAACCTCACTAAAATAACACTTATCTTCCATTAGTTTCCTTATATATTTCCTAGTTGCTTTCCTACAACTTACTGCCTCCAGCCCAAGTCCCTTTTTCCTTTTTCTTGTCATGGCTGCAAAATCTATTACTCTTTGTTAAAATGTATATAGGCCCACAGGTATAACTTCTTCTTTGGGTTTTTAAAATTATTTCTATGGATCCCCAATGCCACATAAAAATATTAACATCAAATAAAATTTGTATGCTTTTTCTCCTGCTGAGGTGTCTTATGTCTGTTTAATTCAAAGGCCCAGGAACAGAAACTAATGTGAAAGGAAAATAAATCTTGGCACCCCCAAATCACTAAGCCAAGGGAAAAGTCAAGCTGGGAACTATTTCAGGCAAACCTACCTCCCATTTTATTCCTAAATAAGATAACTACAAAGATAAAAAGCTACATACCTCCCTCACAATTTGCCCACAAAGAAATTCCTTGTGGACAAAGGACAAACAGAACTCAAAGTCATCCCTCTGCTCACGTGAGACAAATGCATATCTGATTGTCTCCTTTGCTCTATTGTTTCACTAAGCCAGACTAAAGCATAAGTGACTATTCCTATAAATCATGTATTCAGAGAAAGGCTAATCAGAAACTAAAAATAAGGCAACCTTTTGTCTTTTTTCTGCCTATGACCTGGAAGCCCCCGCTTTGAGTTATCTTGCCTTTCTGGACCAAACCAATGTATATCTTACATATATTGATGTCTCCCTAAAATGTATGAAACCAAGCTGTGTCCCAACCACACTGGGTGCATGTTGTCAGGACCTCCTGAGGCTGTGTCATGGGTGTGTCCTTAACCTTGGCAAAATAAACTTTCTAAGTTGATTGAGACCTGTCTCATATACCCTTGGTTTACCCCCAAGAGGGTAGAGGAAAAGTCTTTCCTTCCTTACACATGTGAAGTGAGGAGCTATTAAAGGCTCAGTATAGACATAAATGCTGCATCTCTACAGTTGTGCTACTTTTATCTTTTAATCTAAGATACAGGGTGCCTAAGAGAGTGATGGAAAGCAACTGGTCTCAAATATATTTGCTGATTGATCCAGGACTTTAGCAATTGACTTAGTCTGCTTTCTTAAAAGGCTGAACGGCTTTCTTAGTCCTATTAATGGCACATAATTTGGAGATAATTAAATATTTATTTTACAGATTTTGTCAATTTCTTGGAATCTTAGGGTGGAGCAGTCCAGATTCTCCAAGCTGAGCAATTTGGCTTCTCCACTTTTTTTTGAAAGTAGATTTGGTGCAAAGGTGTTTAATTACCTTCCAGCCTCTCTAAATAGGTATGAGATTCCAAGCTTTATGATCCTTGATAGCTGTAACCAGCTTATGTAAAGATGCTCAAAGTAGCTCCCATGGCCTATTTCTTTTTTCTTTTCTTCCTGAAGTTTCCCAAATACCTCTAAGCTGCAACATTCGCATGCCCAAGGGGTATATTCAATCCTATTACTGTGCTGAGTGTGAAACAGTCCACCCACAGAATGGTCTCTGCCCTCAGGGTGAATTAAATGAGATACCAGATGTGGTGGAATACTGCATTGAGTAGGTGCTTGATAATAGTTGGATGTGAATGTAAAAGAACTGTCTTGCCTCTACACTCATTCATTATTGAGAAATAGCTCTAAATATTGGCCAGTTTTCAATAAGTGTAGATATTGCTAATGAAACCAACACAGACTGTGAAAAAAGTGTTCTTATTATTTAATCTGGGTATTTCATCTCTCACCAGCTACTTTTCAGATCTTGGGTATTCTCTGGAGATAAGGAGTGGGTGTAGTGACAGTGGTAGTAAAGATCATGGATCTCATTAATGAGAAATTTTGAGACAAGAAATCTGTCATGTCTAATGCAAAAGTTTTCTGTGAAAACTTAGATATAGATGCACTCACTCAACATTATTTACAAAAAAGTGGATAATACATTTTCTCCCTGTGAAAATTTATTCATAAAATAGAACACAGAGCCAAATTGGAGAGTATGACTCAGTGGACTTCTGGTTGATTGACAGACTGATTAATCTGAAAAGAGCCTTTCTTGTAAAGAGTTGAAGGTGTTCCTCTTAGAATAAAATAAAATTAAGGACACTTGAATACAAAGCATTGGCATTGAAACTACTAGAACGTGGCACATTTTTAAAATGTTAATAGTGGGAGAATTTCCAGAATTTGTAATCATGTGTAAAGTTCATATCATAGTTTCCCAATACAGTTATACTGTAGTATGATTATATGTTTCTGACATTCCAGCAACCATAACAACAGTTCACACTTATTGAGTACTTATTATGTGGATGACATGATGCTAAGACCTTATACAGATTAATTCAACAACCATGTGGGATTGGCAGGGTGGGGTGGGCTGAGGTGGGAAGATCTCTTGAGCCCAGCCAGGAGGTTGAGGCTACAGTGAGCTGAGATGGCACCACTGCACTCCAGGCTAGGTGACAGAGTGAGACCCTGTTTCTTAAAAATCAATGACAATAAAACAGAAAACCACCACCACCACCACCACCAAGACAGCCAAGTAATTAAAAGGGGCCCCTGGAGAAACTCTGGCCAGCTGGCACACTGGGAGGATGGGGTGAGGCCTTGGGAAGTTCGTGCCATTTGCAGTGGGGAGGAGCCTGGCCTCTCCTGTTCCTGGATGGTGACCTGGAATTCAATCTGTGAGATGGCGGCCTATTAACAGGAACCTCTCTGGCTTTGCTGACAGTCTTTTTCCTTTCTGCCCAATAAATCCTGTAACCCCTCACCCTTTAAAGTGTCTGCGTGCCTAATCTTTCCTGGTCGTGTGACAAGAACCCAGTTTTTTCTACAATACCACCATGTGGGCCATAAACATTTTCCCCATTTTGTAAGTAATGATGAAAATATCTAATACTTACTGAACATAGGCACTATTTCAATGGCTTTATGAGCATTATTGCATTAAATCCTTTAAGTAAAATTACCAAAAACTTGGAAGTAAGGTAAAAAGGCTACATCATGACCTTTTGAAGACGTACAGAGCAACGTCCAACAAACTTGCATAAGGGTCATATGATTCTCTAACTTTTAGAAAATCAAACGTTACGAATGATTTTTGCAAATTATTTTTGTCTGATAGGAAAGATAATCCTAATGATCATAGTGCTTTTACTTAGGACGTTAACCAGTTTTCTGTCAAAATGTTCCAATCTTATTCTGGTGCTTCTATTTTCCAAGTTTCTTGTATCTTCCTTTACACCAGTTTTATCATCCTCCTGGTTCCATCATTAATAATTCAAATTAATCCTTGATACATTTTGTACCTTATATTTGCATAATTATGTATTTCACTTATTGAAAATTATGTAGTTTGATATTATAATACTTGCAATGATCCTCTGAGGTGGTTGCTATAGTCATCATTCCTGTACAAAAGTTGAGGAAACAGACACAGAGGCGTTCCTTACTTGCACAAGAACATATGAACAGTAAATAATAGAGTCAGAATGCAGAGCTAGGCTGTTTGATATCAAAGCTTACATGTTTAACTTCTGAGTTGTCTTCTAAGAAGGCCAAGACAAAGAGTTAACCAACTTTACCAATAAGCTGTGTTCTAGTAGGTGTGAGAGCTTGATTATTCTGGCTCTGATTCCACAGGCTTAATGTCTATGTTTTACTATATATGACATGTAGGCATTGAACACAGTCTAGGGAAGTAATTCATGGAGGAGAGGAAGGGAATTTAAAAACATCTTAATTCTTATCCATTTTGCTAACTTCATTAGGGATACATCACAAGAAACCAAAGCCAAATTAAGAAAACAAAACAAAAGAACAGTCCAGAAACCTAAAAAAGTGACAGAGTAATTTCCTACACCAGTATTTTTTTTTTTTTTTGCCGAGTCAAAAAATGAATTTGCTAATTGCCAGGGTTCCAAAGTCTTGGTTTTGCAT
Source organism: Homo sapiens (assembly GCF_000001405.40). Lineage (NCBI taxonomy): Eukaryota > Metazoa > Chordata > Mammalia > Primates > Hominidae > Homo > Homo sapiens. The sequence continues at coordinate 181,903,413 of NC_000001.11, forward strand.
TTATTCTAATTTGCATTTCAATGCCATTAGGGAAGATTTCTGGAAAGAAATTTAGGCGATGAGTCTACTGCTGGTGCATATGCCAGAGAGAAAGCCAAGTTTACTATTTACCAAGTGAAACAATATGAGAAGTAACTTATGGCACTTACCAAATACAGATTGCCAGGTAGTCAGGAAAACATGTGCCTTTTGTTAGCACTTCTGATAAGTCCCTCATTTGGGGGTTCCTTGGGAAACCTGTGGGACAGAACCCTTCCCACCTACATGTGCTCTTCCCATGCTCTATATGACCTAGAGAGATAGAACGCATCTTCATCCAAGAGTTCTAATGTAAATGCACACAGGGAGGTAAGTACAGTGTGAGGATCAGGGGAGGACTGTGGCCTCGCTCTGACCAAAGGTGGTGGTCATTCCTTCACTCAGCTGATTGCTGTCACATGCTACATGCTGACAGGCTTAATGTGACATCATCCCACTTACAAAAAAATAAAAAGCCCCACAAACTCAGAGTTTTATGTAAAAACTCCTGCTTTTAAATGTTGGCAATTATTTCAGTATTTAAACACTGTGCTGAATAAAAAAAACATCTGAAATCCAAATTTAGCCCACAGGCTACTGGTCTGCAATTTTTGATTTAAGTAGACCTATTATGGGAAAATCTAGATTTATTCACAAGTTAAAATAGGGCATAATTATTGTTTAAAAAGATTTATCATAGGTTCCTTTAAGAAGCAAGTTCTTTTCCATGTTTAAAATGTTACTAGGTTCAGGGAAACTTAATTTTAGACTCATTTTGAGTAATACATCAATTACGTAGAATGCCTTATTTGCAGAGACTACCTAATCTTGCTTGGTCCTATCCTAGCTCTTTGAATTCAGAACAATTCTAATTAAACTTAACACTTCACTCATTCAACGTGTAAAGTAACTACCACATAAGAAATTTGCAAGGTGTAGAAAATACCAAGGTAGGTAAGACTTGGTCTGGAAGAGCCCTATTCACAGCAGCATAGTATATATAGTGGGAAGAATGTGAGTGACTTTGGAACTGACAGACTGAGTCCTGGATCTGATTTTTTCTTGTTGTTTGAGGCAGGGTCTTGCTTTGTTGCCCAGGCTGCAGTGCAGTGGCACAAACATGGCTCATTGCAGCTGTGACCTCCTGGGCTCAAGCGATCCTACCTTCTGCCTCAGCTCCCTAAGTAGCTGGGACTGCAGGCGCACACTACCACGCCCAGCTAATTTTTGTGTTGTTTGTAGAGATGAGATTTCATCATGTTGCCCAGGCTGGTCTTGAACTCCTGAGCTAAAGTGATCTGCCTGCCTTGGTTCCCAAAGTGCTGGGATTACAGGTGTGAGCCACCACACCTGGCCTCTGATTGTTATTAGTTCTATTATCTATTATTTGCTGTATATTTCTTACTTTTAGTTTCCTTATCTGGAAAATGTGAGAAAAAACATCACCATTCTAAGAAGATTTTATTACATATACGTGAAAGCACTAGGCAAATAGTAAGTGCTTAATAGTTAACTGAATTGAATCTTTGTGAAAATTTTTCCCACTCTGTTTTTATGAAGTAAAAATTTTTGTTGCAAGTGACATAAACCCAACTCAAACTGGTTAGGCAAAAAGGTGATTTTTTTGGGAGAATATAAAAATAATCTATGTAAGCAAAAGAAGAGTCGAATAATCAAACAACGGAGGGGCAGGGATGCCTCAGGCGGGAAACAGAACCTGGACTGCCATCGGCATCTCTCTCTCTCTTTCCTCTCTGTATTCTCTTTTATTGCAGTTCAGCTTTCTCCACAAAGCAGTGCAGATGCCATGGATAGTGCCCAGCCCTCACACTTCATAGCTTTTACCTCCAGAAAATAATCACCACTATTATTTTAGCGCCAGTTTGAAGAGTGACAGGGAAGGACCCTGACAGGGTTGGCTTGGACCAGCACTCACTTCTAAAATAAATCACTAGGGACCCTGAAGTTAGGTTATGGGAACATATGAAAATTTAAAATTCCCTATAAGCACATGAGTGCCTGGAAAAGAAAGTTTCAAGGAGAAGAGGATAGGCTGGTACCATGAGAAGGGAAGGCTGTTGGACAGACACAACAGACTTTAACCACACAGTCTTCACCCTCCTGCTTCTTTTTGTATGCATCTAAAACATCTGAAATGAGAGTAATTATCAAACACATTCCGACAATTATCTAATTACTTTATGCTTATAGCACCTCCACAAGGGGCAGGATAAGTATTTCCATCCCTTTTTATACATCATGAAATAATTTCAATCAGCATATGGAATTGAACCAAGAGCCAAGTCTACCAAGCAATATATTTTTTATGTTGAATCATTATATGCTGAGGCTAATTTGCTTTTTCCACTTGATTCATAATTCCTATTGGGGAGGAAAAACTTCTCTACCCTTTTAGGTTCAATGACTAATGACTAGGGGCCTTCAAATTAGACTGACAAAAGACAGATTAATAGGAGAAAAAGCACATAATTTTCATTAATGTTTACATGCACAGGAGTTCACAGAAAAAAGTGAGACTCAAAGAAGTAGTTAGAATCAGGGATTTAGAGACAATTTTAACAAAGGAAAGGGAGTTTGGACTTTGAGGGACAATAAATCATGGGGAAGTGACTTAGGAAATAAATTAGGGAATGAATGTAAGGGTTATTTTAGTAAACCTGTTTATGCAAACTCATCTTGGTGTCAACTCTCTGTCTCCAGTGATAAGAGTCCCTCCTCTTCTTTTCCTGGTACAGGGGGAAACCTTCACAGAATAAATTTATGCCTTGCTTTTAAGCAGATAAGCACAGAAATCTCTTTCTGCATTTGTAGGTTCTTAGTTGCCTTCATCTCAAAACTATCCCTTTTCCAAAGTAGCATATGCAGGGGTGGCATATCCTGATCCCTTTCATTCCTTTAAGGACTAGAAGCTGCTTGGCTCTAAACCATGTTCCCATGAGAACGGGGCACAGAACTAGGTTGCATGTGTGGCAGAGTGACCGAAGCTGTCAACAGATAATTCCATGGATGTTTTCTTTACCTCAAAAAGAATCTGCAGGCTCAGAATGATCTGGAGATTCACCATGTGGTGCCCCATTAATCCAGAACACCCAGGAGTCCCCATGGCAGGAATATTATGCTATCACTGTTGCTAACTATGCACAGGAAAAGTATCCCATGGGATGCCGCTTCCAGTTTTACTAAGGTATAATTAACATACTGAAAACTGTGTATATATGGAATGTACAGTTTCATAAATTTTGCCATTTTAAATACTTGTGACGGCATCACTACTATCAAGATAACGAACATATGTGTCACCCCCTAAAGTTTCTTCATCCCTCTTTGCGATCCCCTCCCTTGTGCCTTTCTCCCCATCTTTATCTCCAAGCATGCGCAGATCTGCTTCTGTCACTATGCATTAGTTTGCATTTTCTAGAATTTCATACAAATGAAATCATGTAGTATGTACTTCTTTTTTTCCTGGCTACTATCACTCGGTATAGTTATTTTGAGATCCATCCATGTGGTTGTGTGTATTAATGACTTCTTCCTTTTTATTGCTTGATAGGGTAGTGTTTCATTGTATGGATACGCCACAATTTGTTCATCTATTCACCTGTTGGTAGACATTTGCGTTGTTTCCAGTTTAGAGCTAGTGCAAATTCAGCTGATATGAATAGTGAGCAAGTTGTTGTATGGACATGTGCTTTTGTTTGGAGTAATACCTCGGAGTGGAATAGCTGGATCACATGGCAGGCATGTGTTCAACTTTTTAAGAAACTAAGTTTTCCACAGCCATTATATTATTTTACATTCCTACCAGCAATGGATTAGAGTTTCAGTTCCTTCATATTTTTGCCAACACTTGGTATTCTGTCTTTTGAAGTTTAGCCATTCTAAAAGATGTGTAGTAATATTTTATTGTAGTTTTAATTTGCATTTCCCTCACGACTAATGATACTGAACATCTTTTCATGTGCTTAAATGCCATTTGTGTATCTTTTTTGAAGTGTCTGTGCAAATATTTTGCTCATTTAAAAACTTGGTTACTTCTTGAGTTTTGAGATTTATATATTCTAAATGTAAGTTATTTATCAGATATAGGCTTTGCAAATATAGTTTCCCAATGTGTGGCTTTTTATTGCCTTAATAGTGTCTTTCAAAAAGCAGAATTCTGCTGCAAGTAATCACTGAGAAGCCCATCTCAATATGCTGGGATGTGTAATGCTAGTTTCTAGGAGGGGTAGAACAAGAGCTCTGTTACTGGTACCCTTGTATAATCCAGGAAGTTAGGTGGTATTAGCACATGTGGCACCACACTTACCATGTAGCCAGGACATGGGAGTTATGTCCTGTGCCACGTCACGGGATCATTAGGTAGTATTTTCATCAAACTCCTGACACCACCACCAGGCAGCAGGCCCCCCTTTAGTGTGCACCCAGATGCTTGGCAGGTTGGCAGGTACAGTGACTGCCTCACTGTGTTACAATCAATCACTCCTAGCATCCTCTGGAGCCCTGAGGCAAACTTGAAAGCTAGGTGCACTTTCAGCATCTGCAGCACCTCGCAGTTCATTGCAGTTTCCTATGTGGTGTACAGCTGCAAATCAGCATCATCATCTTCACCATGCCAACAAGCCTGCATCAAATGACAAGTAGAAGGCATGGAGGCAAATGCTCTCCAGCTGTGTTCTTCTTGCAGGACTGCTAAGTCCTGAGATTCCTCCAAAGGTCTTAGTGTGGCAGGAGTAGTATTGTATGACAGTCCATAGAGGGAATATGGATCCCATTCCAGAGCCATCTACAATATACTTGATTATCTGGAAATGCCCAGGGGCATGGTTAGGTTGATTTTTCCCCAGACCGCCATCCATCACATAGGCCCATCATCCTTCCTGGGTTAGAGAGCTGATGACTGACTAAGCAACATTGCCCACAGCCAGGGGCTGCCTCCATTACAAGTGGCCATGTCAAATATATGATGGAAATTATTTGATAAAAAGGGAGTAGGAAGAGAAAAAGTAATGCTCATATTTCTGACAGGTTAAAATAGCTACAGTGAAACAGGGTGCCCTTTAGTGCAAGTAAATGATTCTTTTTCTGTCCAGAAATAGTCTTGGAGCCCAAAAAAAGTGCTAGCGAGGTCATGCTGTATCTGGTAAGCATCTTCCTAATTGCTGAGGCTTTCACCAAAATATTTAACTGAATTTGAGGAGGAGGAGCGTCAATTTTTTAGAAGAAATAATATAGGCTCTGAAATAATCCTTGACAAGAATCCATGATAAGAAGTCTCAGACAATAATTTGGGGAATGTGTGGCTAAGGAGTCTAAGAAAGTTGCCCTGAGGTGGAGGAAGGCAGGTCTTCACACACTTGGAGGACTATGGGTGAGGTGCCCAGCCAGGTTTCCAATCATGGGGATACAGACCTCCCAGATACTCTGGAAGACAGACTTAGAGACCCTGATGGCAAAGTCACCTTCAAAAAAGAACCCTGGGGGAAAGGAAGGAAATAACCACTGATTGAAGAGATACTGGTATCAGACAATGAGCACTAGGATACACCTAGGCTATAATTATCCTGTACACAATTAGAGAGTATCTTACTGCATCCACACAATAATACTGTGAAGTATTATTTCTCTCACTTTTAGATTGATGCTCAGAGTAGCTTCTCTAATTCATTCACTTATCCTAGCATTTACTGTACAGCGTTTACTGTGCAGTGTGTCAGCATTCTGACAGTCCCTGGGGCTACAAAGATGAATGAGACAAAGACCCTGACTTTGAGGAGCTCATGATCAAATCAGCCTAATTCATGGGACAGATATGTCAACAGAAAAATGACTGTACAGTGCTCTGTAATATGTTGTTTTATTTCAACTGTGCCATTCAAGCTGAGAGGCAGGGCAATATTAGAGCAGAAGTAAGGCTAGAAGGACAGCAAATTTGGTCTGAGCCAGTTATGGAAGGCTTCTCTTAGGAACTGACCTGAATCACATTCTCAAGGGCAAAGGAATTAGCTGGACAAAGAAGGGAGGAAGAAGGCTTTCCAGAGTCCTTAGCTACTATATCTCAGAATGGATTTTGAGCCTGGTTCTTGTCCATTTTCAAAATGGACTCCCACAGCTACCGGGGCCCCAGCCTTGAAGATTTCTGAGCTCCCAGAACTGGGCTAACTCTGAGGGAGGTGAAGTGTCCCTAGTCAGGTCCCAGGGGGTGAGATGAGCTTCAACAATCTTACTTTGACAATAATCCTAAAGTAGTAGACCTTGATTTAACCTATAGCTTCTGAGACCTGTGGGGCATACCCTGAGCATTCCTGAAATTGAGACAAATAACTGATTATTTCCACCTTTCATGTGAGGTCCAAGAACAGTTTACCCTTCACAAAATCAAGTGAGTTACTTCTTAGCATCTTAGCACCTTCTAGTTTTCTTAGTGGTTAATAAGAGCTAATATTTATTGAATGCTTACTAAGTAAGCACTAAGCATTGTTCTTAATATTTGCATATATAAATGCATTCAATATTCAATATAATAAGTAGATAATTAAATATATTTTCCATTTACTAGATGAGGAAAATGAGGAACCGAGAAGCCAGACTGATCTAGTATGAATCAGGTCCTGAGGAATGGGAGCCCACATTTTCAGACTCAGCACCAGATTTATTAAGTTACGAGAAGCTCTAGAAACCAACTCTCAGCGGGGGAAACCTATTAGTACATCATTTGAATCAGAGCTATGTACCAAGTTGGGACAAAGACTCACATTTTTCAAATTTTTGTGTGTGTGGGACTCCTACAATCCCAAGTGCCAAGTAGCTAGAAACAGCAACACAGAGAGACAGTGGGCAAAGAAGAGGGTAGCATTTCATTTCCACATGACTCAGATGCTAATGCATTATGTCTTGTTAATAATAGCACTTACTACACTCTTACCTGCCCTTGGCCCTCAAGAGAAACTGAGAAGGCTCCTAGTAGTCTAATCTCACTCTCTTTCCACATGTACCTTGCCAGCTGCATGCTAGTCCTTTGGGACACTTTCCCCCGTTTTCACACCTCCAAAGTTCCCCTTGATAGTCATTGAACTCGGATTTCACAAAGAACAATTTGCTTAAGTTTCCAAAATTGCCCCAAGGAGGGCTTTGCTATGGCAGTTGTTTTGTACTAATTGGATGACCTGTCCTTGGCACACTTCCTTTAGCATATAATATGGTTTGGCTCTGTGTCCCTATCCAAGTCTCAAGTCAAACTGTAATCCCCACATGTTGGAGGAGGGGCCTGGTGGGAAATAATTGAATCATGGGGGCAGATTTCCCCCTTGCACTTCTCATAATGAATGAGTTCTGAGATCTGGTTGTTCAAAAGTGTGTAGCACTTCCTCCTTCTCTCTCTCCTGCCACCATGTGAAGACGTGCTTGCTTCCCCTTCACCCTTCCACCATAACTGTACGATTCCTGAGACCTCCCCAGCCATGCCTCCTGTACAGCCTGTGGAACTGTGAGTCAATTAAACCCCTTTTCTTTATAAATTAACCAGTCTCAGGTAGTTCTTTATAGCAGTGTGAGAACAGACGAATACAGTATAATTCAGCCACATTTATCAATGATTCCTTGACACATGCGGTTTACCATTGACTTACTGACTTCTACCTGGAAAGAAGCAACAAAGGCTTCTGCCAGAGAGGGCAGTGTTCTGCTAGGTAAACATCCATAGACCAAGTTTTCAATGTTGGGATCCTTCTTACAGTTTAAAACTCATGGATCTCCAAGGCAGTTCTCAACACAACCCCTCCACCCCAAATCCCCCAACCCATAGAGCAAGAGTGTCATTTCCTTCCTAGTTGCTTTTGGCTTGACTCCTTTTTTTTCTTTTTCCAGACTCGGGAAAGTTTTTAAGAAAGAAGTTATTATAATTATTATTCTGGTATTGCAAGGCCAATAGATTGGGAGACAACTACCACTGAAAAGAGAACTTGTTACAGTAACATACTGCAAAAGGAGGGGCAGCGCAAGAATGTACCAGGGTCAGTAGAGAGACAGAAAAAATGGAATGAAAACATGGGAAATGCTTTTATTGTAATTTCTCTGGGAAGAAACGGCCAAGGCAGGGTAAGCAGCCTTAGAATGGGCTAGTTTGAATAATTTTAGTGGTTTCTAGGGATGTTCCTAGTTTTCTGGCTTCTGGTCCTGGGGTGAGTAGGGCAGGGGAATGGTGGCATTGCATGTGAGAACTGCACAGAGGAGATAGTTGGGGATGTGGGCTCTGGATTGGATGGTTTGCATGTAAAACACAGGCTTGCAGCCCAGTCCTTTACCATCTTTAGGAATTGGCTAACCCTGGGAGGGGCAGTCCCTACAGGATGAGGAAAGCCCTAGATTTCAAAGCATCAAATATGAGAACTAGAAAATGTAATTATTATAGAAGAGAGCTGCTAGATTCTTCTCTGCTGAGGAGGTATGTCTCTCTCCAAGGTCCTGCCTTAAGCATTTTTTTTTTTTTCAGAGTGAGGTGCTCTGACTCATCCTGGAAATGCTCCATTTTCTCTGATTTGCATCTAAAAATTAAAATATTCAAATTCAGCAGTGGATCTGGAATTCACACATCTTTGTATGTGAGGCTAGTTTCCCTGGATTGAACATGACTTCCTCTTTCGAAGAAGGATTTCTAAGTCTCTAAGTCTCTGCTGAAGGTGGGGTTATGGATCCCCAGGTCATGTGTGAATAGCCAATTGTTTCTTGTGGGTCAACTGCTGAGAAATCAATCAACCAACAGCAGCCAGATCAAGCCAGTCATCTTAATAGTTACAACAATTAGGCTTGGGCTAGGTATTCTCTATACTAGTACCTTTCAGCCCCAGCTGCAAAATAGAATCACCAGAGGAGCTTTAAAAACATATCAGTTACTGGGGCTGGCAGCAGACCAGTTGAAGCAGAATCTTTGAAGGTGTGATCTGGGTAACAATATTTTTCAGAAGTTCTCCATTAAATTCTAAAGTTCAGCCAGGGATAAGAACTACTGTTCCATACTGACTGAATTATTAAACAATTTGACAATGGGTCATTAGAATAGCTGGTTAATAGCCAATAGATAATGTAAAATTAAAACTCTGGGTTAATTTGGAACCATCTTGATTTTTAGAACAGAGAGTTCTTGCCATAGAAGAGCTGGGTCTGAGGCACTCAGTGTCTGTTGCTTCCTGCTTCAGACTTCAAAACTGCCTGCCTTCTCCCTTACACTGCCTGTATGGGTAACTCCACTGGACTTAGAATATCCTCTATTCCCCTTACTCTGTGAAAATAAAAGATCGTCGGAGGCTATGATAGGTTCCAAGAGGCATGTTTTCACTTCCAGTTGCCATTCTGGTGGCAAATTGGATACTCTTCAGCCATGAGACATGGCTCAGCTTCTGACAGAATTTAGTGGAATGCCAGGAAGGAATTGAGGTATCTGACTTTGGGCCAGGATGCCTGTTCTCTGTAAGCCTTCCAGATCCCTAGCCAAGCTTCTCGTACTCTAATTATTGAGATAAGCAGCAGCAGACCATTCACTCAAATCAGCCGAGACCTGCTGCTGTTCCTATTTTCATAGGCACCAGGAAGAGAAGCTGATGTTCCTAAAGAATCCTCAAGTTTTCCATAAAGTCCTGGGGAGGGTAGGATAGTCCCCAGAGAATGCCACACCCAATTGCAGAGGTGCCTTGGTAAACCTTCTTCCAGAATTTTCTGTTTCAGAAATGTCATTAAAGAGTTTGAAACTCTATTTTGGCTGTACTTTTGGAGGCTGATCATGGAAAACCTCTCCTGTCTACCTCAGCCTTCTTCTGCTTTTTAAGCATGTGAAATGATCATATTATTGGGAAAACAGAAGTATCCAGGAACAAATTAAATGAGCTTTGTCAAGGTCACTGAGAGAACATCTTCAGATTCTCTTATTTAAGATGTCATGTGTATTGGTAAGTCATCTTAATGATCATGGACCCAAAAAATACACAGGTTCTGAGAATCTGTAAAATAATGATGGTAGTAGCAGTAGAATCTCTCAGCACATTATAATTTATAAAGCATTTTTCATAGCATTGTTAACAATAGCTAAAATTTAACGAGCACTTCTCGTGTGCCAGATTTTGAGTGATTCAGATGTATTTTCACCTTTAATTTTCACAAACTCCTTTGGAAGTAGGGGCTACTATCCAAATTTGAGAGAAATAAAAAAGGAAGGAAGAAAGAAAGAAAAAAGAAGGAGAAAAATTGAAGAGAGGTTAATAACTGGCCAACATTTTCACACTGTTAAAAGATGGTGCTGGGTCTCTAAGTTGAGTGTGTCTGACTCCAGGGCTGGTGCTGTTAACCACCCAAATGCCTACAGGGGCTAGGCAGGTGAGTAAAAAGGGAGACCAGGTATAAAATAACACTCTCTTTTACTGGATTTTCCTGTTCTTCCACATCTCTAAATGTAGAAGAGAGACTCTGGTCCTTGGGTCTCTTCTATACCCACCTTTACTCCCTGAATGACATCATCCAGTTCCGTCTATCAAGGACTCCCAAATTTTTACCTCAGAATCCAGCCTCTTCCACACATCCAGACCCATGTATCCAATGCTTATTGTTACTTTCACACTTGAATGTCTAATAGACATCTCAAAGCTAACACGCGTAAAACCAAACTCTCAAGTTATATCCCTGGAGACCAATCTTCACTACCTCAATGTTTCCTGGTTCAAGAAATAGTCCTGCGATTGACACATGTGCTTATGACAACTCTTGGAGTCATCCTTGTTGCCCTTCTTATTCTTACACCTCATAACTAATCCTCTTTTCATTTTATTTATTCATTTTACCCACAGAGAATATACCAACTATTCTCTCTCTCTACCCTGCCTTCACTGTTATCATAATTTAAGCCACCATTATCTCTGGCCTGGCCCTTGCCTTTCAATGGTTCTCCCTGTCTCCTTGCCTGTAGTCTCTCCTTTGTCCTCATAACAATTAATGATGAGGACAAACATCAGCTGGGTAAAAAAGAAACTATCAGTATGTGGAAGGACTGACAACTTAAGTATTGTCAGGCCTCCCTAGCCTCCATCTGGTACAGTTTAGAAACTGCACAAACCCCCTCACTTCATGACATTGCTCCCACAATGACCACAGCCAATGGGCTTTTGCATTGGGTTCCAAATCACTCGTCTGACAACCATGACCTAGAATCAATGCTCACCACAGGTCTGCTTGGTTGTTCCTCTGTACCATTTCCCCAAGATTCCCCCCTTCTAATAATGGGGTTCTTGAGGTCTACTCCATCTCTGTCCTTGCCCTCTATGCTGTATGCTTAGTTTGGATGACTGAGTTTATGCTTCAGCCCTGACCCCAACCTTCCTGTTCCAGCAAGTGGTCTCTCCCTGACCCTCCTATGAGCATCAGGCCCTGTCTTGCCCTTGCAAACCCCTCCTTGGGATTCAAGACCCCGCATCAACACCAGCACTATGCTGACAGTGGTTGCTTTGCAAATGGTACTCTCAAGCCTGACCCTCAAGGCCAAGCCCAGGCTGGTGCTGAGGCAGGCTTCCTTGGCAGCAACATAATAACTGTGCCGATTTATAGAGGGCCTGTCTGCTGAGTCTGGGATGCTGTACATAATAATGAAAACTCAGTCATCCTGGGGGATGGAGGTAACCAGGTCCCTTACCAATTCAGGCCAAAGTGCTCAGAGGGGCCCAGCTGAGCAGCCAGGAGAACAAAGTTATAGACTAAATAAATTTAACCTAGGCCCAAGAGCCAGAAATTGATGATGAATGAAACACCCTCCGGAAGTAACCAAAAGGATCAGAGCCTGAGACCTTTGTCGTCAGGGCACCTGTGGCTTGAGCTCTCAAAACACTTTGAAGAGAGGGAGTTACTTCTCAAGGAAGCACTAAAGGCCTAGCTGAGCATGTTTCTCCTGTGAGGCCAGTGTATTCTGCAGAGGAAAGGTCACCTGGGACCTAGAACAGACTCCCTTCAGATCCAGAGAAAAAAGAGCTGCTCTGCTAGATTGGGGCTGGGCTCAGAGCTCAGCTCCTCCACCCCCAGCTCTGTGGCCCAGCATCTCCATGTACACCACCTCCTTTGACCTTCTCAAGACTCTGTGGGCCAGGTAAGGCTGTGTATTCATTTCCTGTGGCTGCCATTATAAGTTATCAGACTAGGTGGCTTAAGACAGAAATTCATTCTCTCACAGTTCTGGATGCCAGAAATCTGAAACAAAGGTGCCAGCACGGTGGACTCCTTCTGGAGACTATGAGGGAGAATTTCTTCCATCCTTTTTTCCTAGCTTCTGGTGACTGCTGGGAATCCCAGCATTTTTTGACCTCTACGTATATCACTGCAATTTCTCCTTTCTTCATAAGGTCTTTCTATGTTTCTCCTCTGTACCTGCATCTCTTATCTTTTATAGGAAACCTATCATTGGATTTAGTGGCCATCCTAATCCGTCATGATCTTGAGATCCTTACCTTAGTTACATCTAGAAAGGCCCTTACCAAATAAGGTCACATTCTGAGGTCTTAGGTAGACATATATTTTAGGGGGTGATATGGTTTTGCTGTGTCCCCACCCAAATCTCATCTTGAATTATAGCTCCTACAGTTCCTATGTGTCATGGGAGGGACCCAGTGGGAGGTAATTGAATCATGGGGGTGGGTCTTTCCTGTGCTGGTCTCATGATACTGAATAAGTCTCACGAGATTTCATTGTTTTATAAAGGGGTTTCCCCTGCACAAGTTCTCTCTTGCCTGCCACCATGTAATATGTGACTTTCACCTTCTGCCATGATTGTGAGGCCTCCCCAGCCACATGTCACTGTGAGTTCATTAAACCTCTTTTTCTTTATAAATTACTCAGTCTTGAGTATGTCTTCTTTAGCAGTGTGAAAACGGACAAATACAGGCAACATTACTGAACTCACCACAGGCTGACAATTTTATTACATAAGGGAAACCAAGACTGTGAGAGGTTAAATCATCCAAATCACAAAGCTATTAATGAAAGTGCCAGATTTGGAACACAGAGGACATGGCATATCATATCTCTTGGGATGTTCTGAAGCAATGGAATACCCAATGCCTTGTTTTAGCAATAAATGGGTGTCTCAAGTTATGTGCTGTTCATCATAGATGAAGGAAAAATCTTAAAGTAAAAATTAAGCGGTAATGTCAAGACCAAGTCATCTCAATATACTTTTAGTTGCCCAGTTGCTTTCCACAGAATTTCCATTTAATTTGTAGATGATTTTCTTTAAAGCTAAAGTCTCTGATAACACACTTCTTTTCCGATTATTTAATTACATTTATGTGACAGTCTTTTATCAAGTGCCTATTATGTGTCGGACTGGTATAAAGATGTGTAAGACATAGCCTCTGTCGACAGAATGCTCACTATCTGGGGATAAGCTTGTGTCTAACGGACCATTGCTGTCCAGAACAGAGAGATGAGGGTAATAGAGAATGTTTGAAGTACCAAGAAGAGACAAAAATGGAGCCAGGAATTATGCCTAAAGACCAGAGGGCAGGGTTCAGGAAGTGAGCTTTAATGAAGTCTTGAAAGAAAAGTGGTGATTCCTCAGGGGGATAAGTAGGGAGAGGATTCTAGATCAAGAGAACAGCATGTGCAAAGGTATTTATAAATAAGTGGGATGTTTTGTTTGCTGGGGTAAGGATTAATATCTATTAAAAGTTTGAGAAAGTAAGCAGAGACCATATTGTTACCAGCCTTGTGTACTAGAACAGGCATTCAGGTTTTATCCTAAGCCACTGATGAGCTTTAAGTAGGGTGAGGAGTGTCACAGGTGAGTTTGCACTTTAAAAAGACCCAGCAGCAGCGTGGAGAATATATAGGCAGAGGGCCAGTATGGAGACAAGAAGACCATTAAGAGACATTTGCAAGTTGTCAAAAGCTTAGAGTGATGGCACATATGGCATTGGGGATGGAGGGGTGGGATGAACTAGAAAACCATTTGTTGGCACCCATCCTGAATCCCCGCCAGGCTGAGTTCATGACTCCCTTTGTGTTCCCACAGCACTTCTGCTGTGATGTATTGTTCACATATCACATCGCACCATATTTTTGGTTTACAAGTCTGCCCCCATCATTAATCATGGACTCCTTGAGACTGTGCCTTATTCATCTTTGTTTCCCAGAACCTAACAGAGATGTCCAATAAATACATATTGATAGAATTTTTAATGAGGCAGAACCAACAATAATTGGTGATAAATTCAATGTAGGAAGTAAGGAGGAAAGGGAGAGTCTCAAAAGAGGAAAAAGAGACTCCTAAGGCCTCACTTGTGTGGGCAGGGAGAAGGTGATGCCTATTACTATTATTAGCCTATTACCAAGAAGTTTTTGATTGCTCTGGGCTTGGAGTTCTTTGAGGAAAGATACCTCATCAGACCCAGCTTGGTACTGAGTGTTGTAAATACTTCATCAATTGTGTTAGGTTGAATTGCCTGCTGGATCAAAACTTACCATCTAATGGCTAAATATCCCTGGAGTGGGATTCAGGAGAATGAAGTTCTACCACTCGTCCTGCTCTGCCAGCCACAAACTCTTTGCACTCAGACATGAGGTCCAGCCTCTCTGACTGGAGAGCCATGCTTGCAAGCCCAACTGCTTCAAACACTACCTCCCACTGCAAGCTTTCCCTTGGGACCTCCCAGTAATTTTTTCCAGCTTTATTGAGATATGATTGACAAATGAAAATTGTACATATTTAGGGTATACAATGTAATGTTTTGATAAGTGTCTATACTATGAAATAATTAATACAACCAAGCAAGTTAACATATCCATCGCCTCAAGCAGTTACCATGTTTTTGTGATGAGAATACTTGAGATCCACTTTCTTAGCAAACTTCAGGTATATGTGTTAATAACTATAGTCACTGTGTTGTATATTATTGGTCTCCAGTTCTCATTCATCCTTTAACTGAAGGTTTGTATTCTTAGTGCAGCCTAATTTGATATAATCTCTCCTCCTTCTGATCAGTCATAACCATGCCCCCTCCCACACACAACCCCTATATCTCTTAAGATATTTTCATCACTCTACCTTGTATTATAGTTTAGGGTGAGCACATTCTGACTCCCTTCATAGATTAAAACTACCAGGAGCAGGATTCATGGCAGATTCATTTGACAACAGTATGTAGCATACTGCTACATATTCAATAATTTGGCTAAATGAGTAAATGAATAAAACTCATTGAAAGGTGGGAAAAATCCATCAGGAAAAATCCATCTGGAAGATTCCTCCTGGTTTTTATGTTACTTTGACAATTATTGCCTGATCTGCAGGGTGAGCTTGGCAGGAGGACTGGATAGGGTGCAAGAGGGCAGATTTCTGGGGGAAAAGGTCTCAGCTCTTCTTATAAGCCAGGGGATCCCATGAGAACATGGCAGTCACTTACCTGATGCCCCCTG
Source organism: Homo sapiens (assembly GCF_000001405.40). Taxonomy (NCBI): domain Eukaryota; kingdom Metazoa; phylum Chordata; class Mammalia; order Primates; family Hominidae; genus Homo; species Homo sapiens. Next base: position 181,918,890 of record NC_000001.11, read on the forward strand.
CTCCCCATCTTAGAGAATAACTGGATAAGAATATGGCTCATTGAGTCTAGAAAATTATCAAAAAAGACATTCAGGATGGGCAGGTTGCTGGTTTCCTTACAGCCTGCGTGAAGTTTCTCTTCGGCACTGAGAATACTCCCAGTTTTATAGCCTACACAAGCTTCTGGTTTCACTTGGTTGCATATTTCAGCACCCAATGATCCAAAAGACTGATAAGGATTCCCTCAGTTGCTGGGGTCACATCCCCTGCCCACACCCAGTCCTGGCTGGAAATCTGCTGGGTCTCCGGAAAACTGCCTGCAGCACTGATCCACAAGCAGGGATCAGCACCTATGGGGGGTGGCGGACACTGTCTCAGGGTCCTTCTTGCTGTGAGGGCTCCCACTTGTAATCCACTAAAATACTCAGGGCCTTGGTGACTCATGCCCGCATGACATTTGCCTAATTAATTCTGCCTCTTAGATTCTCAGCTCTCTGGTCTGTGAAGGGGTGGCTGGGAGCTGCGGGGGAGTGGGATTTGCTGAAGCTGCAGGGGCAGAGCCAGTGGGAAAATGGAAAAGAGCACAGCCAGGGAAGAGACTTTCCGGGAGCAAGGCAAGTGGCTGGACCCCCTCAGCTATTCAGGGAACTTGTGGGGCCATCTTACATTTCTGCAGCTGTGCTGGGAAGACCTGGACAAAGCAAAGGACCTGAGGGGCCTGTGGGCAGGATGCCAGGGGAGGGGAAAGGGGGGATCCCCTCTTGGTGTTGATAGATATTGATACAGAGCACTCCTGGCAGCTAGCAAGGGCATTGCTGGGGCATTTGGTCAAGCTGAGGGACTGACATAACTACACTGCAAGGAGAGAGAGAGGAGAGGAGGCTTTCCTCTGGAGCTGCTGGCCAGAAGCATCATCTACTGCCTGCTGCTGTTCATTTGCGGGCATTGCAATGGGGCTAGTGATGTATCAGGATGCTGGGGAGGGATTTTAGGACTCAGAAAGCAGCAATATTTAAATTGTTATATACATTAGAATGGTATAGGAAGCTTGTAAATTGAAAACTCCTAGGCTCTGCCCCTCAGAGATTCACTGCTCATGTTACAAACTCCAGGGTGATTCTGATGCCAACAGTCCTCAGATCAGACCAGACACACCTACAGGGTGGGTTGGACCAAATGGCCATCCCATGATAACAGGCTGCCCTTCCAGAAGCACAGGTAGCTTACTTTAAAAGTGTCAATTGGGAGCCAGGCGCGGTGGTTCACATCTGTAATCCCAGGACTTTGGGAGGCCAAGGTGGGTGGATCAAGAGGTCAGGAAATCGAGACCATCCTGGCTAATATGGTGAAACCCCACCTCTACTAAAAATACAAAAAATTAGCCGGGCATGGTGGCACGTGCCTGTAGTCACAGCTACTCGGGAGGCTGAGGCAGGAGAATGGCATGAACCTGGGAGGCAGAGCTTGCAGTGAGCTGAGACTGAGCCACTGGACTCCAGCCTGGGTGAGAGAGCAAGACTCCATCTCAAAAATTAAAAAATAAAACATAAAGCGTCAATTGGGAATTCCCAGGCAAGATGGCCAAATAGGAACAGCTCTGATCTGCAGCTCCCAGTGAGACCAACGCAGAAGGCAGGTGAGTTCTGCATTTCCAACTGAGGTACCCAGCTTATCTCATTGGGACTGATTAGACAGTGGGTGCAGCCCATGGAGGGTGAGCAGAAGCAGGGTGGGGCGTTGCCTCACTCAGGAAGTACAAGGGGTTGGAGAACTCCCTCCAGTAGCCAAGGGAAGTGGTAAGGGACCCTGCCATGAAAGATGGTGCTATCCAGACCCAGATACTACGCTTTTCCCATGGTCTTCACAACCCACAGACCAGGAGATTCTTTTGGGAGCCTACACCACCAGGGCCCTGGGTTTCAAGCACAAAACTGGGCACCGTTTGGGCAGACAGCGAGCTAGCTGCAGGAGTTTTTTTCATACCCAAGTGGCACCTGGAGGGCCAATGAGACAAAACTGTTCACTCCCCTGGAAAGGGGGCTGAAGCCAGGGAGCCGAGTGGTCTTGCTCAGTGGATCCCACCCCCATGGAACCCAACAAGCTAAGATCTACTGGCTTGAAATTCTCGCTGCCAGCACAGCATTCTGAAGTCAACCTGGAACACTCGAGCTTGATCAGGGGTGGGGTGCCCACCATTACTGAGGCTTGAGTAGGTAGTTTTCCCCTCACAGCATAAACAAAGCCTCTGGAAGTTCAGACTGGGCAGAGCCCACCACAGTGCCTCAAAGCCATGGTAGCCAGATTGCCTCTATAGATTCCTCCTCTCTGGACAGGGGATCCCTGAAAGAAAGGCAGCAGCCACAGTCAGGGGCTTATAGATAAAACTCTCATCTCCCTGGGACAGAGCACATGGGGGAAGGGGTGGCTGTGGGCACCGCTTCAGCAGATTTAAATGCTCCTGCCTGCCAACTCTGCACAACTATACACACATACAACTGTACAACTTTATGGAAACTGAACAACCTGCTCCTGAACGAGTACTGGGTAAATAACACAATTGAGGCAGAAATAAGTTCTTTGAAACCAATGAGAACAAAGACACAACATACCAGAATCTCTGGGACACAGCTAAAGCAGTGTGCAGAGGGAAACTTATAGCACTAAAAGCTCACAGGAGAAAGTGGGAAAGATCTAAAATCAACACCCTAATATCACAATTGAAAGAACTAGAAAAGCAAGAGCAAACAAATTCAAAAGCTAGCAAAAGACAACAAATAATTAAGATCAGAGCGGAACTGAAGGAGATAGACACATGAAAAACTCTTCAAAAAAAAAAAATGAATCCAGGAGCTGGTTTTCTGCAAATATCAACAAAATAGATAGACCACTAGCCAGACTAAAAAAGAAGCAAAGAGAGAAGAATCAAATAGACACAGTAAAAAATGATACAGTGGAGATCACCACTGATCCCACAGAAATACAAACTACCATCAGAGAATACTATAAACACCTCTATGCAAATAAACTAGAAAATCTAGAAGAAATGGATGAATTCCTGGACACATACACCCTCCCAAGACTAAACCAGGAAGAAGTTGAATCCCTGAATGGATCAGTAACAAGTTCTGAAATTGAAGTAGTAATTAATAGCATACCAACAAATAAAAGCCTAGAACCAGACAGATTAACAGCCAAATTCTACCAGAGGTACAAAGAGGAGCTGGTACTATTCCTTCTGAAACTATTCCAAAAAATATAAAAAGACTCCTCCCTAATTCATTTTATGAGGCCAGTATCATCCTGATATCAACATCTAGCAAAAACACAACAAAAAAAGAAAATTTCAGGCCAATACCCCTGATGAACGTCAATGGGAAAATCCTCAGTAAAATACTGGCAAACCAAATCCAGCAGCACATCAAAAACTTATCCACCACAATCAAGTTGGCTTCATACCTGGGATGCAAGGCTGGTTCAACATACAGAAATCAATAAACGTAATCCATCACGTAAACAGAACCAATGTCAAAAACCACATGATTATCTCAATAGATGCACAAAAGGCCTTTGATAAAATTGAACATATTTTCATGTTAAAAACTCTTAATAAACTAGGTATTGATGGAACATATCTCAAAATAATAAGAGCTATTTATGACAAACCCACAGCCAATATCATACTGAATGGGCAAAAGCTAGAAGCATTCCCTTTGAAAACCAGTGCAAGACAAGGATGCCCTCTCTCACCACTCCTATTTAACTTAGTATTAGAAGTTCTGGCCAGGGCAATCAGGCAAGAGAAAGAAATACAGTGTATTCAAATAGAAAGAGAGGAAGTCAAGTTAGCTCTGTTTGCAGATGACATGATTATATATTTAGAAAACCCATTTTCTCAGCACAAAAACTCCTTAAGCTGATAAGCAACTTCAGCAAAGTCTCAGGATAGAAAATCAATGTGCAAAAATCACAAGGATTCCTATACACTGATAATAGAGAGCCAAATTATGAGTGAACTCCCATTCACAATTGTTACAGAGAGAATCAAATACCTACGAATACAACTTACAAGGGATGTGAAGGATCTCTTCAAGCAGAACTACAAACCACTGCTCAAGGAAATAAGAGAGGGCACAAATGGAAAAACATTCCATGCTTATGAATAAGAAGAATCAATATCGTAAAAATGGCCATACTGTCCAAAGTAATTTATAGATTCAATGCTATCCCCATCAAGCTACCAATGATTTTCTTCACAGAATTAGAAAAAACTACTTTAAATTTCATATGGAACCAAAAGAGAGCCCTTATAGCCAAGACAATCCTAAGCCAAAAGAACAAAGCTGGAGGCCTCATGCTACCAGACTTCAAACTATACTACAAGGCTACAGTAACCAAAATAGCATGATACTGGTACCAAAACAGATACATAGACCAATGGAACAGAATAGAGACCTCAGAAATAACATCACACATCTACAACCATCTGATCTTTGACAAACCTGACAAAAACAAGCAATGGGGAGAGGATTCCCTATTTAATAATTGGTGTTCGGGAAACTGGCTAGCCATATGCAGAAAATGAAATTGCACCCCTTCCTTACACCTTATACAAAAATTAACTCAAGATGGATTAAAGATTTAAATGCAAGACCTAAAACCATAAAAACCCTACAAGAAAACCTAGGCAATATCATTCAGGACATAGGCATGGGAAAAGACTTCATGACTAAAACGCCATAAGCAATGGCAACAAAAGCCAAAATTGACAAATGGGGTCTAATTAAATTAAGAGCTTCTGCACAGCAAAAGAAACTATCATCAGAGTGAACAAGCAACCTACAGAATGGGAGAAAATTTTTGCAATCTATCCATCTAACAAAGGGCTAATATCCAGAATCTACAAGGAACTTAAACAAATTTACAAGAAAAAAACAAACAACCCCACCAAAAAGTGGGCAAAGGATATGAACAGACACTTTTCAATAGAAGACATTTATGCGGCCAACAAACACATGAAAAAAAAGATCATCACTGGTCATTAGAGAAATGCAAATCAAAACCACAATGAGATATCATCTCACACCAGTTAGAGTTAGAATGGTGATCATTAAAAAGTCAGGAAACAACAGATGCTGGAGATAGGAATGCTTTTATACTGATGGTGGGAGTGTAAATTAGTTCAACCATTGTGGAAGACAGTGTGGCGATTCCTCAAGGATCTAAAACCGAAATACCATTTGACCCTGCAATCCCATTACTGGGTATATACCCAAAGGATTATAAATCATTCTACTATAAAGACACATGCACACTTATGTTTTTTGCAGCATTATTCCCAATGGCAATGACTTGGAACCAACTCAAATTCCCATCAATGTTAGACTGGATAAAGAAAATGTGGCACATATACACCATGGAATACTATGCAGCCATAAAAAAGGATGAGTTTGTGTCCTTTGCAGGGACATGGATGAAGCTGGAAACCATCATTTTCAGCAAACACAGGAACAGAAAACCAAACACCACATGTTCTCACTCATAATTGGCATTTGAATGAGAACACATGGGCACAGGGAGGGGAACATCACACACCAGTGCCTGTTGGGAGGTGGGGGGTAAGGGGAGGGATAGCATTTTGAGAAGTACCTAATGAAGATGACAGGTTGATGGGTGCGACAAACCACCATGGCACCTGTATACCTATGTAACAAACCTGCACGTTCTGCACATTTCCCAGAACTTAAAGTATAATTTTTAAAAAGTGTCAATTATCTCTCCTTTCTTGTCCTTTCTCATACAGCAAAACCCCAACACCAGATCTATCTAATTCTCCACCTTTTTAAACTCCTTGAGATACTGAATTTTGTCGGATAAACACGTATTCTTGGGCAGATTGGCGGCCCTCGAAGTGAGGGCCTTCAACTTGGCTCAGCCACGACCCAACCATCACACTGTGGTCCTGCCACCTCACTAACCTATTTTTAAGTCCATGCCCTCCACACTTTTGCCACTCTCCCCCGCCTGCCTAGACCACCTACCTGCCTCATTACCTGCAAATGGCTTTAACCTTCACATCAAGTAAAATAAAGGTTCTTGGGTTGGAAATCCACTACCTCCCAAACCTACCTAGCACCGCATCTGCATGAGTATCCACCCTGTCTTCTGATCTCAGGGAAGAGATCACAGTCCCTGTGCTTTGTCAGTGTCTTAATTATCTCCCCCCTCTCTCTATCATCTTTCCTTCATTGACTTTTTTTTTTTTTTTTGAGAAACATTCTCATTCTGTCACCCAGGCTAGAGTGCAGTGGGCATGATCTCGGTTCACTATATCCTCTACTTCCTGGACTTAAGTGATCCTCTCACCTAAGCTTCCTGAGTAGCTGGGACTACAAGTGCATGCCACCACACCTGGCTATTTTTTGTATTTTTTGAGGAGACAGGGTTTTGCCACATTGCCCAGGCTGGCCTTGAACTCCTGGAGTCTGGTAATCCACCCACCTCGGCCTCCAAAAGTGCTGGGATTACAGGTATGAGCCACTGGGCCCAGCCCTGCTTTTTCCCTTGACAAATATACATGTCCAAGTCTAACTTAAAAAATTCTCCCTCATTCCTTTGCCCTTCTTTCACCACTCCATGACTTCTCTTCTGCTTTTTCAATGGGCAGTTTTACCACAACTGTCTCCACTTTTCACCTCCCGTTGAATCCTCTGTTTGTTATATTCCAAGTCCCACCACCTCCACTCTGAGGCTGCTCATCAAGATGGAAAATTATCTTCACTTGCCAAACACTATCTCATCTGACCTCTGGGCAACTCTTGAACCTGTTTGCGTCTCCCTCCTCAAACCTTTCTTTTTCACTGGCAGCACTGCCTACTGGTTTTCTTCCCACCTCTCTGTTGCCTCTCATTTTCCTTCCCAGGGTCCTTTCCTTTACCTGCCTCAGAAGAGCATTCCCTCCCTGGGTTTCTTTCTTAGCTCCTATTCTTACTCCATACACTCTCACAGCTTCAACTACCACCCATAGCCTGATATCTCCCAAACTAGATCCCAAGCCCAGATCTGTTCTATGAGCCTTGAACAGTTCTATGCAACGATCTATTGGTTATCTCTACTCAGATCTCTAACAGAGAGCTTTAACTCATGCCCAAAACAGAACTTACCACTCCTTTATCCCTGCCATTGATCAATTCCATTGTTACTATTTCTATATTTTGTAACTCAGTGTTTCTCAAACTTTTTTACTTATTGTTATGTCTCACCTTGTCACCTTTTCAGAGGGTTCTCTACTACCTTATCTAAAATAGCAACCCTATTCTCACCTTCCAACAATCTCCATCCCCTTATCCTGTGTTTTCTTCATAGAATGTATTGGAACCTAAACATTATTGTATATATTTGCTTTATTTTCTGTCTCTCCTACTTAAAGGCTGTAAAAGACAGGGACTTTCATTCACCACAGCATCTCCTGCACCTAGAACAATGCCTGGGACATAAGGAATGAAAGTATGGGCTCAGAATTATGCAGTGGACTCCACTGGGGTGATTTTAAAATACAGATTCAGAGGCCCCACTCCACCTCAGCCTCTAGGGTGAAGCCCAGGAAATGACATTTTCAAAAAGCTCACCAAGTTAGTTATTGTAGGAACTCTTTCCTAACAAGATGAATGTCACTGTCACCAATCTGCACATCCTAACTCATCATTCCCTCTTACTTTGCAGATCCGGTTATTCACCATGCCCTATTTTTCTCTCTCCTTGTCCCATCTAATGTTTCTGACATTACTTAGATGTGTACCCTCCCTATTTTCCAATGTCACTACCTTCTGTGAAACAAAAATAAAATCTTAAGTTCCCTGACTGACTGAATGAACCCCTCTTGGCCAAGAAGACTCCAAAAAAACTTTTAAAACTAAATTTCTGGGCCATCACAGGACAGGAGGTTGGTCATGCCTCTCAGTACACCCTCCTTCCTTGCTAACTTGCCAGATTTTTTTCCTAAGAGTTAAATAGAAACCAGCCTTGGAAAACAAAGAGTGGAAAACTCAGTCCTCTGATGACTTCAGCCAACCACTTGATATTATGGCCAATTCCCCTCCCTTTTTGCAGTTTCCTGGTGACACTAATCAGTTTCACAAAGCATTCTTTCCTGGTAAATGACCATCAACCACAAATTAGGTCCAGCTGGTTTATGAAGCTTGTGCCCAACAAAGCACCTGTGTCCTAAATTTCACCTTTTGATGTATAGAGACTAATTTTACTGTATTTTAATGCTACGTCTCTACCCCAAACTGAACTTGGGATGTCTGTAACATGTATGTTTCCTTGCCATGCCTGCATGACCTCCCTTTATGAATATTCATAGCTCCTCCTAAAACCTGTTGAATATGTATATTTCCTGTTTGGCATAAAATTCCTGTTCTACCTTTCCTCCCCTCTAAGTGCCTGCTTTTGGTCTCAGCAGGAGGCTTCACTTCCCAGCCTGCAGGTTGCAACCCCTCAGAAGAAATAAAGTTCTCTTTTCCAAATTTTAGATCTCATGCTTTTAAGTCAATACTTCATACCATTACTATTTTTTGTCAGCTATCTGGGCATGTTTCTAATCGATATCTCCATCTTTGACCTGACATAATACATTTTTCTATGCTTCCCTCAGAGTAAATATCACACCACTTCCCTGTTAAAAATCTTGTATCCATTTCCTACTGCCTTTGAAATTAGGCCCAAATTCATGATTGTGTTCTGGCTACCACATAGCTCTCATGTCAGTCTTCCTGAATCAGCCTTGTCCTCTCTGCTCCAGTCAAACTGGACAACTTGCATGGCCGTGTTTATCATCTCTCCTCCTAGCTGCACAGGTTTGTAGCTATTCTGTCTGGAATTCCCTTCCCTCTGCTTTTCCCTGTAGCCAACCCCAATAAGTCACACCCTCCCACTCAGGTATGGGTCTTCTCTCAGAACCAAACGCACTCCTAGGTCACAGCTGGATGAAGTGGTTTCTACCACTAGCTTGTAGGTCTCTTAGATGCAAAGTCTGTGCCTTTGAGCTCTGCATCCCCAGAGCCTACATAGGCAGGATCGTGCTGAAGCCAGCTTTCTCCAGCTTGGAAAAACCAATTGAGCAGCTCTCCCCAGTTTCCACATTTACTTTAGTAGCTTGTAATCAGCCATGGAGGGAGTATTTACACCACAGAAATTGGCAAATTATATAAATCAGGAATTTTTTCCTTTCCTGGAGAGCTGGTTGTTAAATATTCACCAGCATATCCCTGCCTACAGAGCACCATGTCTAACACCAAATATGCACTCAATTCAATCAATATTTGCTGGATACATGAATGAACATATGAGCAAATAAAAGCTTTTGGGAGTCAAAATTGTCTTTTTGAGACTTGCAATTTCATGTTTTTTTCCTTGTATAACACATTGCCCATTCATTCCCTCTTTTATAAAATCCTTCAATTGAAAAAAGAGATAGCTGTCATGTTTCCCCTTAATCTTCTATTTCTCATACTAGAGTTCCTCAGTTCCTTCAGCCATTCCTAAGGATACTCTTCACTCTGGCCATGTCCCTGGAAAGGCTCTGACATATCAGGGTTCCTTTTTAAAAACCATGGCTCCCAGATGTGACACATTCCCTTGGATGGCCTGACCAGTGCTGACGACAATGGACCCATGGAATTCCAGTAATTAGTGTTTGGTGCTTCTATCACTAAAGCTTTGGGTATGAGCTGTGCTCACACACACCTAAACTCACACAAATCCATCATACGCTTATGTACTAAGTGGATGTTGATACAAAATGTCATTTTCACAGACAGCCTTGTTAAATGTTGTTCTATATTTTTTCAGCCTCAATCTCTTAACCTATTAAGATGCTATTTAATCTTGATTCTATCATCTCTCAGTGTTTTTGTCTGCCCTGATGTCTGAATTTCAAATTATGCACCAGAGATTCTTGAGTAGGTAATAGAAGAGGAACCATGGGAAGGAAGGAAGCTAACATTGATCAAGGAATGCCTTCCTTATGCAAGGTATTAGGCAAGATATTTATTATTATTATTTTTCAAGACAGGGCCTCCCTCTGTCACCCACATTGGAGTGCAGTGGCACGATCTCAGCTCACTGCAACTTCCACCTCCCAGGCTCAAGCAATCCTCCACCTTAGCCTTCTGAATAGCTGGGACCACAGGTGTGTGCCACCACACCCAGCTAATTTTGTGTGTGTATTTTTGGTAGAGATGGGGTTTCATCATGTTGCCCAGACTGAAGGTATTTCCATATATTTTACCTCCTTTAATTCTAGTGACAACCTACAAGGAAAGCATTGATAGTAACATTTAAACAGATTAAAACTCCCCAGTGCCACACAGAGTGAAAGTGCCCTTGATCGGAGTGAAGCTGTTTGTAAGCTGGAGGTGGAATCAGATCCCATGTTTATCTGAGTCTACACTTTGTGTGCACCATTGCACTGCTTCCCAGAAAACATTACCAATAGCTAAGGTTAGCATTAATGAAGTGCTTTCATAGTGACTTCTTTATAGAACACCTACAATGTTATGAGGGAGTTTCTACTCCCTCTTTTTAAAAGACTTACTTCTTTGGCCAAGTTCAGATAATCTCCATAGAGTGGCCAAGGAATGGCCCATGCTGCCTGACCATAAGATAGAATGCCAACAGGCAAACCATTGCTGCCCTCTAGCCATGAGAGCAGTAATAAAATCAACATTATTTCATAGCCTGTGTTGGGCACTGAGATGCCAAACTCTGTGTGAAGCTTGCTATTTACATGTTCTTGATCACTTTCATAATCAGCCTATGAGGCAGGTGTTCCTATTTTCAAAGTGTGGAAACTAACACCTTGAGAGGTGAGTTCACCTGCCTAGGATCATGGTTAATAAGAGGCAGAGTTGGGCCTTATTAACTTCTATGCCCCATTCTCATCCATGACAGTTGATGGGAAAGAATCACCTGAAGGAGTACAAAAGCCCAGATTGTCTCATAGGCCACTGGAAAAATTCCTGGCCTTGCTTGACCTTTTCTCCAAGACTCTCTGGGTTTTCTAAGGGTAATCACATATTTGCAATTCAGTGATGTCCAGATCCATGTCCAAATTCCATTTATTGTTTAAATTTATCGTAAAGAAGAAGGAAAATAAGCAAATGAAGAGGAGACAAGGGAGGATTTGTGCCTGTCCATTTTAGAACTGCCATTCCCCCCACTCCCATATGTTGCCATTCTGGCTATGAAAGTCAAGTTTCTTCCAGCATGTGCATATCTGTATATGTCAAAATGGTCAATCATCCAGGCCTACAAGGCTGCCTGGATTATATGTCAGCATTTAACATCATATCAATGACCCAAATAGGCCAACAGATTCCTGACAGGTTTATTTCCCCCAGAGAGAGGTATAAACACACCCATTCCTAAGAAAATAGTATCTTTTTTTTTCTTTACTTATTCTCTCTTAGATTCTTTCTCCTGCCTGAACAGGTCCTGACTAAACATTGTCACCACGATGAATGGTGAGGTGTCATGCAGAGAGAAGTGCCATAATGCAGACGGCATTAGCTGCAAATGGGAGCATGAGATCTTAAGACAACACTTCTGAAGCCAGAATAGCTAAGAAGAGAGAAGTACTCCTAAGACTTGGGTGTTTGGTCCAGACATGATCCTTTTAGCTCAATGTCATTCCATTCTCCTCTCACCCATCAGATTGGATGTACCTAATTGGTCTCCAGGTGTGTTTTTGCTGTCTCTTGTCTCTGATTCTGCCCTATAGCCTGCCACTGCCTATTAATGCTGCCTGGAATTATGCCCCTCCAAGCTTCCTTTCCCTCTGAAGACCTTCCTAACTTAGTGTACCTTCCAGAGGTTCAGGCTACTATCCCAGGCCACCTTTCCACAACCTAGAGTCTCCAACTGAAAGAACAGGGTCCAACTTATTGACACAGTTGCTGGATGGCTTCTTGGTCACTGACCTGAGTTGTATTTCTTGAACCTGCCTGTTGAGGAAGAGGCAGAGTTACTGACCAACTCAGAGCAAGGAGGGTGTCCTACTATATTATTTTTAGCTAGATTCTTAGCAGGGAGATCTGAAGCCAAGACCCCTGTCTATGTCACTGCAGACCAAACCTTATAAGCTGCCAAGGCTCTTCAACACAGCCCAGCTTTGAATGGCCTTGCCTTTGGAAATATGGCCTTTATTAGAATGAACTAGGTGTGTTTTAGGGACAAGGAACATTCAAGGAGGCTTGAGAAGATGCAACACCCACTCTTTCACACTCTACTTCCCATACATGAGAGATGATGATCATAAACACCATCCCTCCAGGGCCAGGACACCATGCTTATCCTAACTTACAGACAAAAACAATTCAATTTATGCCTGTTCCAAGGACACGCTTAGTTTCAATGCCCTTAGTTTTAATACCCTGTTCCTGAGGGAGGTGACTAAGCCCAATTCATGTCCCAGGTTTGAAGGATATCGCTTAGGAAAGGTTCAGTCTGCAATTCCACTCCTCACCATTCCTAAGAATGATGAAATAGGATCTAGGAAAATACCCTCACATTTAGGGGCTTCCTGCTGGCAGGACAACTGAGCCACTCATTCCTTTGCAGTTGAGTCTGCTTATAGAAAATACCATTCAATTTCTGCTCAATTCAACATCCATGTATTGAAAATTTAAGTACCTGGTTCTGTGCTAGATCCTGAAGATGTAAAAATAGATAACAGGACTACTTCACTCAAGCAGTTTATCGTCCAGTAAGAAGACCCAAACTTCTTATGTAATCATGTTACATATGCAACTAAATAAGTATGTACAAGGTTCAGATACAGAAGTGCTATAAAGAAGGAAGCCATTGATCCTACAGGTGTGGGGGCAGTCAAGTGTCCTAACAGGAGATCATGCCACACACAAATTTGAAAAATAGCTGTGTACTTCCTATTCGAGTTAGTGGAATGAATGCACATTATCCCCACTATCTCCTGAAACCTTACCAAAAAACAACACAGGGATTTTTTTCTTTAAGGAATAAATATTTAAAGACAAGGAGATCAGGAAAAGAAACAATACCAAACACCTTATTTTGAAGAAGAAAAGCAGATGGGCATTTGATAACGACTCTACAGAGCTGAGAAGACTGAAATCTTAACTGGCAGTGGAAGTGACTGAACCGCAGAACCCCAGAAAGGTACAAGATGTCTCTAATCATGAAGGTGAAAGTGAAGCTAAAAGCAGAAGCATCTCAAAGTTGACCCCATGATGCCTTCTCCCCACAACCACCCTCCCCACAACACATGCAGATAGCTCTCCTTCCTCAACCATGGCAGAAGTTGGGAGAGGATGAACTAGAGGGACTCCAGGTTGGGGCCATCAGGTACAGTGAGGGCTGAAGTGTTGTCCTGAAAGCAGGGATTCAGGGAAAGTCTGCAGATAGAACTGTCAGAGCCTTCTGCAATCAGAACATCAGCACCAGGCTCATTCTCTCTAGGAAAAGAGAGAAAACTGCCTAGTCCAAGAGAAAAGATATAAAGGGTGCCACCATATAACAGCATGGTCACATCACCCAGCTGATGAAGCTGTTTCTAGTCAACAGACCCCATTCACAAGCATAGAGTTCTTTAGGGCTTGGCTTTTAGAGTGGACAGCCCAGAATTTCCAGGTGTTGGAGAAAAGCCTCTGAAAGCAAAGCTCCCCCTCCCTCCAAAAACAGGAAAAAAAAGAATTTAGAAGAAAATCAAGACAAGTCAGGGAAAAGAGGCCTGTGTAATTTTATATATACATATTCATATTTATATATACAATTTACATATATATATAAAATTGTATAGGTCTCATATATATATGTATAGGTCTCATATATATAAAAGATATATATATCATATAGAGAAGAAATAAGATATATAATTATATAAAAGATATATATCTTATATTTTACAATATATAGTTATATATTATATATAACATCTATTACTATATATAAGCTATATAGTAACATTATATCTATTATATATTATACATAATATCTAAGATATGTTATATGTATTATGATATATATAATATAGATTATGTTATCTATCTATATTTTTTCAATATCCTTAAAGAGAAGAGAAAGTTTTACTGATGAAACAAAACAGGATGATTTAGAAAGAAGTAGGTCATTCAGAGGACCAAAAATTAACAATTTCTTAGAAATGCATAAAAACTCGACAAATATTTGGAAGATAATTTGAAGAAAACAGAGAATAGAAGAAAAAAAACAAAGAGATAGAAAACAGGAAATTATGAAATTAGGGAATCAGCCCAGGAATACTAAAGAATTTCTAAAAGAAACAATGGCAAAAATAGAAATTATTAAATATTTCAAGAAAATTTCCCAGAACTGAAGGACTTTAACTTCTGGATTATAAGGTGCACCAAGCAACCAGCACAATGACAGAACACAGGCTCACATCAAAGCACATCATTGTAAAATTTCATACTATGAAGGACAGAGAGAAGCCCCTGAAACGTTTTCAGGGAAGTCAGATACAAAGGATCAAGAACCAAAAAGGCATCAGACTTGCTTAGTTTTCATTTCTTCACTTACTATTTTCCAGAGAAAACTGCGTAATCCAAGAGAAAAGCATTGGGAGCTGCTGTCAGTGGATTCGTAGTGAGTAAAGAAAATGGGGCAATGCCTTTAAAACTCTGAAGAAAAATCATTTCCAATCTAGGATTCTATACATAGACAAACTGTCAATCAAAAGTCAGAACAGAATAAATATACTTCCAGCTTGCAAGTTTTCAAAAACATTTATCACCCATACATCTTTCTCAGGAGGCTACTTCAGGATATGGTTTGACAAAGACAGGGAGTAAATAAAGACAAGATGACATGGGATCCAGGAAACAGGGAATCTAACATAGGAGAGGGGAAGGGGGGAAAGAGAATTCTAAGATGATGAAGAAGGGAACTGAGGAAGATAGCTGCTCAGCAGGCATGCAGTGCAGGTAGCACAGACTGGAGAGGAAGCACAGAGAGTATCTAGAAAGCTCCCAAGAAGATGAACTTCTTGGAATATCTGATGTGTTTAAATATATTGAGAAGAAATGTACATATATGGAAGAATGTCTAGGTAGGAATTAGTGGTAGGTGAACAGAAAACTGCACAAACGAAGAAATAAGACAATTATTAACTCCAAGGAATATTAAATGTTGTACAAGAAAGAAAATGCAATCATCCTTTACACTACATGGACATGCTGTGAATACAGTCATAATTATGTAAACACTGAATACAGATCTAACTAAAATGATGATATAAGCCTACTGGGAGGTTTGGAAAAAAAAATTGTGGAGGTGGGTGAGGGAGGTGTTAAAGAGAGCTAATTCTTCATCTTTCATAGTGAGAATTTAATAATTCCTAAAATGAAAAATCAAGAGGTCGGCAGTAGAAACATGTTATTTAACAATTTGGAGGTAAATGCCCAAAGAGCAATCAAAAGTGGTTGCCTCTGGGAAGTGGGAAAGAAGGATGGAGAAGGGGAAGGCCGGGAATCTGCTATTTTTCATAATAAGGCTTATAACTACTTGACTTCTTAGAACCCATATAACATTTAAATTTAAAAAGATTTCCCTGGGTGGAGAGAAGGAAGAAATCATCTTCAAGTATTTACAAATACTCAACATGTGACACAGTGGGGAATACACTCAGAGTTGCCCTAGGGCGTTGGAGTGTGGAAGAGTTAGGAGACCTGGGAGAGGCCAGCAGAATCCAGATCATGAAGGGCTTTGCATGCCCTCAACCCAGATGGATCACTTCCCAGGGCCTTGTGAGAAATCTCAAACCGAACCATGGAAAACGGAAGATCGGCTGGGCTATTAAAATGGAAAAATGTTGGTCTGGTTTCTGGAAGGAAGAAAGAACAATGGCTCATTGTTCAGGTAAAATTCTAGAATGGACTTTAAAATGAACAATTTTGACAAAAGGAATAATCATAAAAAATCAACATGGGTTCATGAAGAAGTTACACCAGAATCCCTCTTTCTTATCCAGTGTGATTATGAGATTGAAAGATACAAGAAAGCTG
Source organism: Homo sapiens (assembly GCF_000001405.40). NCBI lineage: Eukaryota > Metazoa > Chordata > Mammalia > Primates > Hominidae > Homo > Homo sapiens. Next base: position 181,934,946 of record NC_000001.11, read on the forward strand.
AGCACACAGGATATCTTTATTTCAGTTAAATACTTGTCTTCTTGCTGCTGCTATGAATAAGACGAAGATGTGGACCAGGCGACAATATGGTGGGGTGACTATGTAACTGATTGATTAGCCATAAGCTGTGGTTTATGTCCTTTGCTCAGGGGTTCTGCCCTAACTGATTTCTGTCCCAAATCAGTATTTTAAACCATGAATTGGATGATGACATTTTTATCAAGTTTCCATGTCAGAACCCCAAAAAGGCTAATATTTGGAAAAGGCAGCCTTCTAAATGATCTCGACGTGTATGAAATAATGGATTGACTCTAACAACCTAAGCTTACTAGTAACAAATATGAATTCCTTTGCATGGGGTATGTCGCCCTGTCATCACCAGGCCAGCTTTACCTGTGGCTACAAGTTCCTTAGACTCTGGACAAAGGTAACTACCTGCAGTACTGAGACGAGCCTTGCTTCTTCTAAGTGTCCCCCCACTTTTCTCCTCCACCCCACAATATACTTAATCAACACAAACTCCACTGGCAGATTCAGCACAAGCTATGAATTTTTGTCTTACTGCACCCTCTCTTTCTCTACCCCAATACCAATAGGATTTGACATTTTTTCCTTTGGGTTCCCACTGTACCCAAGTGATGTCTCCAAACTAGCTATAGCACTCCAAGGCCATTTCCCCCTTTAATTAGTGAGGAAGTATAATGGGGTAGTTAAATAGCTGCTGGAACCAGACTCACTGGGTTCAAATCCTGGCTCTACCATTTATTGACTGTGAGATGGTGGGAAAGTCCCTTAAATGCTCTGTGCCTCAGTCTCCCCATCTAGAGAGAAGAGGTGATAATACTTCCTACCTCACTGGGAGGAAAAGAGGATTAAATAAGTTGATGTTAATAACTAGCACAAGGAAAGTATAAACAGTTATACGTATATACCTGTCTCTCTTAATAGTCACTGACCACCTTATGAATTGTATCTCCATATCACAGCAATTAACATTTTGGAACATAGCAAATCCAAGAGCACTGACTTACAACCCTTCAGTAGCTCTCTACCACCCCTAAGACAAAGACCAACTTCCACAGCCTGCCTAGATTTCCTTGAGACCTGGCAGGAGCTGGCCTCTCAAGCCTACACTCTCCCCCAACACTCTTCAGATGCTACACTGAAGCCCTGAAAAATATCCCAGCCACTAACCTTCTCCAGACCTTTGTTCTGAGGCCTTCTCCACCCTCTGAATGTTGATGTTCTAGCCAGAGCCAATTTCACGGCTAGACAGCTGGCACAGAGCAGCAGAACCCAGAAAAATAGTGACGGCTCATGGTTCACCAGTGGCTTACTCTTTGTGAGGATGTCACCATGGACCAGAACATGTGTCACCTCCACACCACCCTCAGGCTGCCTGTGTGAGCATCTCAGCATGCACCAGAACATGTATCACTCACATACTGCCAACAGGCTCTCTGTGTGAGCGCCTCAACATGGACCAGGGTGTCACCTCCGCACCACCATCAGGTTCTCTCTGTGTCTTTCCATGAACCAGGACATGTGTCACCCCCACACTGCCATCAGGCTGAGTGCCTCACCATGGACCAGAGTGTGTGTCACTCCTCCACCACCATCAGGCTCTCCCATCATTTGAGTGGCTTCTTGCAGAGCCTATTAGCACCTGAAGGGAGCCCTCATCTCTCTGAGCCCTTGGTCTCTCAGGACAGCTTTTTCCTCATGTGCACTGCCCTCTTCAATGCAGATATTCTCGGGGAGTCCAGTTAATTTTTTACTCTTGTAAAATTAACTCAGTATTAGCCAGATCTGGGAATATTAGCTGAGAACATCTTGGTTTCTTCATGACCTTTACATATAACTAATGTTTTGTGGTCAGGGCCTCTGTCATCTCCACATTTGACTTTCTCAGATTCCTAATCTGAGTCATGAACTTGGAAGGTACTTTCAAACCTCACTGTTGATTTTGACAACCTGAAAGCCCACAACTGGGGGTGAAGGGGAAAACACCCACTGGACTGAGAAGAAACGTGCTTATGTTGCCCTCTCTGAAAACCTTTAATCACTATTAAAAAAAAAAAAAAAAAAAAAGCAAAAACAGTGTCCTGTGTAAGTTCAGCTCTCTGGGGCATGTGGACCTCCACAAGCTAGGGGCCATTTCCTGATGCAGAGCCTCCGGTTGCCTGTGACTGGAACCGCAGTGCCATCCAATGGCAATCTTGTGTAATGCAGTAGCTCCTCCATCTTTCTGCACCTGTAGTTTTCCTAGTGCTCCTGAACAGGAAGCCTCACAAGTCCTGTGGTATAAAAACCTGTTTTCTGTTCCTGTGTTGGTTTGCTTAGGATAACGGCCTCCAGCTCCTTCTGTGTTGCTACAAAGGACATGATCTTGTGTCCTTGAGGGTGGAAGGTGGGAGGAGGCAAAGGATCAAAAACTATCGGGTACTATGCTTATTACCTGGGTGACAAAATAACCTGTAAACCAGCACCCCCTGCCGCCGTGATATGCAACTTGCCCATATAACAAACCTGCACACGTACCTCTGAACTTAAAAGTTAAAAAAAGGAAACCTGTTTTCTCAATGTCATTTGAGTATGCAGCCTTTTTCTTTCTTTTTGTTTAATGTCTACGAACCTTTTGAAGGCTTAATGCTTTATAGAGTTTGAGCAGCAGTTCGCAAAGTGTGGTCCAGGGAGTCCCAAGAACCTTTTAGGGATTTTGCAAAGTCAGAATTATTTTTATAGTAATACTAAGACATATTCCGCCTTTGGCTTCTTATTCCCTTATAAGGGTACACTGGAGTCTTCCCAGGGCTATGTGACCTACACTGTCCTCAGAGGCAGATATGAGACTCAAACAGAGGCAGATATGAGAATGGAGCTGCCTTCTATTAAGCAAGATATTATAAAGATTTGCAAAATTTAAAAAACGTCATTTATTACTTTTTTGGAAAATACAGTTATTTTATTGAAATACGTTATTATGTGTATGTAATAATTGGTTTTGTTGTTGTTGTTTTGTTTTTTTGGTTTTTTTTGAGACGGAGTCTCGCTCTGTCGCCAAGGCTGGAGGGCAGTGGTGCGATCTCGGCTCGCTGCAAGCTCCGCCTCCCGGGTTCACACCATTCTCCTGCCTCAGCCTCCGGAGTAGCTGGGACTACATGCACCCACCACCATGCCCAGCTAATTTTTTGTACTTTTAGTAGAGACGAGGTTTCACCGTGTTAGCCAGGATGGTCTCGCCCTCCTGACCTCGTGATCCGCCCGCCTAGGCCTCCCAAAGTGCTGGGATTACAGGCGTGATCCACCGCGCCCGGCCAAGAATTGTTATTTTTAATGAACATTTTTAAAATTTCTAATTTTGAATATGGTTAAGTATTGAGAGACGTTACCCCCCCCCCCCCCACATAGACTAAAGCTCTTTAGAGTCCTGGATATTCATTTTAAGAGTGTAAAAGGGTATTGAGACTAAAAAACTTAATAACCGAAAACTTAAAAACTTAAGTTTCAGAGGCTTAGTTGGACTGTCCAACTATGTACTCTCATCATTTCTGTATCGAATGGGACACATGGGTGGCACAGAACCTCACTGGCATAGTAAACAAGGGGATGTGGATATATTTTTTCTAGGGAGAAGGCTTAGCTTTCCTCTAGTTTTCAAAGCTCTGTATGACACTGTCCAACCCCATAAAGGTTAGGAGCCACTTAAAAGCGAGCATGACAGCCAAGGGGCTAGAAGGCTTGACACTCATCCCCTCTCTGACACCGACTACTCTGTGACAGATACGAGTCACCTAATCTTTGCTTTATGAGAGGAAAGGGGTAGAGGATCTGTCTGGTGTTTCTCTACTGTCAAAATATAGAAAAATCAGATAAATGTCCATTTTAATTACTTTATAGTTAAAGGAACAATCTTTTAAGTTGTGTTTTATACGATGCCTTGTCCATAAAAGAACTGAAGGTAGTTTGATTCTTCCCTAGCTAGTGTGAAAAATGTGATCTACAGCCTGGGGTAACCAAAGGAGAGTAAATTGAAAAGGACTTATTGCTTTTCCAGATGTTTGTCTATTTTAGTGATCTTTCAAAGATCATGTTGTTGGACTTATTTATCAGGCCTACTGCCTTTCATTTTTCTGTTTTATAGTCTCTTGATTTTTGTTTTCCTGGATAAATATATTTCATTACTTCTTGTTTTATAATTACTTAACACCATGAATTTTCCCTTTAAGGTACAGATTTAGCTATATTCTTTGTTTTTATATATAATGTTCTATTTTTTTAAAATTCTAATTATTGAAGTTTTAGTTTTTTCTATTGTCCAAAAATTAAAAGCTTTTAAAAGTTTCTTATGATTCTTTTAAAAAATACTCGATTTCTAGTTGCATTACATTTTTATAACTGCTGTATTGATATAATTCACATACCCTAAAATTTACCTTTTTAAAGTGTATAATTGTTTTTTGTATGTCAGTTATGTAATAATCACTACCATCTAATTTTAGGACATTTTTATCACTCCAAAAAGAAAACCTATATCCATTAGCCATCACTCCCTAATCTCCTTAGACCCCCACCCCACTCCCATCTTAGAAACCTCTCATGTATTTTCTATCTCTATAGATTTTCCTGTTAGGGACATTTCATATATATGGAATTATATAATATGTTGCCTTTACTGTCTGGCTTCTTTTACTTAGCAAAATGTTCTCAAGTCTTTTCTATGTTGTAGCAAGAATAAATACTTCATTCTTTTTTATGGCTGGAATAGTACTGCATTGCATGAATTTACTGCATTTATCTCTGTTCATTAGCTGATGGGCATTTGGATTGTTTCCTTTTTGGGTTATTATGAATAATGCTACTATTAACTATTGTGCACAAATTTTTGCATGAATAAAAACACACAAAAACTATTCCTCTTTGCTGTATACCTTTACCAGTTGAATTGCTGTATTATATGGTATATTAAAACTCTATGTTTAACATTTTGAGGAACTGTCAAACTGTGTTCCAAAGTGGCTGTATCATTCTATAGTCCAACCATTTCTCCACATTCTGCCCAATAATTGATATTTTTCTTATTTTAGTCATCCTAGTGGGTATGAAGGAGTAGCTCATTGTGGTTATGATTAGCATTTTCTTAATGACTTATGATGCTGAGTCCACTGCATTTTGGTCAGAGATTGTGGCCAAATCTTAGAATTTATTGTGATTTTTTCTTTGTAGCTTAATATGTGATCAATTAAATATTCTCTTAATTGCAGAAGACAAAATCTTTGTTCTTCAGTAAAATGTGATGGTTTTCTATAAAGATCTCTGATATGTAGGGTATACATTGCAATATACATATTATTCAATTATATCCTTATTATTTGCCTGTTAAAAATGCAAAATGTCGAAATATTACTATATTTCTGCTTCTTCTTGTATTTCTATCATTTTACCCTTAAACAAATTGAGGCAATGTTATTTGGTACATAAAGGTTTATGACAGTTTCGGCTTCATTGAGAACTACATCCTTGTTAATATAGTGGTTCTCTGTGTAAAAATGTATAAAATTTTTTTTATCTGATATTGATATTGTTCACTGTTTCCTTATTAGTTGCATTTGCATAAAATGCTTTTGGCATGTTCATAATTTTATTGCCACTTTGCTTTAAATAAGTATCAGATAAATAAGATATAGACAATTTAAAGTTTTTATTTTAATATTATACTTATACAAATGTGTTTTATTGTCTACTAGTAAAAACAAATAAATGAAAACAAATTTTCTGTCTTATAGTGTGATGTCCCTTTTTTCCCAATAAGCTGTTAATAAATTAATGGTAATATCACAACCTCAATGTCATCTTATAAATGAAAAACTATATCCTAGGAATAAAGGATATAGGTTGTGGGTTTTTCAAAAACTCAATCTGAATGTCTTTATATTTTAATGAAAAACTTCATCTATTAATAATTTGCATTTATTTTGATAAATTTCATATTTGGTTTTAGTTCTTTTGTAGCATTCCATACTTTAAAATTTTCTTTTCTGTTGATAAATTATATTTTCTCTGCATTTATTATTTATAGTTTTCAAAGGGTATAAGTAGTTCCTAATTATGCCATTGGCTTCCCATAAGCTTTTCAAAAGCATTGTGTTAACTTATATTTCTTTAAAATTAGATTAAGAAGTTCAACAATATTTTTAAAACTACCATATTTGATGCCATTTTTTCCACCCTACCCCTCGATCACCAACTTCTACGTTTTTTATTACATTTCAAGTTTTTCTATCCATGTTTTTATTATGCAATTATTTTATATGCTTTATATTATCTTTTGATAAGAATTATTTGAAGTTTTCACTAATTTTTCTATGAGACAGGGTCTTGCTCTGTTGCCCAGGCTGGAGTGCAGTGGCACGATCTCAGCTCACTGCAACTCAGCCGCTCAGGTTCAAGCAATTCTCCTGCCTCAAGCTTCCCAAGTAGCTGGGATTTTAGTCCCGTGCCACCAGGACCAGCTAATTTTTGTATTTTTTAGTAGAGACAGGGTTTCACCATGTTGGCCAGGCTGGCCTCAAACTCCTGACCTCAAATGATCCACCCACCTTCCTCCCAAAGTGCTCAGATTACAGGCCACTGTGCCCGGCCTGAAATTTTCATTAAATTTTATGTTCATATAAACAGCAAATATTTAGACATCTCTATTTTAACTGGTTTAAGTAGTCATTGCTGCTTTTCTTTTTATATCCTGATCTCCCTAACCTCGAGCTTTCAGTTTTGCTCCATTATTCATTGGGAAAAAATATTCATGTAGCTTATAAAAAGTAATATACATGAGTAGGACATTTTCTGAGTACCTAAACATCTTAGAATATCTTCAAATTGCTGACACATAAGGAAAGAAAGCTTAGCTTTGTACAAAATTCTTAGGTTACAAAATTTTCTAGGTTGTATTCCATTGTTTTCCAGAATTTCCTGTTTCTAGAATCTAAAATCAACCTGTTTTATCAGGCAAAGAAAAATAATATACAAATACTACCAGCAATGAACACAATACTTTAATATTAATAATTTCAGATTTTTTTATTCCTATGATATAGTTTTCCATTTATAAGATGAAGTTGAGATTGTGACATTACCATTAATTTATTAACAGCTTATTGGGAAGAAAGGGACATCACACTAAAGGACATAAAAGTGGTTTTGTGTTTACTAGTAGACAATAAAACACATTTGTCTGTATAAGTATATTCTAATATTAAAATAAAAGCTTTAAGTTGTCTTTTCATCTGAAGTTTAAAAAAAATTATGAAACATTTTAGTCATTAGCAATCATACATAAGAATAATATACTTTTATAACTTATGTTTATAACATTGATCTTTTTAGCAACATTAGAATTAATACTATAATTTCAAAGTAGACCATGTAATGCCAGGATTTTGTCTACATTTCCCATTTGGAAATTTTTATTATTTCCTTAATCATATTATTGGACAGAGCCTGAGTGACAGCACTTCTTCCAGACACATGAATTGGTCAGAGCTTTTCTAGTTTTGAAAATTCTATTTGGTACAAGAAATCTGATGGTACCTACCATCTTTTATCACATTGCTTAGCATATAACATGCAATCTTCTATTTGCAGGAAACCTTTTTATTTTAATGTTGTCATCATACAGACATTTTTTTGGGACGTTTTATGCAATGAAGAGGCATTTCAAAATAAGTTAAAGTTCAATGGTTAGTGTTATACCAAGACAAGTAACTTAACTAAAAAGACAACTCAGTGTAAAACTATAGTCTTCAATGAGGTTCATACATGTAAAAGTAATGACAATCACATTATAATTTACTATTCTACCAGACAAATGTAGGTGGCCTTCAATATCAATTGTAGCATGCATTTAATTTGGAAATATAAGACTGTCTTACAATTTCAATTCTTTTGCATTTGCTGAGAGTGTCTTACTTCTGATTATGTAATTGATTTTAGAGTAAGTGCCAAGTGGTAATGAAATGAATGTATATTGTTGTTTTCTTGGGTGGAGAGCTCTGTAGATACCTATGAGGTCCATTTGATCCAGTGTTAAGTTCAGGTCCTGAATATCTGTTAATTTTCAGTCTTGATGATCTGTCTAATATTGTCAACGGGGTGTTAAAGACTCCCAGTAGTATTGTGTGGGCATATAAGTCTCTTTGAAGGTCTCTAAGAACTTGCTTTATGAATCTGAGTGCTCCTGTGTTAGGTGCATGTATATTTATGATAGTTAGATCTTATTGAATTGAACCCTTTACCATTATGTCATGCCCTTCTTTGTCTTTTTTGATCTTTGTTGGTTTAAAGTCTGTTTTGTCAGAAATTAGAATTGCAACCTCTGCTTATTTCTGTTTTCCATTTGCTATCTACATTTTTTTCCATCCTTTTATTTTGAGCCTATGTGTGTCACTGCATGTGAGATGGGTTTCTTGACAGCAAACCAATGGATCTTGGGGTTTCTCATCCAGCTTACCACTCTAACAGCCTCTCAGACCACAGCACAATCAAATTTGAAATCAAAACTAAGAAATTCACTCGAAACTATACAATTACATGGAAATTGAATAACCTGATCCTGTATGACTTTGGGGTAAATAATAAAATTAAGGTAGAGATCAAGAAGTTCTTTGAAACTAATGAGACAAAGATACAATGTATCAGAATCTCTGGGACACAGCTAAGGCAGTCGTTTTTTTTTTTTTTTTTTTTTGAGATGGAGTCTCGCTCTGTCACCCAGGCTGGAGTGCAGTGGCACGATCTCCGCTCACTGCAAGCTCCACCTCCTGGGTTCACGCCATTCTCCTGCCTCAGCCTCCCAAGTAGCTGGGACTACAGGCACCCACCACCACGCCTGGCTAATTTTTTGTATTTTTAGTAGAGACAGGGTTTCACTGTGTTAGCCAGGATGGTCTTGATCTCCTGACCTTGTGATCTGCCAGTCTTGGTCTCCCAAAGTGCTGGGATTACAGGCATGAGCCACTGCACCTGGCCAAGGCAGTCTTAAGAGGGAAATTTATAGCACTAGACGCACACATCAAAATGTTAGAAAGACCAAGTTAACAACCTAACATCACAACTAAAAGAGCTAGAGAACCAAGAGCAAACAAATCTCAAAGCTAGCAAAAGACAAGAAATAACCAAAGCCAGGCTAAACTGAAGGAGATAAAGACACAAAAAAACGGTTCAAAAGATCGAGAAATTCAGGATCTTGTTTTTTGAAAAAATTAATAAAATAGGTAGACCACTAGCTAGACTAATAAAGAAGAAAAGAGAGAAGATGCAAATAAACACAATCAGAAACAACAAGGGGGATATTACCACTGACCCCACAGATATACAAACAACCATCAGGGAATATTATGAACATCTCTGTGGACATAAACTAGAAAATCTGGAAGAAATGAATAAATTCCTGGAAACATACATCCTCCCAAGACTGAACCAGGAAGAAATTGAATTCCTGAACAAACCAATAATGAGCTCTGAAATTGAGGCAGTAATAAATAGCCTACCAATGAAAAGAAGCCCAGGACCAGATGGATTCACAGCTGAATTCTACCAGATATACAAATAAGAGCTGGTACCGTTCCTACTGAAACTATTCCAAAAATTGAGGAGTAGGGACTCCTCCCTAACTCATTCTAGATGGCTGGCACCATCCTGATACCAAAACCTGGCAGAAATACAATTAAAAAAGAAAACTTCAGGCCAATATTCTTGATGAACATTGATGCAAAAATCCTCAACAAAATACTGCCAAATCAAATCCAGCAGCATATCAAAAAGCTTATCCACCATGCTCAAGTAGGCTTCATCCCCAGGATGCAAGGTTGGTTCAACATACATAATCAATAAATGGGATTCATCACATAAACAGAACTAATGACAAAAAAACCACATGATTACCTCAATAGATACATTAAAAGGCTTTTGATAAAATTCAACATCCCCTCATGTTAAAAACTCTCAATGAACTAGGTATTGAAAGAACATACCTCAAAATAATAAGAGCCATATATGACAAACCCACAGCCAACATCATACTGAATGAGCAAAAGCTGAACCCTTTCCCCTTTAAAATTGGCACAAGACACATATGCTGTCTCTTACCACTCCTATTCAACAGAGTACTGAAAGTTCCGGCTAGGGCAATCAGGCAAGAAAAACAAACAACGGACATCGAAACAAACCATCCCTGTTTGCAGATGACATGATTCTTTATCTAGAAAACCCCCATCATCTCAGCCCAAAAGCTTCTTAAGTTAATAAACAACTTTAGCAGTCTCAGGATACAAAATCAATGTACAAAAATCCTAGTATTTCTAACACCACCAACAGTCAAGCCAAGAGTTACATCAGGAAAAATTTTCATTTACAATTACCACAAAAGAATAAAATACCTAGGAATACAGCTAACTAGGGAGATGAAATATTTCTACGAGTAGAACATAAACCACTGCTCAAAAAAATCAGAGATAACACAAATGGAAAAACATTCCATGCTCATGGATCAAAAGCATCAATATTGTTAAAATGGCCATACTGTCCAAAGCGATTTATAGATTCAATACTATTCCTACTAAACGACCATTGACATTCTTCACAGAACTAGAGAAAACTATTTTAAAATTCATATAGAACAAAAACAGAGTCTGAGTAGCCAAGGCAATCCTAAGCAAAAAGAAGAAAGCTGAAGGCATCACACTATCTGATTTCAAACTATACTACAGGGATACAGTAACCAAAACAGCATGGTACTGGTACAAAAATAGATACATAGACCAATGAAACAGAATAGAGAACCCAGAAATAAGACTGCACACCTACAACTATCTGATTGTTGACAAACCTGACAAAAACAAGCAATGGGGAAAGAATTCCTCATTCAATAAATGGTGCTGGGATAACTTGCTAGCCATACGCAGAAGTTTGAAACTGGACCTGTTCCTTATGCCATATACAAAAATTAACTCAAGGTGAATTAAAGACTTAAATGTAAAACCCAAAACCATAAAAATCCTGGAAGACAACCTAGGCAATACCATTCAGGACACAGGCATGGGCAAAGATTTCATGAAGACGCCAAAAGCAATTGTAACAAAAGCAAAAATTGACAAATAGGATCTAATTAAACTGAAGAGTTTCTGCACAGCAAAAGAAACTATCAACATAGTAAACAGACAACTTACAGAATGGGAGAAAATTTTTGCAAACTATGCGTCTGACAAAGTCTAAAAACCAGAGTCTACAAGGAACTTAAATTAACAAGAAAAAAAAACAAGCATCCCCATTAAAAAGTGGACAAAGGACATGAACACTTTTCAAAAGACAGCATACATGAAGCCAACAATCCTATGAAAAAAAGCTTAACATAACCAATCATTAGAGAAATGAAAATCAAAAGCACAATAAGATACCATCTCACACCAGTCAGAATGGCTACTATTAAAAAGTCAAAAAATAACATGCTGGCGAGGTTGTGGAGACAAAGAACACTTATACACTGTTAGTGGGAGTGTAAATTAGTTCAGCTATTGTGGAACACAGTGTGGCAATTTCTCAAATACCTACAGACAGAAATACCATTCGACTCAGCAATCCCATTACTAGGTATATATCCAAAGGAATATAAATCATTCTATTACAAAGGCATATGCACATGTATGTTCATTGAAGCACTATTCACAATAGCAAAGACATGGAATCAACCTAAATGTCCATCAACAATAGACTGGATAAAGAAAATGTGGTACATATAAACCATGGATTACTATACAGCCATAAAAAGGAATGAGATCATGTCTTTTTCAGGGGCATGGATGAAGCTGGAGGCCATTATGCTTAGCAAACTAACACAGGAACAGAAAACCAAATACTGCATATTCTCACTTAAAAGTGGGAGCTAAATGATGAGAACACATGGATACATAGAGGGGGACAACACAGACGGGGGTCTTTCAGAGGATCAGGGAAAATAACTAATGCATACTAGGTTATTTTTAGGGTATAGCCCCTTTCTTTAGGTATTAAGCCCCCACCCTTAATATCTGAGTGATGAAATAAGCTGTACCACAAACTCCCATGACACAAGTTTACCTATGTAACAAACCTGCGTTTGTAACCCTGAACTTAAAAAACAAAAAGGAATGTATTGAGGTCTATGAAATTCATTATAAACAACCCGAATTGGATATTGATATTTACAGTTTGAGCTATTTTTTAATATTGCAATTGGGATTTTGTACCTACCTTTTTATACTTGTTTAAACATTTCCTTTAAGTAAAAATCCTAAAAGATTGTTGAGCAAAGAGTTAAACACTTAAAACTTATGATACACATTGCCTAAATTGCTATCGAAAAAATTTATCTGAATTTATGGTTTTGACCAGAAATGAGTTCATATTCTCCTATGTCCATGCCAAAATTGGTTTTACCATTTTATATTGTAGATATAATAGTGATATGATTTGGCTGTGTCCCCACCCAAATCTCATCTTAATTCTAGTTCCCATAATCCCCATTTGTCCTGGGAAGGACCTGATGGGAGGTAATTGAATCATGGGGGTGCTTACCTCCATGCTGTTTTTGTGATGCTAAGTTCTCACAAGATCTGACGGTTTTATAAGGGACTGGTTCCCCTTTTGCTTGGCACTTCTCCTTCCTGCCATCATGTGAAGAGGGATGTGTTTGCTTCCCCTTCTGCCATGGTTATAAGTTTCTTGAGGCCTCCCTGCCATGTGTAACTGTGAGTCAATTAAACCTCTTTTCTTTATAAATTACCCAGTCTTGGGCAGTTCTTTATAGCTGCATGAGAACAGACTAATACAGTAAATTGGTATCAGGAAGTAGTGGGATGCTGCTATAAGGATACCCAAAAACGTGGAAGCAACTTTGAAACTGGGTAATAGGCAGAGATTGAAACAGTTTAGAGGGCTCAGAAGAAGACAGGAAAAAATATGGGACAGTTTGGAACTTCCTAGAGCCTTGGAGGGCTCAGAAGACAGGAAGGCATGGGAAAGTTTGGAAATTCCTAGAGATTTGTTGAATGGCTTTGACCAAAATGCTAATAATGATATGAACAATGAAGTCCAGGCTAAGGTGGTCTCAGAGATGAGGAACTTGTTGGAAACTGGAATAAAGGTGATTCTTGCTATGCTTTAGCAAAGAGACTGGTGGCATATTGCTCCCACCCTAGAGATCTGTGGAACTTTGAACTTGAGAGAGATGATTTAGGGTATCTGGTGGAAGAAATGTCTAAATGGCAAAGCATTCAAGAGGTGGCTTGGGTCCACTTAAAAGCATTCAGTTTTATGCATTCACAAAGGTATGGTTTGGAATTGGAACTTATGTTTAAAAGGGAAGCAGAACATAAAAGTTTAGAAAATTTGCAGACTGATGGTGCAGTAGGAAAAAAAAAACATTTTCTGGGGAGAAATTCAAGCCTGCTACAGAAATCTTCATAAGTAATGAAGAGCCAAATGTTAATCACCAAGACAATGGGGAGAATATCTCCAGAACATGCCAGAAACCCTCATAGCAGCCACTTCCATCACAGTCCTAGAGGCCTAGGAGGGAAAAATGGTTTCCTGGGCTGGGCCAAATAGTTTCCCCCCTGCTCTATGCAGCCTTTGGATATGGTGCCCTGAGTCTCAGCTGCTTCAGCTCTAACCATGGTTAAAAGGTGCCAATGTACAGTTCATGCCATTGCTTCAGCAGGTGCAAGCCCCAAGTTTTGGTGGCTTACACGTGGTGTTGGGCCTCCAGGTGCACAGAAGTCAACAACTGGGGTCTGGGGACCTCAGCCTAGATTTCAGAAGATGTATGGAAATGCCTGGATGTCCAGGCAGAAGTTTGCTGTAGGGGCAGAACCCTCAAGAGAACCTCTGCTGGCACAGTGTGGAAGGAAAATGTGGGGCTGGAGTCCCCAGAGTCCTAACTGGGGCACTGCCTAGTGGAGCTGTGAAAACAGTGCCAGCATCCTCCAGACCCCAGAATGGTAGATCCACTGACAACTTGTATCATGTGCCTGGAAAAGCTGCAGATGCTCAATGCCAGCCCATGAAAGCAGCCACGAGTGGAGCCATACCTGCCAAAGCCAAAGGGGCAGAGCTTCCCCAGGCTGTGGGAGCCCACCTATTGCATCAGCATGACCTGGATGTGAGACATGGAGTCAAAGGAGATCATTTTGGAACTTTAAGGTTTAATGACTGCACTATTGGATTTTGGAATTGCATAGGGCCTATACCCCTTTGTTTTGGCCAATTTCTCCCGTTTGGAATAGGTATATTTACCCAATGCCCATACCTTCATTTTATCTAGGAAGTAACTGACTTGCTTTTGATTTTACAGGCCTATAGGCAAAAGGGACTTGCCTTGTCTCAGATGAGACCTTGGACTCGGGGTTAATGCTGGAATTAAGATTTTTGGGGACTGTTAGAAAGGCATAATTGTGTTTTGAGTTGTGAGAACATGAGATTTGGGAGGGCCCAGGGCAAATGATATGGTTTGGCTCTGTCCCTACTTAAATATCATCTTGGAGTTCCCATAATCACCATGTTTCATGGAAGGGACCCTGTGAGAGGTAATTGAATCATAGGGACAGTTATTCACATGCTGCTATTCTCGTGATAGTGAGTTCTCACAAGATCTGATGGTTTTATAAGGGACTTTTCCCCCTTTTATGTGGCACTTCTCCTTCCTGCCATCAAGTGAAAAAGGATGTGTTTGCTTCCCCTTCCACCATGATTGTAGGTTTCCTGAGGCCCCCCAAGCTATGTGGAACTGAGTCACTTAAACCTCTTTCATGTATAAATTACCCACTCTCAAGCAGTTCTTTATAGCAGCATGAGAAAAGAATACAGATGAAAATGAAATGTTTTAATTTGCACTTCTCGATGTCTATTAAGTTTGAATATTTTCTCTATGTTCTCTGCCTACTTTCTACTGATTTGAAATATTTCTTTATAAGAAAATACTAATAGTTTATGTCATATGTTATAAAATATATATTCCCAATGTCCTGTTTGTATTCTGATATTGTTCATGTTGCTTTCATCACATGCAAGTTTTCAATCTTAATATAATTAAGTCTATAAGTCCTTCCCTTTATTTCCTTTGCTATGATTCAGCCTGATTTTCCCCTGCACAAGTTCCTTTTAAGAATTTTTCTTTATCATCAACTCTTGGCATATTTTGAAGTTCCTTGTGTATTTTTGTCTGTATTTATCTTGCTTGAAGTTCATAGTACTTCCTCAATATGTAGGTTGAGGTCTTCAGTTTCCTAAAATTATCAGTCATAATTGCTTCAAATATCACCTCTATCCTCATCCTCATTTTCCTCTGAGATTAAAATTGTATATTAAAACTTTTCATCATAACCTGTGTGACTCTAAAGTTTTCCATTATTTCATCACTTTTCCTTGACTCTTACCTTGTTTTTCTTACCTGTCTTATCTGTTTTTTTCAGTTGTTATCTAAACCCAGAATTTTAATTACAGCTGTGTTTTTCAATTCTAGAATTTCCATTTACTTTCAAAAAATTTTCTGGTTCTCAGAAATTCCCCTTGTCTTTTAATTCCCTCAACACACTAATCAAAGCTATTTTAAAGTCTGTTATAGCTTCCCTTATAACTTCCTTATATATATTTTTCATGGATTTGTTTTTATTGTCTGCTTTTATTTTCTCTTTGTTTTCACTTAAGTGTTCTGTTTTCATATACCTGGCTATATTTGACTAAGTTCTGAAAACCATTAATGAAAAATTTTATAAATAGTTGAGGCTTTGGATGATATTTTTATCTTCCTTCAAAAACAGCTTATATTTTCTTCCCATGGGCCACGACTCTGGGAGTACTAACAATCCCAGATCACTTACTACCATCAGATATTTAGATGATTCAAAGGTAGTCTTATGTCTCTCTGGGAGTCGTTCCTAATTCATGATTTCCCATAGGGTATAAATCTTAACTCAGCTGCTTTTGAAATTGACAAATGTCTTACGAGGTAAGATGACACAAAATGCTGGGCTTATCCCCTTAAGTTTTTCTTTCCAGATTGTAGCCTCACAAATTCTCATTGACTTGGAAGCTCCACAATGTTTTCAAAATTGAGTTTTCTAGATTTTTTAAAATAAAACCTCAGCCTGATTTTTTTCTCTTTATTCTTAGTCTATCTTTGGATGTATGTAAGATTTTCTTAAATTAAAAGAAATTGGTCAGGCTATATCTAGATATGATCTCTTAAAGTGATTCATTTGTCTAAAGCTTGCATGCAAATACGTGCTCTCCTACCCCACAACCAGATAATGGAAATACTTTTCTCTATTTCTTGAACAATTACATCAGTTCCACTTACTCTGGTCTTTCATCCAAAAATACCTATTATCCACATACTGTGCTCTCTATTTTCCACCATCTATATTCAAAATATTCTTGGTCAGCATTTTTCTCTTTGTCCTTTTAATCTGAATTCCAAAATCTTCCGTTTCATCTGCTGATTCAGTTCTCTACAATTTCAATTCTGCTCTTCGCGTCTGACAGTAAATTTTAATGTATAATATTTGTGTTACAATTTTCTTACAAAATTCTTACCTTTTAATCTCATTTTATGATTTTCATTTCACCTTATCTCCCTTTGTGACTTTTTGCTATTAATTCATAGACTTCATTTTAACTTTCAAGGCTCTTGAATGGCTTCCTGAAGTCCTCTAAATCCTGCAACAGTTGTATGCTCATCGTTTGAGTCTCTCACATACTGTTAGACATTTTCTTTTCATTGATTCATAATTTGTTTACTGCTAACTTCTACTTGGGGCAGCCATTTAAAAATATACATAGACAGAAAGAGGAAGTGTTTATAGTCTCAGAATTTAGAAATAACTTAGGGTCACCATCAGAATATTTGAAGCTAGTAAAATTGAGTGTTTATATTACATTCTTGAAATTTTAGTAATCAAATGGATCCCAAGGTTGCATTTTTGTTTGTTTAAATATATGTAATATTTGAAACTACCTTAATGCCAGCAGCATACTTTAGTTTCTATTGCTTGTTCAACAAACATAATGAAAGGATATGTGTACCTCATTTCTTACAGGGAATAGGGGTAAAAAAAAAAAAAGAGAAATGTGTTAGTGAAGCAAAGCATTGGAGTGTACTAGTAGAGAAAAGTATAACCTATTTGAAAGATGCTTGATGAAAAAAATTGGGAATTATTTGTCCTATTTCATTCACAGGCACCATGTGCAATGTTGTCAGTTAACTTATTTAAACTTAATTCCATCTGTGAAAACACTGTTTTAGCTCCTAAGTTGCCTAAATGTTGTGTATTAATGGGAAAATATGAGGAATGCTCTGCATTTGACATAAGAAAGTCCTTGTATAAATTCAAGGTGGATTATTAATGCTATTACTTTTTACTGTAATTATTATTCTCTGTGCTTCTCTAGGTCAATCTTTTATTAAATCCATAGAGAAGAATCCATTGGGATTGATGCATCTTCAAAAACATAGCTTATATAACAAATAGATACATTAAAAGCTGATAAGTGATGCTTAGAACTGTTTCATGAAGTTAACTAAATTAAAGGAACTTTTATATGTTTACATCTTTTCCTGACATAGTTTGCTGTCTTCTTAATTATATGAAGTTTTTGCTACCTTTGCTTGATTCTCTGACATCCCCATCATTAGATATTATTTGGTCTATTTTAGCAAAGATCAATGCTCAAGATTGCCAGTGAGAATTATGAGGTAATTATACCTCATGTTGGGGTATTTACTAGTAATATGCAGGGTCAGAAACACACACACACACCCAACACACACAGCACCCCAGCTTTGTAGATGACTTGGTCCTTTAATTTTAGAGGTTTTCTTTCTTAGCTTTCATAGTGCCGACCTGTGGGCAAGAGGCAGTGAAAATTCACTGTGACAATTGTTATATATTTTACATATGTATCATTTTATATATATATGTTATATATATCTGATATGATAGTAAAAGTTCTCATATCTTACACTTTGCACTTTCAGTTTTGTAGTAATGGAGATTAGGCGGAAATTTTTATTTTTAATTTCAAGTGCCAGCTTCACCAACCTCTGAAAAAGATACACAAAGAACCTTTCTTATGAGCCACTAGCACTGAGTTTATGCTTCATTTTCTGAAGCAGATTGTCTTCCATAATTGCATGCTTTGAACATTTTAACATAGAAAAGTCTTTAATTCAAATATCTGAAATAAGTTCTCCAATGATCTATAAACTAGTATCCACTAGATTGCACACCTACTGATTATGTAGTACTGAAAAACAAACAGCGTATTGTGTTAACTCAGAAATATGTTAGAGAGGAATCATCTTTAAGGAGAGAAGCCTTATTCATCTGACTTCATCCTCTGCCGTTATTCCCCTGTAATATTTGGAGTAGACAATTTAGTTTGTCCATTGGATTTAAGCTGTTTGTCACTAAATTTCTAGTGAGCCATGATTACAAAAGAATTATTTTGAGAAGGCATGATGACTGCTAACAAAATTCACCGTTACGACTGGACCATCATGTCAGCAAACACTTAGTGCATGTACTATGTATCGGACATCATGCCAGGCCGTAGGGGACTAAAGAAATGAGAAAGACATGGTCCTTGCATCAGCGGAGTTTTTCGGGGGGACCAAAAAGTTTTTCTTAGGATACCAAATTTCATTCAGAAGGGAGAATTCAAAATAAAGTCTATAAGACTAATGAGCCAAGCTAAGGATGTTAAAATTCACAAGAGGTTCCAGGCTCTGAATATTTACATGGCAGCACTGGGATCCATCTGTCCAGCAAAATGTAGCCATAATCATAGCTGACATTTGGACGGCACATTTACAAAATTTTTTAATTGACAAATAGTAATTGTACATATTCATGAGGTATATACTGGTGTTTTGGTACACAATGTATAGTGATCAGATTAATTAATATCCATCATATCAAACATTTATCCTTTCTTTGTGTTGGGAACATTCAGTATCTGCCTCCGAGCTATTTGAAACACTATATTATTGTGTTTTTTTTTAAATTTTATTGTTACTATACTTTAAGTTTTAGGGTACATGTGCACAACGTGCAGGTTTGTTACATAAGTATACATGTGCCATGTTGGTGTGCTGCACCCATTAACTCGTCATTTAACATTAGGTACATCTCCTAATGCTATCCCTCCCCCCTCCCCCAACCCCACAACAGTCCCCGGTGTGTGATGTTCCCCTTCCTGTGTCCAAGTGTTCTCATTGTTCGATTCCCACCTATGAGTGAGAACATGTGGTGTTTGGTTTTCTGTCCTTGCGATAGTTTGCTGAGAATGATGGTTTCCAGTTACATCCATGTCCCTACAAAGGACATTAACTCATCCTTTTTTATGGCTGCATAGTATTCCACGGTGTATATGTGCCACATTTCCTTAATCCAGTCTATCGTTGGACGTTTGGGTTGGTTCCAAGTCTTTGCTATTGTGAATAGTGCCACAATAAACATACGTGTGCATGTGTCTTTATAGCAGCATGATTTATAATCCTTTGGGTATATACCCAGTAATAGGATGGCTGAATCAAATGGTATTTCTAGTTCTAGATCCCTGAGGAATTGTCACACTGACTTCCACCATGGTTGAACTAGTTTACAGTCCCACCAATGGTGTAAAAGTGCTCCTATTTCTCCACATCCTCTCCAGCACCTGTTGTTTCTTGACTTTTTAATGATCACCATTCTAACTGGTGTGAGATGGTATCTCATTGTGGTTTTGATTTGCATTTCTCTGATGGCCAGTGATAAGCATTTTTTCATGAAAACACTATATTATTGTTAACTATAGTCACCCTACAGTGATATAGAACAATCCATCCGGAAGGGAGGTGGGGGGCAGCCCCCGCCCGGCCAGCCACCCCATCCGGCCGCCGCCCCATCTGGGAAGTGAGGAGCCCCTCTGCCCGGCCGCCACCCAGTCTGGGAGGTGTACCCAACAGCTCATTGAGAACGGGCCATGATGACGATGGCGGTTTTGTGGAATAGAAAAGGGGGAAATGTGGGGAAAAGAAAGAGAGATCAGATTGTTACTGTGTCTGTGTAGAAAGAAGTAGACATAGGAGACTCCATTTTGTTCTGTACTAAGAAAAATTCTTCTGCCTTGGGATGCTGTTAATCTATAACCTTACCCTCAACCCCGTGCTCTCTGAAACATGTGCTGTGTCCACTCAGGGTTAAATGGATTAAGGGCGGTGCAAGATGTGCTTTGTTAAACAGATGCTTGAAGGCAGCATGCTCGTTAAGAGTCATCACCACTCCCTAATCTCAAGTACCCAGGGACACAAACACTTTGGAAGGCCGCAGGGTCCTCTGCCTAGGAAAACCAGAGACCCTTGTTCACATGTTTATCTGCTGACCTTCCCTCCACTATTGTCCTGTGACCCTGCCAAATCCCCCTCTCCGAGAAACACCCAAGAATGATCAATAAATACTAAAAAAAAAAAAAAAAAAAGAGAGAGATCAACTTTTTAAAACTTCCACATGAGTGAGAGCATATGGTGTTTAACTTTCTATTCCTGGCTTATTTCATTTATCATAGGGCCCACTAGTTCCATCCATTTTGACAAAAACTACAGGATTTCATTATGTTTATGGCTGAATAGTATTCCACAGTGTATACATGTCATATTTTCTTAATCCATTCATCTGTTGTTGGACACCTAGTTTGATTTGTTATCTTGGCTATTATGAATAGTTCTGCAATAAACATGGGGTCTCTTCAATATAATCATTTCCTTTCCTTTCCTTTGGATAAATGTCCAGTAATGGGATTGCTGAATCATATGGTAGCTCTATTTGTAGTTTTATGAGAAACCTCCACACTGTTCTCCATAGTAGCTGTAATAGTTTACATTCCCACCAACAGTGTAGAAGAGTCCCCCTTTCTCCATATCCTCTCCAGCATGTGTTATTGTCTGTATTGTTGATAATAGCCATCCTAACGGGGTAAAATGATACCTTATCATGGTTCTGATTTGCATTCCCCTGATGATTACTGATGTTGAGTGTTTTTTCATATGTTTCTGGCCATTCGTATGCCTTTTTAAGAGAAATGTCTGTTAAGATCATTTTCCTGGTTTTTTAAAACTATACTTTAAGATCTGGGAAACATGTGCAGAATGCGCAGGTTTGTTACATAGGTATATACGTGCCATGATGGTTTGCTGCACCCATCAACCCATCATCTACGTTAGGTATTTCTCCTAATGTTATTCCTCCCCTAGCCCACCACCCGACAGGCCCCAGTGTGTCATGTTCCCTCCCTGTGTCCATATGTTCTCATTTTTCAACTGCCACTTATGAGTGAGAACATGTAGTGTTTTCTGTTCCTGTGTTAGTTTGGTGAGAATTATGGTTTCCAGCTTCATCCATGTCTCTGTAAAGGACATGCACTCATCCTTTTTTATGGCTGCATAGTATTCCAAAGTGTATATATGCCACATTTTGTTTATCCAGTCTATCATTGATGGGCATTTGGGTTAGTTCCAAGACTTTGCTATTGTGAATAGTGCTGCAATAAACATACATGTGCATCATGTGCATGTGTCTTTATAGAATGATTTATAATCCTTTGGGTATATATCCAGTAATGAGATTGCTGGGTCAAATGGTATTTTTGGTTCTAGGTTCTTGAGGAATTGTAACACTGTCTTCAACAATGGTTGAACTAACTTATACACCCACCAACAGTGTAAAAGCATTTCTACTTCTCCACATCCTCTCCAGCATCTGTTGTTTCCTGACTTTTTAATGATAGCCATTCTAACTGGGGTGAGATGGTATCTCATTCTGGTTTTGATTTGCATTTCTCTAATGACCAGTGATGAGCTTTTTTGCATATGTTTGTTGGCCACATAAATGTCTTCTTTTGAGAAGTGTCTGTTCTATTATTTGCCCACTTTTTGATGGGTTTTTTTCTTGTAAATTTGTTTAAGTTCCTTGTAGATTCTAGATATTAGCCCTTTGTCAGATGGACAGATTGCAAAAATTTTCTCCCATTCTGTAGGTTGCCTGTTCACTCTGATGGTAGTTTTTCTTTTTTTTTTTTTTTTTTTTTGCTGTGCAGAAGCTCTTTAGTTTAATTAGGTCCCATTTGTCAATTTTGGCTTTTGTTGCCATTGCTTTTGGTGTTTTAGTCATGAAGTCTTTGCCCATGCCTATGTCCTGAATGGTATTGCCTAGGTTTTCTTCTAAGGGTTTTTATGGTTTTAAGTTTTACATTTCATTCTTTAATCCACCTTGAGTTAATTTTTTTATAAAGTGTAAGGAAGGGGTCCAGTTTTAGTTTTCTGCATATGGTTAGCCACTTTTCCCAACACCATTTTAAATAGGTAATTGTTTCCCCATTGCTTGTTTTTGTCAGGTTTGTCAAAAATCTGATGGTTGTAGATGTGTGGTGTAATTTCTGAGGCTTCTATTCTGTTCCACTGGTGTATATATCTGTTTTAGTACCAGTACCATGCTGTTTTGGTTACTGTAGCATTGCAGTATAGTTTGAAGTCAGGTAGCGTGATGCCTCCAGCTTTGTTCTTTTTGCTTAGGATTATCTTGGCTATACAGGCCTTTTTCTTTTTTTTGGTTCCATATAAAATTTAAAGTAGTTTTTTCTAATTTTGTGAAGAAAGTCAGTTGTACCTTGATGGGGATACTACTGAATCTATAAATTACTTTCATGACATTGATTCTTCCTATCCATGAGGATGGAATATTTTTCCATTTGTTTGTATCCTCTCTTATTTCCTTCAGCAGTGGTTTGTAGTTCTCCTCGAGGAGATCTTTCACATCCCCTGTAAGTTGTATTCCTAGGTATTTGATTCTCATTGTAGTAATTGTGAATGAGAGTTCACTCATGATTTGGCTTTCTATTATTGGTGTATAGGAATGCTTGTGATGTTTGCACATTGATTTTGTATCCTGAGACTTTACTGAAGTTGCTTATCAGCTTAAGGAGATTTTGGGCTGAGACGATGGGGTTTTCTAAATATACAATCATGTCATCTGCAAACAGAGACAATTTGGCTTCCTCTTTTCCTATGTGAATACCCTTTATTTCTTTCTCTTGCCTGATTGCCCTGGACAGAACTTCCACTACTATGTTGAATAGGGGTGGTGAGAGAGGGCATTCTTGTCTTGTGCCAGTTTTCAAAGGGAATGCTTCCAGCTTTTGCCCATTTAATATGATATTGGTTGTGGGTTTGTCATAAATAGCTTATTATTTTGAGACACGTTCCATCATTACCTAGTTTATTGAGAGTTTTTAGCATGAAAGGGTGTTGAATTTTATTGAAGGCCTTTTTGCATCTATGAAGGTAATCATGTGGTTTTTGTCATTGGTTCTGTTTATGTGATGGATTATGTTTATTGATTTGCATACATTGAACCAGCCTTGCATTCCAGGTATGAAGCTGACTTGATCATGGTGGATAAGCTTTTTGGTGTACTGCTGGATTCAGTTTGCCAGTATTTTATTGAGGATTTTCACATCAACATTCATCAGGAATATTGGCCTGAAATTTTCTTTTTTTGTTGTGTCTCTGCCAGTTTTTGGTATTAGGATGATGCTGGCCTCATAAAATGAGTTAGGGAGGAGCCCCTCTTTTTCTACTGTTTGTAATAGTTTCAGGAGGGATGGTACCAGCTCCTCTTGATACCTCTGGTAGAATTTGGCCATGAATCCATCTGGTCCTGGACTTTTTTTTTTTTTTTTTTGGTTGGTAGGCTATCAATTACTGCCTCAATTTCAGAACTTGTTATTGGTCTATTCAGGGATTTGACTTCTTCCTGGTTTAGTCTTAGGAGGGTGTATATGTCCAGGAATTTATCAATTTCTTGTAGATTTTCTAGTTTATTTCTGTAGAGGTGTTTATAGTATTCTGATAGTAGTTTGCATTTCTATGGGATCAGTAGTGTTTTACCCTTTATCATTTTTTATTGTGTCTATTTGATTCTTCTCTCTTTTCTTATAAGTCTGGCTAGTGGTGTATCTATTTTGTTAATCTTTTCAAAAAACCTGCTCCTGTATTCATTTATTTTTTGAAGGGTTTTTTGTGTCTCTATCTCCTTCAGTTCTGCTCTGATCTTAGTTATTTCTTGCCTTCTGCTAGTTTTTGAATGTGTTTGCTCTTGCTTCTCCAGTTCTTTTAATTGTGATGTTAGGGTGTCAATTTTAGATCTTTTCTGCTTTCTCCTGTGGGCATTTAGTACTATAAATTTCCCTCTACACACTGCTTTAGCTGTGTCCCAGAGATTCTGGTTCATTGTCTTTTTTTTCTCATTGGTTTCAAAGAACTTATTTATTTCTGCCTTAATTTCGTTATTTACCCAGTAGTCATTCAGAAGTAGGTTGTTCAGTTTCCACGTAGTTGTGCAATTTTGAGTGAGTTTCTTAATCCTGATTTCTAATTTGATTGCATTGTGGTTGAGAGACTGTTATGATTTCCATTCTCTTGCATTTGCTGAGGAGTGTTTTACTTCCAATTGTGTGGTCGCTTTTAGAATAAGTGTGATGTGGTGCTGAGAAGAATGTATATTCTGTTGATTTGGAGTGGAGAGTTCTGTAGGTGTCTATTAGGTCTGCTTGGTCTAGAGCTGAGTTCAAGTCCTGAATATCCTTGTTAATTTTCTGTCTCGTTGATCTAATATTGACAGAGGGGTGCTAAAGTCTTTCACTATTATTGTGTGGGAGTCTAAGTCTCTTTGTAGGTCTCTAAGAACTTGCTTTATTAATCTGGATGCTCCTGTATTGAGTGCATATATACTTAGGATAGTTAGCTCTTCTTGTTGCATTGATCCCTTTGCCATTATGTAATGGCCTTGTCTCTTTTGATCTTTGTTGGTCTGTTTTATCTCAGACTAGGATTGCAACCCCTGCTTTTTTTGTTTTTTTGCTTGGTAAATATTTCTCCATCCCTTTATTTTGAGCCTATGTGTGTCTTTGCATGTGACATGGATCTCCTGAATACAGCACACCGATGGGTCTTGACTCTTTATCCAATTTGCCAGTCTGTGTCTTTTAATTGGGGCATTTACCCATTTACATTTAAGGTTAATATTGTTACATGTGAATTTCAGATGCTAGCCAGTTATTTTACCCATTAGTTGATGCAGTTTCTTCATAGTATTGATAGTATTTGCAATTTGGTTTGTTTTTGCAGTGGCTGGTACCGGTTTTTCTTTCCATATTTAGTGCTTCCTTCAGGTGCTCTTGTAAGGTTGGCCTAGTGGTGAGAAAATCTCTCAGCATTTGCTTGTCTGTAAAGTGTTTACTTCTCCTTCACTTATGAAGCACGGTTTTGTTGGATATGAAATTCTGGGTTGAAAATTCTTTTAAGAATGATTGGGCTCCCCTCTTTTCTGGTTTGTAGGGTTTCTGCAGAGAGATCTGCTGTTAGTCTGATGGGATTCCCTTTGTGGGTAACCCGATCTTTCTCTCTGGCTGCCCTTGACATTTTTTCTTTCATTTCAACCTTGGTGAATCTGATTGTCATGTGTCTTGGGGTTGCTCTTCTCTAGGAGTATCTTTGTGGTGTTCCTTTTCATTCTTTTTTCTCTAATCTTGTCTTAATGCTTTATTTCATTAAGTTGATTTCAATCTCAGATATCCTTTCTTCCGCTTGATTGATTTGGCTGTTGACACTTGTGTATTTTGATCTCTAAATCTCGGATATCCTTTCTTCTGCTTGATCGATTTGGCTATTGATACTTGTGTATGCTTCCTGAGGTTCTTGTGCGGTGTTTTTCAGCTCCATTAGGTCATTTATGTTCTCTAAACTGGTTATTCTAGTTAGCAATTCCTCTAACCTTTTTTCAAGGTTCTTAGCTTCCTTGCATTGGGTTAGAACATGCTCCTTTAGCTTGGAGGAGTTTGTTATTACCCACCTCCTGAAGCCTACTTCTGTCAATTTGTCAAACACTCTCCGTGCAGTTTTGTTCACTTGCTAGTGAGGAGTTGCAATCCTTTGGAGGAGAAGAGGCTTCTGGTTTTTGGAATTTTCAATCTTTTGGTGCTGTTTTTTCCTCATCTTCATGGATTTATCTACATTTGGTCTTTGATGTTGGTGACCTTCACATGGGGTTTGTGTGTGGACATCCTTTCTTTTGATGTGATGCTATTCCTTTCTGTTTGTTAGTTTTCCTTCTAACAGGCCCCTTTGCTGCATGTCTGCTGGAGTTTGCTGGAGGTCCACTCCAGACGCTGGTTGTCTGGGTATCACCAACGGAGGCTGCAGAACAGCAAAGATTGCTGCCTCTTCCTTCCTCTGGAAGTTTCATCCCAGAGGGGCACTTGCCAGCCGGAACTCTCCTGTATGAGGTGTCTGTCAACCCTTGCTGGGAGGTATCTCCCAGTCAGGAGGCACAGGGGTCAGGCACCCAGTTGAGGGGGCAGTCTGTCCTTTAACAGAGCTCGAGCACTGTGCTAGGAGATCTGCTGCTCTCTTCAGAGCTGGCAGGCAGGAACATTTAAGTCTGCTGAAGCTGTACCCACAGCCACCCCTTCCCCCAGGTGCTCTGTCCCAGGGAGATGGGAATTCTATCTATAAGCCCCTGACTGGGACTGCTGCCTTTCTTTCAGAGATTCCCTACCCAGAGAGGAGGAATCTAGAGAGGCAGTGTGGTTACAGCAGCTTTACTGAGCTGTGGTGGGCTCCACCCAGTTGGAACTTCCAAGCGGCTTTGTTTACACTGTGAGGGGAAAACCACCTACTGAAGCCTCAGTAATGGTGGATGTCCCTCCCTCCACCAAGCTCAAGTATCCCACGTCGACTTCAGACCGCTATACTGGCGCTGAGAATTTCAAGCCAGTGGATCTTAGCTTGCTGGCTCCAAGGGGGTGGGATCCACTGAGCTAGACCACTTGGCTCCCTGGCTTCAGCCCCCTTTCCAGGGGAGTGAATGGTTTTGTCTCACTGGCATTCCAGACATCGCTGGGCTCTGTGTCTGCACAAATGGCTGCCCAGTTTTGTGCTTGAAACCCAGAGCCCTTATGGTTTAGGCACCTGAGGGAGTCTCCTGGTCTGTGGGATGCAAAGACCATGGGAAAAGCATAGCATTTGGGCCAGAATGCACTATTCCTCATGGCACAGTCCCTCACAGCTTCTTTTGGCTAGGGGAGGGAGTTCCCTGACCCTTTGCAGTTCCTGGGTGAGGCAACGCCTCACCCTGCTTCAGCTCACCCTCTGTGGGCTGCACCTACTGTCTAACCAGTCCCAATGAGGTGAACCAGGTACATTTGTTGGAAATGCAGAACCACCTTCTGCATTGATCTCACTGGGAGCTGCAGACTGGAGCTGTTCCTATTCGGCCATCTTGCCAGCCACCTCCTTTCCTGTTATGTTAGTTGGATTTTTTTTTTCTTTTGCGATGTCTCAGTTTTTTATATGTTCTGGATATTAATCCTGTTGGATGAATAGTTTTCAAGTATTTTCTTTCATTCTATAGGTTATCTTTTCACTCTGTTGATTGTTTCTTTTGCTTTATAGCACTAATCTATAAACTCATGTCCCTGCATGATTATATTTCATTTGCATAGTGACTCACTCACTTTTTAGCTACATGACCCTAAGCAAATCATTTACCTTCTATGAGTTTGAAAACCGGGATAATAGTGCCTATCTCTTAAGGCTGTTCAGGAGGTTAAATAAGCATAGCACTTAAAATAATTTCACTGAAAACTACAAGCTTTTGCTGAGATTAAAGTAAAGAATAGCAAATAAATAGAGAAAAATACCATATTCATGGACTGGAATAGTTAACATTGTTAAATTTAAGATGTTAAATTTACCCCCAGGTGACTGATCCAATCAAATTATCAGAAGGTTTTTATAAAAATTGGTAAGCAGATTTTATTATTTACATGGAAATACAAAAGACCTAGAATTGTGAAAAAAAATGTTGAAGATCAAAGTTCAAGATCTAGTTTAAAGCTACAGTACTATAAATATTATGTGGTATCAGTGAAAGAAAAAGAACAATGAAACATAGGAATACTTCTACATAAATACCATCACACAACTTATTACAAAGATGCCATTACAAGTCACTGGGGAAGGATGTCCTTCTTAATAAATGTCGATTGGATGTTGATATAGGAAAAATGAAAGTGACCCTCCTATCTTGCACCATAAAAATTAAGACCAAATATAAAACATAAAATGATAAAATTTCTAGAAGAAAGAATAGGAAAACATCTTCAGAAGCCTTGCCAGA
This sequence comes from Homo sapiens, assembly GCF_000001405.40. Lineage (NCBI taxonomy): Eukaryota > Metazoa > Chordata > Mammalia > Primates > Hominidae > Homo > Homo sapiens. The sequence continues at coordinate 181,963,247 of NC_000001.11, forward strand.
AGCAAATATTATTAGACAGGACATAAAGATCAATAATCATAAAAGAAAGGATATATTAATTTTGGCTTCTTTAAAATTAAGAACTATGGGCCAGGGATGGTGGCTCATATCTGTAATACCAGCACTTTGGGAGCCTGAGTTGGGAGGATCATTTTAGGACCGGAATTGAAGACCAGCCTGGGTAACATAGAGAGACCTTGTCTCTACAATAAAAAAACTTGCCAGGCATGGTGGTGCATGTCTGTAGTTCCAGCCACTCAGGAGTCTGAGGCAAAAGTTTAAGGTTACCGTGAGTTATGATTGTGCCACTGCACTCCATCCTGTGCGATACAGTGAGACACTGTTAACTAAATAAACATTAAGACCTATCAACAGAGTGAAAAGTCAAGACACAGAGGGAAAAGATATGGGCAAAACATATACTTCACAATGGACTATCACCTGTAATGTATAAAAACTCTTATAAACCAATAATACAAACAACAAAATTGAAAAGGCAAAAGACCTGAACTTCAAATAGAGGCTATCCAACTGGCCAATACATATATAAACAGTTGCTTATCATTATTAGTCAGAGAAATTCATATTAAAGCCATGACAAAACATTTTCTATAGAATGACTAAAATTAAAGACTAGCAATACCAAGTGTTCATGAAAATACAAAGCAACTGGAATTCAAATTGTTGTTGCTGGTGGGAGTAAAAATTGGTATAACCCAGTTGGAAAACCACTTGGCAGTTGATATTAAAGGTAAACATACATAATTCCTAGATCTAGCACCTTCCAACCATCCCAGTTATACACTCAAAAGAAATAAAAGGATTTCCACCAAAATATTTCTACAAGAATTTTCAAAGCAGCTTTATGCATAATAGCAAAACCTGGAAACAACCAAATATTCATCAATAACAGATTTGATATAGTCATATAATAAAACAGTACACAGGAGTAAACAAAACTGACTGTTACATGCAACATGGATGAATCTCACAAACGTGTATGAAAAGAGCCAGGAAAAAAATGAATGCATCTTGTATGAATTCCATTTATATAAAAGTCAAGAATATGCATAACTAATCATATTAGTCCATTGCTAATAAAGACATACCCAAGACTGAGTAATTTATAAAAGAAAGAGGTTTGACTCAGTTCCATATGGCTGGAGAGGCCTCAGGAAACTCACAGTCATGGCAAAGGCACCTCTTCACAGGATGGCAGGAGAGAAAATGAGTGCCCAGCGAAGAGGGAAGCCCTTTATAAAATCATCAGATTTCATGAGAACTCACTATCACGAGAACACGATGGTGGAAACCACCATCATGATTATCTCGCCTGGTCCCTTCCATGACACATGGGGATTATGGGAACTATAATTCAAGATGAGATTTGAGTGGGAACACAGCCAAACCACATCATTCTACCTTTGGCCCTTCCAAAATCTCATGTCCTCCCAATTCAAAACACAATCACACTCTTCCAACAGTCCTCCAAAGTCTTAACTCATTCCAGCATTAACTCAAAAGTCCAAGTCCAAAGTCTAATCTGAGACAAGGCAAGTCCCTTCTGCCTATGAGCCTGTAAAGTCAAAAGCAAATTAGTTATTTCCTAGATACAATGGGGTACAGGCACTGGGTAAATACACCCATTTCAAATGGGAGAAATTGGCCAAAACAAAGGGGCTACAGGCTCCAAGCAAGTCTGAAATCCAATAGGTCAGTTATTAAACCTTTGGAACTTTAGTTCCAAAATGATCTCCTCTGACTTCATGACTCACATCCAGGTCACACTGATACAACAGTTGGGCTCCCATAGCCTTTGGCAGCTCTGCTTCTCTGGCTTTTGCAGGGTCTAGTTCCCCTCCTGGCTGCTTTCTTGGGCTGGTGTTGAGTGTCTGAAGCTTTTCTAGGCACACAATGCAAGCTGTTGGTGGATCTACCATTTTGGGATCTAGAGGACAAAGCCCTCTTCTCACAGCTCTACTAGGCAGTGCTCCAGTGAGGACTCTGTGTGGGAGCTCCAACTCCACATTCCCTTCTGCACTGCCCTAACAGAGGTTCTCCATGAGGGTTCCATCCCTGCAGCACACCTCTGCCTGGACATCCAGGCATTTCCATACATCCTCTGAAATTTAGGTGGAGGGTCCCAAACCTCATTTCTCATCTTCTGTGCACCTGCGGGACCAACACCACGTGGATGCTGCCAAGGCTTGGGGCTTGCATCCCCTGAAGCAACGACTCAAGCTGAACCTTGGCTCCTTTTTAGCCACAGCTGGAGCTGAAACAGCTGGGATGCAGGGCAACATGTCCCTCAACTGCATAGAGCAGGAAGGAAACCATTTGGCCCAGCCCAGGAATCATTTTTTTCCCTCCTAGGCCTCTGGATCTATGATGGGAGTGGCTGCCATGAAGGTCTCTGATGTGCCCTGGAGACATTTTCACCACCATCTTGGTGATTAACATTCAGCTCCTTGTTACTTATGCAAATTTCTGCAGCAGGCTTGAATTCCTCCCCAGAAAATGGGTTTTTCTTTTTTACTGCATCATCAGGCTGCAAAGTTTCCAAACTTTTATGCTCTGCTTCCTTTCGAATGCTTTGCTACTTATAAATTTCTTTCACCAGATACCCTAAATCATCTCTCTGAACTTCAAAGTTCCACAGATCTCTAGGACAGAGACAAAATGCCACCACATCTCTTGGCTAAAGCATAACAAGAGTCACCTTTGCTCCACTTCCCAACAAGTTCCTCACCTCCATCTGAAACCATCTCAGCCTGGACTTCATTGTCCATATCACTATCAGCATTTTGGTCAAAGCCATTCAACAAGTCTCTAGGAAGTTTCAAACTTCCCTACATCTTCCTGTCTTCTGAGCCCTCCAAGTCTCTAGGAAGTTTCAAACTGTCCCATATTTTCCTGACTTCTTCTGAACTATCCAAATTATTCCAACCTCTACCTTTCACCCAGTTCCAAGTCACTTTCACATTTTTTAGTATCTTTACAGCAGCACCCCACTACCCAGTACCAATTTACTATATTAGTCTGTTCTCAAGCTGCTAATAAAGACATAACCAAGACTTGGTAATTTATAAGGGAAAGAGATTAAATTGACTCACAGTTCCATATGTCTGGAGAGGCCTCAGGAAACTTACAATCATGGCAGAAGGCACCTCTTCACAGGGTGGCAGGTGAGAGATTGAGTGCCTAGTGAAGGAGGAAGCCCCTTATAAAACCATCAGATCTCATGAGAACTCACTATCACAAGGACAGGATGAGGCAAACTGTCCCCCATGATTCAATTATCTCTACCTGGTCCCTCCCACAACAAGTGAGGATTATGGGAACAATTCAAGATGAGATTTGAGTGAGGACACAGCCAAACTCTATCACTAATCTATTGTGATGGAGGCCAAATATCAATTACCTTTGGAGGCTTTGAATTGGGAGAAGGCATGAAAGTCTCTTCTGGAGTGCTTGTCATCTATATCTTTATCTGGGTAGTGGTTTTACAAGTGTATAAATATATAAAAACTCACTAAGCTTTACCCTTAAGATTTGTGCACTTTATTGCAAATATATACACACACACATATATATATATGTGTATAAATATATACACATGCACTTTTAACATCATCTGGTACATAGTGAGCACTCAATAGGTGTTAACCATTTTCATAATTAAAACCCCACAGAGAAAATAGAACAAGTAATGTCTCATTTCACAGATGGAAATGAAGCTTGACTGTATTCAAGTCCTCATCTAAGCTTGCAGAACTGACAAGTGGAGGAGCTGGGGTTTGAGCCTTGACTCTGACGCTGGGTCTAGGGTAGGCAGTGCTACCTGCTTTGTCTTGGTGTGCTCTCTCACATGCGTGCATTCTCTCTCTCTCTCTCTTTCTCTCTCTCTATATATAAAATATATATATAATATATATTATATGTTTTATGTTACTTTTAATTGACAAATAATTGTTTATATTTAATGAGGTACAATGTGATGTCTTGATACATGTATACATTGTGGAATGATCATATCAGACTAGCATATCCATCACATCAAATATTTATCACCTCTTTCTGGTGAGATCATTTAAAATCCTATCTTTCAGCTATTTTGAAATATACATTAACTGTGATCACTATGCTGTACAATAGAACACCTGAACTTATTACTTCTAACTGAAAATTTGTACCCATTGACCAACGTCCTGTTTCCCCACCTATTGCCCTTTCCCCCAGCCTTTGATAACCACCATCCACTCTTTACTTCTATGAGCTTGATTTTTTAAAATTCCATATATAAGTGAGGTCATACAATATTTGTCTCCCTGTGCCTGGCCTATTTTACTTAACATACTGTCTCCTAAGTTCATGCATGTTGTTGCAAATAACAGAATTTTCTGCTTAAGATTGAACAATGTTCCATTGTGCACATATACCATATTTTGTTAATCAATTTATCCATTAATGGACACTTAGGTTGATTCCATATCTTGGCTGTCGTGAACAATGTTGCAATGACATTGGAGTACAGACATCTCTTTGGCATACTGATTTCAATTCCTTTGGGTATATATCCAGTAGTAGGATTGCTCAATCACATGTTTATTATTCATTTTTGGAGGAGTCGCTATACTGTCTTCCAAAATAGCTGCACTAATCTGCAATACCACCAACCATGCATAAGAAGTCCCCTTTCTCCACATCCTCACCAACATTTATTTTTCACCTTTTCAATAACAGCCAATCTAAATGGTGTGAGGTGATATCTCATTGTGGTTTGAATTTGGATTTCTCTGGTGATTAGAAATGTTGAACTTTTTTTTCACATATCTCTTGGCCATTTATATATTCTGAGAAATGTCTTCATTTTGAGAAATGTCTATTTGACATTTCTTTGCCCATTTTAATAGTTTTTGTTTTGAGTAGCTTGAGCTCCTTGTATATTTTGGATATTAGCCCCCATCCCTGTTGGTGCTCTTTCAAGGGTGACTTCAGTTTCCCCGACTGCTCCTCAGCTATCAAGGCGTGCTTTCTACTTTTCCGCATGGGGTTTGGAGGCTTCTCAGGTCTTTGGCTGATTAGGGGAAGCAGACAGGCAGCCAGAACACGCACAGGATGCCTCACTAAAGATGTATTTACAGCTACGTACCAAGTGCTTAGAACCATGCATTATTCTAACTACTCACAATTACTCACTTGGTATATTATAAGCCCAGAACACAGGAATTGAGAAATAATGGGGTTTTTACACAGTCAATGTAAAAGATGCCCCTACTTCCTGTGTTCTGAGCCCTGCACATGGCTGTGTTCCAGGCAGAGGACAGAAAAAAACAAAGGGGAAAAATTCACTCCACACTAAGACCTCTTCATGGTTCTTTTGCTATGATTCCATTTCCAATTTCTTGAAGTACAAATGTGGCTGCTATATTAGGTACAATCTGAGTAAAGCAAATCTTCTGAGTAGTCATAGGTGCTATGGTTTGCCTGATAAGCTCTCGGCAATCATACATCCCTGAGGCCACCCTGCTCTCATCATCATAACTAAGTCATGACCACCTAAGTCATGGCTGGAAGGGAGAATCTGTCATTCATCAAATCCTTTTGGGGGGAAGTCTGTCCTATGCTGCTATCAGATGTGATTGAAAATTTTGACTGGGTATGGTGGCTCACACCTGTAATCCCAGCACTCTGGAAGGCTGAGGCAGGCGGATCACTAGAGGTCGGAGGTCGAGACCAGACTGGCCAACACGGTGAAACTTCGTTTCTACTAAAAATACAAAAATTAGCTGGGCATGGTGGTGCACGCCTGTAATCCCAGCTACTCAGGAGGTTGAGGCAGGAGAATTGCTTGAACTCAGGAGGCGGAGGTTGCAGTGAATGAAGATCACGCCACTGCACTCCAGCCTGGACAACAGAGTGAGTGAGACTCTGTGTCAGAAAAAAGAAAAAAAAGAAGTTTGATCATTTGTTTGTTCATCAGACCATGTGATGGATACCGTTCTGGATCTGGGGATGTATCCATAAACATAAGAGATGAAAATTCTTGCCCTCATTGGAGAAGATGAAGCATAAGAGAAATAACTGTTATGGTAGGTTTAAAGGTGGCATGTGTCACAGGAGAAGTAGAGCAGGGTATGGAGGATGGAACGTGCTGGCTGGGGAAGGGGCATTGGTGAATGAGCCCCCTGAGAGGGTGATGTTTTGGCAGAGGCTTGGAGGAGGTGAGGGAATGAGCTTTTCTCGAGGAAGAGGCCTCTGGAGGGAAAAAAAGAACAGCCAGTGCAAAGGTCCTGAAGCAGGAATATGGCTGCTTTTCTTAAGAAGCACCAAGGCTGGGGCAGGTGAGTGAAGAGGAGCTCACTAGAAGCTGAGGTCATGTGAAAATATTTTTTTTTTCTTTTTGAGACGGAGTCTTGCTCTGTCCCCCAGGCTGGAGTGCAGTGGCGAGATTTAGGCTCACTGCAAGCTCAGCCTCCCAGGTTCATGCCATTCTGCCTCAGCCTCCCGAGTAGCCGGGACTACAGACGCCCGCCACCACGCCCAGCTAATTTTTTGTATTTTTTAGTAGAGATGGGTGCTCCAGGATGGTCTCGATCTCCTGACCTCGTGATCCTCCCGCCTCGGCCTCCCGAAGTGCTGGAATTACAGGCGTGAGCCACTGCGCCCGGCCTGAGAAAGTATTTTTAAAATGCTGAAGGAAGGGGCCTTTTGAGAGCTATTATTTTCTGCTATGAGCCCTGTGATTAAAAGGTTTTTGGGAGGAAGAGGAACTAGGGCAGGTGGCTGGATGGATTTTGCACCCCTGTGGTGTGCCATTGTCTAGGAACAAAGCACCCCATGCTGGGAATGACTGGAGCTCAGGAGTAAGGAATTATATATATATACATTTTTAAAGAATCCAATTCCCCTTCATTGTCCTAAGATCCCTGCATCTTGGGGGACCAGTGCAAGTTGGTCAAGTTTCTGTTCTTACTTAACTTCAGCCAGAATACATTCTGACTCTCACCCTCCCTTCCTTCCCTCCCAGAATCAGGCAGAGAAGCTACAGAATTTATTTTTGTGCTTTTGTGGCCAGGCTATTTTTATCTTTATAAATTATTTCCCATTTAAAAAAAAATCTCATTTAATGAGCTGTATTTCTAAGTGACTTAGGGTTATACATATTTCAAAAGGCACCCTCAGGGGCCATCTGAGAGCCTCGCCTGGCAGGAATGTTTCCAAGTCCTCCTTGTTCCCTTTCTGGGTGCAGCCTCAGGTGGTCACTGGGCCCCAGGACACTATGAGGATGGAGGATGCAAACCTGAGGAGGTGGGGGTAAAACAGACTCTGCCCTCCCAGTCCCCCTCCAAGGTTGTCTTTGTCAACTAATAACTTTGTTATAGTTGGGGTCAAATTTCCATGGAGACTGACCAAACAGGGCAATAAAATGCCTCCTCTATTCAGTCCTCAGTAACAATTTTTATTATAAACTGCTGTGTGTAGATCATCACTAGAAATTGAAAAAGAAGTCCCAGGTCCCCACATCCAGAGTAAACATCATGGTACCTACATCTTCATCATAGATATTTCCAATTATGGGTTGAAAACATTTTGACACATGAGCAAACCTCTGGATTTACATAGAAGACGGCCTTACATGAATAGAAAACCCAGGAAAATCTAGAAATGGCTTTCTGACATAGGAAAAAAGAAACAGAAAAGGACCTATGAATAAATAAAAATAAAAACAGTAACACTGGCAGCAATGGCTAAATATAAGAGCTAGGCAATTATAACACTTTATGTGCTGGATACTGAGCTATAGGCCCTATCTTTATTACTCATTTAACCTTGAAAAACCTCTGTGAAGCTGCTATTATCCCCATTTTTCAGAAAAAAAAAAAAAAAAAAAAAAGGAATTTTGAAGAGGTAACAAGTCCAATTCCAAACAGCTTGTGTCAGAAAAGGTCTGTCTGCTCTAAGTTTTTGAAGAAAAGAAAAACAGAGGGTAAAGAAATGGGAAGGACATTGGGAGAAGCAGAGAGAAACTTACAGGTAAGAATACAAGAAGCAAGTTCTGTTTGGATGGTAAAAGAAAGATTAAAATATTTGAGCTTGTAAAACAAATGTCATATCAAGAACTTCCATAAAGTTATGTTTTTAGATAGAAATGTTCTTTCTTAACTGGTTGACAGGTGTTATATTTATCCATAGTCTTTCAAAACATTAGAAAGATGAGTTATAAGATGATAAAAGGTAAAAAATTATCCTGGGATGTCAGCTACTGACCTGGTGGTAGATTAATTACTCTGAAAGCCAGATGCTAGTTGTTATCACACTTTCAGAATAGAGTGAGGTTCTGGTGGCCTGACAGCTCATGAGAGCTTGTTAGGCCCACTCAACTCCTGGAGTGGTGACTCTAATTGACTGCTAAGTTTCCCTCACAACCCTAAGGTGTTATAATTTCCTCCCTTTGGTCAGGTCACACTATCTCATCTATCTACTTATTCTATCTATTCTATCATTTATCTTCATCTCTGTAAATGGCTCCCAAATCAAATTGCAACTCAGAATTGCACATTTGTGAAGCTTTGAAAACTAAAATCAGGTTAAAAAAACCTAAAATATATAATACTCTAATATTTAATGTATATAATGCTAATACAGTATAATAAAACTAATCCCCCAAAACAGTTTTTTGTTTGTTTGTTTGTTTTGTTTTTTAAGACAGAATTTCACTCTGTCGCCCAGGCTGGAGCACAGTGGTGCAATCTTGGCTCACTGCAACCTCTACCTCCTGGGTTCAAGTGATTCTCATATCTCGGCCTCCTGAGAAGCTGGAATTACAAGCATGCACCACCAGGCCCAGCTAACTTTTGTATTTTTAGTAGAGATGGGGTTTCACCATGTTGGCAAGGCTGTTCTCAAACTCCTGACCTCAAGTGATCCACCCGCCTCGGCCTCCCAAACTGCTGGGATTATAGGCGTGAACCACCACACTCAGCCAACAAGTTTTAACTCTTATCAGTTTGCCCCATTCCAAGTTTGCAAGAAGTCCAGGCAGGAAGCAAAAATGGCAGCTTCAGGGGCTGCTTTGTCAGAGTTAGTCATAGGTTGGCAACTCTTTTCCAGAGGAGGGCATTGTAACTCTTGAGCACAAGAACATGCAGTTGATCTTTGTAACCACCAAGGCACCTAGTTCTGTGCCTGTCAGATGAAGGTGTTCTGCTTTGGCTT